>NC_000001.11:114705350-115008380 GCF_000001405.40 Homo sapiens
AGGTTCATTTACAGATCCGGCATGGTAGCCTTCAGACAGAACATCTTATTTTCACTCTTGAACATGTAACCTTTAAAAAAACCAAAAGGAATATGTAATTTATGACAGCTGGCCAGGCACTTAATTTGGGGAAAGAGAAGGATTTTGAGGTAAACTAGAATTCTTTTCAGCAATCACAAACATAGCCTAAAAACCACGTTTTATACCACACTGAAGTTATTCAGCTTTTAACTATAAGTTTGTCACTCCTTTGTGCCAAAATTCACACCTAGGTGTAACTTTTTTTTTGGAGACAAGTCTCTCTTGTCACCCAGGCTGGAGTGCAGTGGCACGATCTCTGCTCACTGTAACCTCCACCTCCTGGGTTGAAGTGATTCTCCTGCCTCAGCCTCTCAAGTAGCTGGGACTACAGGCACGGGCCACCATGCCCGGCTAATTGTAACTTCTTAAGGTATTCAAAGAACATACTCAAGTCTGAATTTTGGCCCCATTTAGAAACTTCTGTGCTTAGAACATACTTGGAAAACTCTAAGTACATACATACAAGGGCTATTGGCACAAGAGCCCAAGATGAGTAACTATCTTTCTCCCTAATTTGACATCAAATTTAATAGATTTTTAAGAAAAAGAATCACTGCCAGTCACAGACATTTAAAAAAGAAATGACTGAGGTGATAAGCCTCAGGAAAATTACAGAGTAGCACTGCTCCAGAAGGAGCAGAAACAGAAAAGCAGAATTTCCATTTACAAATGATGACAGTACTGTGAAAGCTCCCAGAATTAGCAGTAAGAAGCACAACTCTGCAGGTTCATTATACTCTGGACACAGTATATGTTTCTTCTCTTCTGAATTTCAAGGTAATATGACATTTGCTTAATAAATGAAAATTCATAATATAGAAGATGGAGGACCTCAGTAAGTATTTAGATATTAAAGACAGGAACAAAGTGGCCATTTTGGAATTAGTCTTTTATCAAAAGTTATCCAAGTCTATTTTTCATGAGAATTACCAGGGTATTATCTGCAAATTAAAATGCCAAGCCTCCAAATCCTCATAGGTATCAATTAATTATATTTTCCATTCCTGTCTCAACAATTTCAACTTCCTGTTTTGAGCAAACTCATCAGCTTAGATTTATCAACATCTTGTTTTAAACCCTTCAAAGAACATTATGAATAAAGAGAATTTAAAACGTTTCTCAGCTGAGACATCCTCATTCTCAAATGAGAATATTGGCTTAATTTAGAGTTTCTACATGGCTAAAAGAAAAAAAAATGTTTAAATACGTGATACTGAGTTTTCCAGTCATGGTAAAGGGTTTGTGCTAACTGACCTCTTCTTTCCTTGCAGGGCTAACTGCAGCTACCTAGCAAAATTACTAGCTGGAGTTACTGGTGCAATGAGCAAATGCAGAAGAATTTCTTTCTCTGTGATGCTAACTGGATTGTTCAAGTTTTGAAACTGTGACCCTGGTCCATTAGCACCATGCTTTACTCAACTGAAATAATCAAGCCCCTATTGCTGTGGGGGAAGCTGTAGAGGGTGGGGTGAGAAGGGGATTGAAGGCAATTATATACATCATTAAGATACCATGATATACAGTGAAAATGTAATTTGTTAATATACTATATTTGAGGTTTGAAAATCACTGATCACAGCTATTAAATAACAATGCACCAAAGTTTTACAATATTTGAACATCTGCAAATGTAGAGCTTTCTGGTATGACACAAATTTGAATACAAATGGAAGTTCATTGAATATTAGGTTTATCAGTAAGCTAGGGGAAACAAATTACATACATTGTATAGGTAGTAACCTATGAAAAAAGTGGAGATTAGGTAAAAATTATTAAGTGAAATTATTCATGTGCTTTCAGTTTCATCTTTCTCCTGGGAAAGCCCCAAAACAGGCCTCTGGAAAACCAATTTCATACATGTACAAAATGGCATCTGCTCTCAAATAGATATAGCTTTCCTTCAATGGTAGATAAGTCACAGACGTATCTCAGACATTCATTTCATGCATAAGGATTTTTGAGACATCTATTCCACTGAAATATTATAAAGGAAGTCTACAAACCACTTCTAGGAAAAAGGCACTTCACTGTGAAAGTTGGATTTAATTACGTCAAAGTTGTGAAGACTAGGATAGACTCAAAATTCAGTATTCATTTTTGTATTTATGAATCTAGAGCAGATGCCAGTTTAGAGAATAGAGCCGATAACATTATAAACAAACCAAACAGCAATAATAACTATATTCTTGGCAAAACAGTAATTTATGACATTTCTCCAAAAATTAGCATAGTTCTAAGTTCAACAGTAAAAAGAAAAAAAAAATCACCAGCAGTTGCTACTTTAGAGCTCAAGACACTGTTTTCAATAGAATTTCACGTTTGCGGTTTGGTTCTCTGTTTCAGACATGAACTGCTTTTCAGATGAAAAACCTGGGGTGGCAGAGGTGTGTTTGTGCTGTGGAAGAACCCAGGGCAGAAAAATAACAGGGAGTAACAAGAGGTGCATTCTCTGGTCAGACAGCCAAGTGAGGAGGTAGTTATTCTGAGAACTTCTCAAATAGAGATTATTGTACTAAACTACTGAGAGCTGGGGAAGTAGCAGGAGCTTCTCTGTGAGACTGAAGACAGCAACAGGAATACTTCTCCTCCAGGGAAGTCAGGACCAGGGTGTCAGTGCAGCTGAAATAGAAACAGAATTTGTATAAGTGACACATTCAGAGTATAAGAAAAACAAATATACAAAATTAACAGGAATGAGAATACATTTCCAAACTTGTCCTACCTTGAAAGTGGCTCTTTTCTGACAAAACTTTAAAAGTATCTGTAAAAAAAGAACAGAAACCATGTCCTTATTAACTAGTTTCAAAGTAGTGATCCTTCAAATTCCTGGTCATTGCCAGGAATAGGGTATGCCTACATTTCATAAATAATGTCTTATAATTTCTAATGTTACCAAAAATATAAAGATACCTGTGGAATAATCAAATGTTTTAAACACTTTAGACCTCAGTACTTTCAGAAAGGGTGTCATATGGAAAATGTGCAGAAGAGGATAGGCAGAAACTCAAAAAACATATAGACAATAACACCAGCACTCCTCCAAATTGCCCAATACTATATACTAAGATTTGTAATTATGCCAAGAAACCATATGCTCACCTTGTTACATCACCACACATGGCAATCCCATACAACCCTGAGTCCCATCATCACTGCTGTTGAGTTTTTTCATTCGGTACTGGCGTATTTCTCTTACCAGTGTGTAAAAAGCATCTTCAACACCCTATAAAAGGAAAAAATGAAAAAAAATGAGAGAGCTAGCTCAACGGACACAATCCAAATTATAAGCTCTCTTGCATTTGTATCTCTTTATGTGGACATAAGATTCCAATTACTAAACGAATAGCTGATAAAATAAAATATGGTGATTTAAGGAAGAGAACACTAAATTTCACATTCCTATTGAATCACAAGAACAGGCTGATATAAAAATGGCACATTTTGCCAAATAAACATTCATGCAAAGGAAAAGGGTAATGTGAGAAACACGGAACAAAACTACATTAAACTAAAGACTCCATTCAGGAGGCTTAAGCCATAAACGGGCTGGTGTTGACAGAGAAATAACTAATGTTTATAAATATTTTTAGTCAAGGATCTTCCCAAGAAATATTTGTGGATGTTAATGCAGGAGTAAACATGCCATAACAGAATATTAGTAAGTTCATTTTGGGTTTAAACAAGCGTTAAGAAAAAGAACACTACTAAAAATGCCTAACAACAGGCTGGGCGTGGTGGCTCACACCTGTAATCCCAGCACTCTGGGAGGCCCAGGTGGGAGGATTGCTTGAGGCCAGGAGTTCGAGACCAGCCTGGGCAACATGGTAAAACCCTGTCTCTACTAAAAGTACAAAAATTAGCCGGGCATGATGATGTGCCCGTAGTCCCAGCTACTTGGGAGGCTGAGGCAGGAGAATCACTTGAACCCAAGAGACAGAGGCTGCAGTGAGCTGAGATCACACCACTGCACTCCAGCTTAGAAGATAGAGTGAGACTCTGCCTAAAAAAAAATAAAAAATAAAAAAATAAAAATGAAAAAAATGCATAACAACAAAGAATATGAATATGGATCACATCTCTACCAGAGTTAATCAACTGATGCAAACTCTTGCACAAATGCTGAAAGCTGTACCATACCTGTCTGGTCTTGGCTGAGGTTTCAATGAATGGAATCCCGTAACTCTTGGCCAGTTCGTGGGCTTGTTTTGTATCAACTGTCCTTGTTGGCAAATCACACTTGTTTCCCACTAGCACCATAGGTACATCATCCGAGTCTTTTACTCGCTTAATCTGCTCCCTAAAAACGGGAATATATTATCAGAACATAAGAAAAACAAGATTAGGCTGGGTACAGTGGCTCATGCCTGCAATCTCAGCACTTTGGGAGGCTGAGGAGGGCAGACTGCTTGAACCCAGGAGTTTGAGATTAGCCTGGGCAACATGGCAAAACCCGGTCTCTACAAAAAAATACAAAGATTAGGCTGGGTGCAGTGGCTCATGCCTGTATTCCCAGCACTTTGGGAGGTTGAGGTGGGCAGATCACAAGGTCAGGAGTTGAAGACCAGCCTGGCCAATATGGTGAAACCCCATCTCTACTAAAAATACAAAAATTAGCCAGGTGTGGTGGCAGGCGCCTATAGTCCCAGCTACTCGGGAAGCTGAGGCAGGAGAATCGCTTGAACCTGGGAGGCGAAGATTGCAGTGAGCCAAGATCACGCCACTACACTCTAGCCTGGGCGACAGAGTGAGACTCCATCCCCCCCAACCCCCCCCAAAAAATATATATAAAATATATAAAAATAAATATATATTATATATATTATATATAAATATATATTTATATATAATTTATAATATATAAATATATATAATTTACACATATAAATATATATTTATATATATTTATAAATAAAAAATATATATACAATATATATTATAGCTGGGTGTGGTGGCGCATGCCTGTAGTCCCAGCTAATTGGGAGACTGAGGTGGGAGGATCACCTGGGTCCAGAAAGGTCAAGGCTGCAGTGAGCCATAATTGTTCCACTGCACTCCAGCCTGGGCAACAGGAAAAAAGAAAGAAAAGAAAGGGAAGAAAGAAAAGAAAAGAGAAAAGAAAAAGAGAAAGAAAGTGAGAGCGAGAGAAAGAGAGAGCGAGAGAGAGACAAGATTTCAGGAAGGAATAAATGGCTAGGGCAAAAAAGAAACTAGCAAATTTTATGTAGCCCTATTAACTTGTAGTATTTTTGCTTTTTTCTACCACTTAGAGAAGACATTGTATACTAAGGAGACTGCTTTAGACTTGTTGCAGCAGCCATCAGGAAGCCATAAGTACAAGCTCACCTTCTAATGGGAGTGGATGGGTATTTTATCCTGATACATGACCTAGTGAGGCTCCTGGATTCTCCAAAGAGCTTGGCTCTGGATTTAACTGGCAACTAGAAATCACCCTTTAGATTAAGGTCTAAAGTATAAAAAGTGAAGCTCACTGCTGCTAAATAACTAGGTGTGACAGTATTTAATGGAAGGCAGTCTATCACTTTTCAAGATGGGTGGTGCTCAAACATTTTCTTCAAATAAATTGTAGATGAAGCTGGGCATGGTGACTCCCGCCTATAGTCTTAGCACTCTAGGAGATTGAGGTGGGAGGATCACTTGACCTAGGAGTCCGAGACCAGCCTGGGCAACATGGTGAAACCTTGCTTCTACAAAAAATACAAAAATTAGCTGGGCATGGTGGCACATGTGCCTGTGGTTCCAGCTACTCAGGAAGCTGAGGTGGGAGGATCCCTTGATCCCTGAGAGGTTGAACCCTGAGAGTGTCATGCCACCGCACTCTGGCTTGGGCAACAGAGGGAGACTCCATCTCTAAAAAACTAAAACAGGCCGGGCACGGTGGTTCACACCTGTAATCCCAGCCCTCTGGGAGGCCGAGGCGGGTGGATCACCTGAGGTCAGGAGTTTGAAACCAGCCCGGCCAACATGGTGAAACCCCAAGTCTACTAAAAATACAAAAAAAATTAGTCAGGCATGGTGGTGGACGCCTGTAATTCCAGCTACTCGGGAAGCTGAGGCAGGAGAATCTCTCGAACCCGGGAGGCGGAGGTTGCAGTGAGCCGCGATCGCACCACCGTACTCCATCCAGCTTGGGCAACCAGAGCAAAACTCCGTCTCAAAAAAAAAAAAACAAACAAACAAAAAAAACAAACCTAAAACAAAACATTGTATCTGGAAGCCCAAGCGATAAAATAGAAAACATAAGAACTGCTCTTAGTAAAGGGAGGCTGAAGCATCTAGAACTCCTGACAGCACCCCTTTCAATGACATGTAAGGCACACCACACAGCACACCTGGGAAACAATTGCTTTAGATTGTCTTGACCAACACAATCCAACAGTACTTTATGTGATGATGGAAATGGTCTATATCTGTACTGTTCAACATGGTACCTACTAGTGGCTATTGAGCATTTGGTAGTCAAGGAACTAATTTTTAAATTTTATTTAATCTTAATTAACTGTAAATAACCACATACTGCACAGTACTGTTTTAGTCTCTACCCCTGGATTACCCACAAAGTCATGTATCTGAACTACATTCCACTGGCTATTTGCAAAACTGTGCTTGATGGTAATAGCCTACATTAAGGGATAAGACAGCCTAAAGTACCTGGACCATGTCACTGTCAGGTTACTACTGATTTTTACATTAAACAAGCCTCTTTGAGGATCCATGGGAAAATTTCCTTCTAGTCCGAGCAACTTAACGGCTTTCAGCATACAGATACTGAATCTTTCAGCTGGCTACTTTCCTTTTCACAACAGTGACCAAATTTGTAGTCCACCTTTAGAAAGCCACTGGAACTTCATGCACAATCACAGAATATGCTCACTCCTAAATTTGTTTATTTTACCCTTATTTTTTTGGTCTCACTTAAGCCTATTTTTCATTAATCTTATCTTGCTCTACTATATGCATTTTCATAAGATGTTTTAAATACTCTTTGGTTTGAGCTAAGGCATATAGAAAAATGAATAAATTTCTTGTAAGAAAGAAGAAAAATGACTTCTAGAAATTCAAAAAACATTTATTAGATGCATGCCAAGTGTGGGCATTTTATTAAGTACTGCTATTACTTTTAGACAAAAAAAAAATGGGAAGTACAACAGGTTAGGAAAAGAACAC
Source organism: Homo sapiens (assembly GCF_000001405.40). Taxonomy (NCBI): domain Eukaryota; kingdom Metazoa; phylum Chordata; class Mammalia; order Primates; family Hominidae; genus Homo; species Homo sapiens. Next base: position 114,712,617 of record NC_000001.11, read on the forward strand.
TTGAATTCAGTGTTGGACCAATCTGCTTTTGAGAGCAGACATCTTCACATGGATAGAAAATAAGCCAAGACTCAAGCCTTTAGGCAGAACACTTAAGTAGCATTTACTGTGTGCCAGGCACTATTCTGAGTGATTTGCGTATTTATTAAAACTGTAATCTTCACAACTCTATGAGGTAGGTATTATTATTTCCATATTATAGGTTAGGAAAGCCACATAGCCCCTGAGTCACGTCGCTAATAAACAGAGCTAGGTTTCAATCCAGGCAGAGTTCTCATTCTTAACCATTATATTATTCTGTTTAAGAACACTGTGCTAAGAAAAAGGAGCTTTGGGTTTTTGGTCCTGGCTCTGCTACTAATAACAATCCTGACTCCAAAACCTAACAAACGACATTCTGAACTCTGTTTCTGATTCTGCAAAATAAGAATATTGTACTAGAATTTTTATGGTCCAATCTAGCTTTGAAACTTTATGGTTCTATGGACAAAGTCTATCTTTATGTTCCCTTGCTTTGTTTTCATCTTTATGGACTTCCTATTTGCTTACTCCTATCATTTTATTTTTTATTTTTTTTGGAGACAGAATCTTGCTCTGTTGATTAGGCTGGAGTGCAGCAGTGCAGTGGAGTGAGCATGCCTCGACCTCCTGAGCTCACGTGATCCTCCCACCTCTGCCTCCCGAGTAGCTGCCACCATGTGTGACTAATTTTTTTATTTTTATTTTTGTAGAGACAGGGTCTTGCTCTGTTGCCCAGGCTGGTCTCCAACTCCTGGGCTGAAAGTGATCCTCCCGCCTTGGCCTCCCAAAGCACTGACATTCCAGGTGTGAGCCACTGTGCCTGGCCTATCTTTTCCATTACATACTGAAAGATGTTTCTTGGAGATGTTTTCCTCTCTGAAATTCCTTCGTGATCTCTAATTACAACAACTCTGGTTCCAAGTCATTCCCAGTAGCAAGCTTCACTTATGTATTATCAAACTTTATAGTAACAGTATATTATGTAAAATAAATTCCAGTATTAACTTTCAGTAATTACCCTAGATTCTCAATGTCAAACAACCTAAAACCAACTCTTCCCATAATTAAAAAGCTCTATCTTCCCTAGTGTGGTAACCTCATTTCCCCATAAAGATTCAGAACACAAAGATCATCCTTTCAGAGAAAATAATGCTCCTAGTACCTGTAGAGGTTAATATCCGCAAATGACTTGCTATTATTGATGGCAAATACACAGAGGAAGCCTTCGCCTGTCCTCATGTATTGGTCTCTCATGGCACTGTACTCTTCTTGTCCAGCTGTATCCAGTATGTCCAACAAACAGGTTTCACCATCTATAACCACTTGTTTTCTGTAAGAATCCTGGGGGTGTGGAGGGTAAGGGGGCAGGGAGGGAGGGAAGTTCAATTTTTATTAAAAACCACAGGGAATGCAATGCTATTGCCAAGGTTAAATAAGCATCTAACTATTCAAGCCCATTTCTGCCTATCTGGTTTGTCCCTCAAATTGCTAATATATAATCACAAACAAAAAGTATCCAATATCACCCTACATAAAAGAAAACCCACCAAATTCTATATGCCTGCAGAAAAGAAATATGGTCACTGTGTTCCTGGAAAAGATTAAGAAAACACAGTAACTCAAATGACAACTCTACTGCAGCCAGGAGGCTACAGATTAAGTACCCAGTGTATTTCACTAAGCTATGAACTGGACTGTTTTATTTGTGCTGTTTATTTTACTTAAAGAAATCTAAACATACCTCCACCAATTATAACCTGGCCCTATATACATCATTTGTGTTTATGACTAAATATACAAATACCTTTGTTTCAGAGAAGGTTTTTTTTTTATCATGACAGATGTACCTTTGGGAAATATTCCTGAATCAAATTCTTAAAGGTTCCAAACAAGGTATAGTTATGTTTAATTTCTCAGGAAGACAAACATGCATAGATCATATAAAAAATACTTTCATTTTGGTTTTATGGCAACAGGACTTTTACTTGTATTTTAATGTCATCACACTTGGAGAACTCTCTGGAGTACTGGAAGTGCTCTATACTGTTATCTGGGTGGTAGCTACATGACTATATAGAAACGCAAAAAGCACTGGGCTGTAGACATAAAATTTATGTATTTTACTTATGTAAATTGCTCAATAAATCAAACATTTAAAAATATTTAATTAAAATATTAAACATTTCATGTAAAATATTAAAGCTGTTAAGCTCAAAATAAAGATTTTGCCAAGGGTTAGCAACCAATTTTTTATAGTGGCTACATTAGAGTTAGTTTTCATCAATTAAACACGAGTAGCCAGATGGTAGGGAGGCCAGGTGTTGATTAAAATAATCTCTAAAGTTAGGCATTTCTAAACTGAACAAAATTACAAAACCCTTTATTTATTTATCTATTTATTTATTTTTTGAGACGAAGTCTCGCTCTGTTGCCCAGGCTGGAGGTCTGTGGTGTGATCTCGGCTCACTGCACCCTCTGCCTCTGGTTCAAGCGATTCTCCTGCCTCAGCCTCCTGAGTAGCTGGGATTACAGGTGCCTGCCACCACACCCAGCTAATTTTTGTATTTTTAGTAGAGACGGGGTTTCACCATGTTGATCAGGCTGGTCTTGAACTCCTGACCTTGTGATCCGCCTGCCTCAGCCTCCCAAAGTGCTGGGATTACAGGCGTGAGCCACCGTGTCCGGCAAAACCCTTTATTTAAAGAGCCTTAGGTGCCACTTACTGAAGACAATCTGTACCATGAACTCTCATAATAACAATAGAATCCCTAAGTACTATTACATAGTGCTTTACCATTCATAAATAACTTAAATATATTATTTAACTTTCCATAACATCCCTGTGTGGTAGGCAGGACAAGTTTATGGTAATTTAAAACATGAGGAAAATGAGGTTGGGAGAGATTCAGTTGCTCAATATCACACAACTAAATAAACTGCAAACAGGGACCAAAATCCTAGGCATAAAGACTAAAAATCTCAAGTTCTTGCTACTCCAATCATCTGGTCTCAGCTGCTTCAACTAGCTAATAAATAAATATTGAAGAACACTCATCTCTGAATCCTTTATCTCCATCCTATTATCTCCCATACAATCAGACAGTCTCGCTACTATGGCCTGTGTTTCTCATGTAATAGAGCTGTTATATATGAAGAAACTCATGAATGAACTCAACACTGAGTTTGCAATAGTTTACAGAACTGTTAAAAACTGGACAGGTTTTAGAAACTTCAGCAGCTAATAAAAATGAACTGTTCTCTATAAACACGTTAAGCTTATTGCATAACTGAATGTATACCCAAAATAACTTTTTACTTTCTCTCCTCTTATTCCTTTAATACAGAATATGGGTAAAGATGATCCGACAAGTGAGAGACAGGATCAGGTCAGCGGGCTACCACTGGGCCTCACCTCTATGGTGGGATCATATTCATCTACAAAGTGGTTCTGGATTAGCTGGATTGTCAGTGCGCTTTTCCCAACACCACCTGCTCCAACCACCACCAGTTTGTACTCAGTCATTTCACACCAGCAAGAACCTGTTGGAAACCAGTAATCAGGGTTAATTGGCGAGCCACATCTACAGTACTTTAAAGCTTTCTATAATCAATGGAAATGAAAACCCTAGTGTGACCTTCCATTTGGTTCTTAAAGTGACTAGAGAACGCAAAAACACCGGATTAATATCGGCCTCACACTTCTGGAGTAGTTTTCTAGCAACCCCCATCCTTAGCTATTTTTCAACAGTCCTTGGGCCCCGCCCTCAGCCTAAGCAATGGAAATCCCCCTTCCTATTACTCCCCGAAGGCTTCTCAGCTCTAGCAGGAAGCCTCCAGGCCGCAACTCCTTCCCATTCTCCCTTCTGTCTCCAAAGATCTCCCCACGTAGGCACCAAATGGAAGGACCCCCGCCCAAGGCCTTTGTCTCCAGCTGATAGATTCTGCTCCATTTCTGGCATCAGTGAAACGCCTGAACATTCCACAGCCCAAAGCCGAACACTATGCATGAGATAAACTTACCTCAAGCTCCACTGCCTCTGCTTTGGACAGATTTAGGACCACAGCCGGGAAAAATGTTGGAGACCCCGGAACCGCCATGAACAGCCCCCACCAAGGAGCGGCACTTCCGGCCCCGCCCGCTACGTAATCAGTCGGCGCCCCAGGCGCCTGAGTCCCCGCCCCGGCCACGTGGGCCTCCGAACCACGAGTCATGCGGCAGGCCGCACCCAGACCCGCCCCTCCCACACGGGACGTTTCAATAATGAAAGCGCTAGGTGCTAGTGTCTCAAAAATCAGTAAAACTTTATTCGCTTCCATTCTTTCGCCATTAACAGAAAACTGGAGAAAGCAAAAATGTTTCGTGTTTACAAAGATAAACGGCCTCTTTACCCAGAGATCAAAACCTCAAACGACAAGGGGGAAGATAAAACCGCCCTCCCCCACATCCCCTGAGCTGACCCTTGTCATCTTAGACAAAGCCTTCAGTCCACTGGCCAGGGACCCTGTATATGGCCAATTCAAGAAGAGGGCCAAGAAATCAGACCCATCCATTCCCGTGATATAAAGTTGAACAGAAGCTACACCAAGGGTCAAGTGTCTGTATTTTACAGGACACAGTAACCAGGCGGCTACTTATAAAAAAAAACAAGATTCATTTCAGGCACAACTTTTTTATTTTTTTTTGTTTTGTTTTTAAATCAGTAAAAGAAACCGGGTCCTAGAAGCTGCAGTGATCTAAGCAGCAGCAAGTTTGTGCATTCATTTTTTTTGTTTTTGTTTAAATATGTTTAAATTATCACACTGCTGGCACTCCTCATTTGCATGAAATTCTGCACCATACTTACTAATTGTAGTAAAGTTACCCCCCAACCCACGAAAAAAAACCTACTCTGGAAGAAAATTTTCACTGAAATATAACCAAACTTCTTTAAGTGGATTGTGACAAGATTATAAATGATATGAAAAATAACATTTTAAAATTTGGCCATCAACTTTAAGAAATGGTTTGCCTATACAAATTTTTGTAATTTTTAAAAGATAATATATTCTACCCTCATATGGTCCTCAGAATTAAAGCATAATGAACAGGAAGAAAAAGGAAAAGAATGCAACTGAGTGCTAAGGCAGAACATCTTGCCAGAAGTAATTAATGAAGGTAGAGTATATAATGAAAAGTGCAGAATTTCATAGGGCCAACAAGATAACAGTCTATATTTTTCACTTACACAGGCAAAGTGGATTCTGCAATTACCAGTTGCGTTAAATGCACCAAATAAAGCTCCTAAAATTGATACTATAAGGCGCCACCTTAAGTTTTTCCAGGCTGCAACTGTGCATTATTTAAAATGGTTTTCTTAAATTTATTTATTTTTTTAAACATAACACGAGGAAGGTGTTAAAACTGGTGTAATAGCTCAATAGAATAAGTATTCCAGATTTCGGGAGGGATGAAGAGGGAGATATTCAGAACCCTTCACCAGATTCCCCCCAACTTGATCATAGTGGATTAATGGTGTGCTTTGTGGATGTGGTTAGTCAATGACACCAGCTTGACGGATCTTTCTTTCTGCACCAAACCCCTGTGGGGGGGAGAAAAAAAAAACCCTGCAGTTAATGATTTGAGCGCACAACAATCATAGTACATTCACTATTCCGAAATGAAACTACAAAAGCATTATTTTTAATCATCTTATGCAGTACTAATTCTTTCCTAGAGGAGAAAATCCACAGTAAGCACTCCTGACCCATTCATTACCTAAACTGTCTTCAAAGCATCAAGAAAAGAAATGTGCTTCTTACTGTAAGCAACCATTAGGTTAGGGGGCTGAACCAATGTGTAGAAAGTCCTAACTAGTTATAAGCAATATGGAAGTCTCCCTGCTTCATTAAGTTTCCTGACCTATTGTTTAAATAGGACCACATATTTTATGTTGGTCTATCAGTTGGCCTCCCCCAAGCCTTGTATGCCCTCATACCATTGAGTTATCTGGTCCCCTTGGCTGACGAAGAACCATTAGGCGAGGAGCACTGGCATCATCCAGAGTGATATTCTTCAAGCGATTGACCAACCGATCAGGTCGAGGAGCTGCAACAGCCTTGGGGCCCTCACTGTAATTAAGTCAAAAGATGAGAAGAAACCACACTTGGTGGGCAGACAGCAAGCACTTGCAAAGGAGTGTGTTTTCCACCTAACTGCCCAAATGACTCACTTTTTATGATGGGACTCTTGCCTCATATACCTAGCTAGAAAGACAGGACAGACAAGTTTGTTTATGTATTATTATCCCCAACTCAAGGTCCCAACTTAATAGGAATGGAAGGAATCATTTGCAGACCCTAGACTTGAATGCAATCAAGAGTGACCAGTTCCACAGATGCATAAAAAAACAAGGTAGCAGATGTGGTAGCTAACACCTGTAATCCCAGCGCTTTGAGAGGACAGGGCAGGAGGAACACTTGAGCCCAGAAGTTCGAGATCAGCCTGGGCAAAACAGTGGGACCATGTCTCTACAAAAAATAAAATTGGCTGCATGTGGTGGCGCATGCTTGTAGTCCCAGCTACTGGGGAAGCTGACGTGGGAGAATTGCTTAGGCCCAGGGGGTTGAGTCTGCAGTGAGTCGTGATAGCGCCTGGGTAACCGAATCAGACTGTGAGACTGTCTCTGGGGAAGCAAAGCGGCATTATGAATCAGCATGGCTAAACTATTAGAATTTTAAGTAGCATATAACCTAGAAATGACTTAATGGAAGAAGAAGAATTTGGCAAAAATTTTAAAAAACATGTACTAAACAATCTTTTTGTATTCAACTAGAAGTAGGAAGTATCAAGAAATAATAAGTGGCAGAAGACAAGGCACAGAAAAGTGATGTGACAAAACAGAGACTATAAAGTTGAGACACTCCAGGGTAGTTACTAATCAAACCACAACAACAAAACTCACCAGACTCGCCAAACATTACAGGCGCTGCACTTGCCAGTGCGCTGATTAAGAATCACTGAGAACTCCACCTCATCTCCTGCCTGTAGCTCAATGCCATCCTGAACTTCTTTCACATGGAAAAAGAGCTTCTTGCTATCTCCTACTTCATAGTTAATGAAGCCAAACTGAAAAAAAAAAGTAGGTAAAAAAGAGAGGGCATGCCACACCTCACTCTGAATGAAGCACAATGCCTGCCCCTATCTAAAAGGATGTATAAAACATGGTATTAATGTTGATACTCCAGTCCAGCTGCCTGTGGCAAAACCTGTCAGGGAAGAAATGTATCTCTGAAAGTGCCATTCACTATATCACAAACTTGAACCAAACAAATAAAACTTGCCTTGTTCCTTCGTATATTATGAACTAAGCTTTTTGAATTAAGCAAACTCATCAGGAAGCTGTTACTTCAACATATATATTGTTTGGATCCCCTCTAGAATTAAGCTGGGTTATAGTAGCAGCCATACAAAATGTTATTATTCTCTGTACTGATGAAAAACATTCTGAGGACTCAGATTTCCCTGAGATCTCAGGAGTAAGACTAAGTTTGTTTGCCCTAAGCTTATTTTTTAAGTACTTTTGAACGTGGTTTCTGTGTTTGTGTGATATGCAAAAGAAGCTCTAAGCAAAAGTGTACAAAACCATATAGTCCTTCTATTCTGGAAATCTCACCCCTAACTTATTTTCCCCATTGCATAATATTAGTTACTAATACCAATCTTACTTTCTCATTGCTAATATAGTCACTTTTTGTGTAGTTTTCTGTTTTTATTAAGCTACCTCAAATGACTGAAAAAAGGTGAAGTAGAAATAAAAAAACGAATGAATGTTGATGATTTCCCCTTGGCTGAAAATATTTGAAGGTTTTGGTTACCAACTCATAGAAGGATCAAATTCAGATACAGAGATGCTGGCACTTACCTGATCTTTCACACATTCCACTGTGGCCCTGCGCAGGGGTGTGATGTTGTAAGCCATAGTTTGTGCATTTTGGCCCAGGACACACAATTGGAACTTGACGCTCTCCCCTTTCTGCAGGCAATCCCCTTTGTTGGCCATCCCAACGATGCCAAATGGATAGACCTCACCTTTCATATCGCCTGTAAAACAGGTACAAAGTCTAAAAGCTAGTATTTCACAACAGTCCTCTGCTGATGACCCTAGGAAGTTTATATAACTGCTAAAAATGTGTTATGTTACTTAAAATATATTTACATTTTCAGTACTCAGAAGTTTCACCTTAAAGCTTAAATGAAATCCTAAATGTTAAATACTACCATGGAACCAAATGAGAATGTCACAGCTCCCATCAGTACTTTATTAGCTGATGAACAATTTTAAACTGCATTTATAAATTAAAACAAAAAATACTGTCATTTACAATCCCATTGCCTAAATTTTAAGCACTATGGGTTGCCAATATTCACAGGACTATCTTCTTCCCAAGTTCACAATATGAGCCAACCAAAAATACTTTTGTCCCATACTCAATGAGCCAGTAAACAACTAGGCGGGCACAGGCAAAAACAATTTAGATAAATTTGACACCCCACCTCCTTTTTTTTTGTTCGAATTCTGGCTCCCTCACATAGGTTCCTTTTTCCAGATCAGAGACCAAAAACCATTTTCCTAAAGGGCCGGAGAGTATTATTTTAGGTTTGCAAGTCATCCTGTCTAACCAACTCTGCTGTTGTAGTGAGAAAGCAACGAAAAACAATATGTAAACAAATGGTTGTGGCTGTGATCACAAGAAAAGGCCACCATATATGCTGAGCCCTGCCCTACAGTATGAAGTTGCCTGGAGCCCGGTGCAGGCTACAGATAAAAACTATGCCAAAGAATTCAGCTGCCTAACAATTTTCAGCATCCAGGCAAATGTACTCAGTCAACAATAGTGGAAAACATGAGAAAAACAGGTGGGAAGCAGAAGCTTCTAACCATCCTCTTGATGATTACAGGGTAAGTGAAGAATTTTTGTCATTGTTATTGTTGAGACAGGGTCTCGCTCTGCTACCCAGGCTGGAGTGCAGTGGCGATCAACGGCTCACTGCAGCCTTGATTTCCTGGGCTCGGGTGATCCTCCCACCTCAGCTCCTGAGTCGCTGGGACTACAGGCACACACCATGACTGGCTAATTTTTGCATTTTTTGTAGAGACAGGGTTTTGCCATGTTGCCCAGGCTGGTCTCAAACTCCTGGGCTCAAGTGATCTGCCCACCTTGGCCTCCCGAAGTGTTGGGTTTACAGGTGTGAGCCACCACACCTGACTTTTTTTTTTTTTTTTGAGACGGAGTCATGCTCTGTTAACCAGGCTGGAGTTCAGTGGCATGATTCAGCTCACTGCAACTTCCGCCTCCCAGGTTCAAGTGATTCTCCTGCCTCAGCCTCTGAAGTAGCTGGGATTATAGGCACCCACCATGATACCTGGCTAATTTTTGTATTTTTAGGAGAGACAGGGTTTCGCCATGTTGGCCAGGCTGGTCTCGAACTCCTGACCTTCAGGTGATCTGCCTGCCTTGGCTTCCCAAAGTGCTGGGATTACAGGTGTGAGCCCCTACTCTCGACCCCAGCTGACTTTTAATTTTAAATACAGGAACCAAAAAACTTTGAGGAGATAATCCAAAGAGATCAAGTCATGGGAAGAGTGATTAGAGGAAGCTGGTCTGACCTCATGCAATATCAATAATTACCATTTATGATGCACATACTGATTCATACTTTATAGAACCATCTAAGGCTGAAGGTATTACCATTTTAAAGATGAAGAAACTGAGCTAGCAAAGATTTAAGTTATTTGTCCAAGATTATATGCTAGAACGGTGTCCAGATCTAGGTCTGCCCAACTTCAAAGTCTTAGTATAAGTTACAGTTGTGTTCCTGAATAAAAGAGCTAGTTCTTACCAAGTGGGAAAATGTAATCTGTCTAGTCCCGGGCTTAGAGATGCCTAAACAAAACCCTTGCTTTGGACTATATCCCACCAGGCTTAGAGATGCCTAAATAAAACCCTTGCTTTGGACTATATCCCACAGCCAGTGCTGAAGAATGAGTGGACTGGGAAGTGGGGATGGAAAAGGAAGTAAAAGCAGCACGTTAGGAGATGGAAGGGCAATTTGATATCATATTATGAGTTAAAGTTAGTAGTCCATACTCCCATGGCCTTTTTAGGGGTGTGATGTCATGGCATTTGTTTAAAAATTCATATTTAGAGGTGGGAGAACAGTGGTTTTATGTAGAACAGAAATTCTAAGAATCCCATGTGGTAAAGGAATAGGTTATCAAGGTTCATTTCCTTCTCCCAAATGACCTGCTATTCAGCACTTTATGTTCGCTGACTCTTAGATGATGCAAGGACTTTATTCTCTTTGTAAACCAAGCCATCATCTTTTCTTTTTAAAATTTTTTTATTATTAGTTTTTTTAATAGTAGAGACGGGGTTTCACCATGCTGGCCAGGCTGGTCACGAACTCCTGGCCTCGTGATCCGCCCGCCTCAGCCTCCCAAAGTGCTGGGATTACAGGCGTGAACCACCACGCCCGGCCTACCAAGCCATCATCTTTGGTTGGAATACTCAAGCCCTCTCATCTACTCCACATCATGTAATTCTGCTATCCTAATCATCTACAGAGTTCTCTCCTATTTCTATCATGTATTTATTTTATGCATACAGATCATACAAAGTTGGCCTTTCTGATGGTGACTGTTGGGGGAACAGCGGCACTGGAACTCTGGGAATTCTTGAAGATAGATGGGGAAAAAAGAAGAAGAAAGTAGAGAATGAAAGGAAGCCTGAGCTAGAAACGAGAAATAGGATCCTCATAGAACTCTAGCTATTAAGAAACAGATTATGTACATATGTGTAGTGTAGGGGGGAAAAAAACAGTAAACTTTTACAGGAAGCAAAAATACAGAACTGAATGCTTACTGATTTAAATACTAATGAAGGAACTGAATATTTGATTATCATACACTCAACAGTAAAAGCTTTGGTTATCAGAGTTTGTTGTTAAGTCTATCTCAATATAACTCATAGTTGCTCATGTATCAGTCATGTGCTCACAAAGCAGTCACGTTTTCACTATTTAAACCCAGACTGACCTCATTTTCAAGGGGTATAAAAATAAAAAGCAAGCATGAGAGAGGTCACTTTTCCTTAATTCAGTTTTAAACCTAAAAACAACTGCAATAAGCACCATATTTTAAAACTTTATAGGTGCTCATCTGAAGTTATGGCAAATTTCAAACAGCCTGATAGTGATGATCCTTACCCTCCTCCACAATCTCAATCATTCCTTGGTACTCAGTCTGTGTTGGATCAACACTCCTCAGGGGGCGAATTACTTTGCCAGAGTAAATGGTGGGATCAGCTTCCTCAGTAATGCCATTCACTACAAAACAAAGGCAGGTACATCTTTCAATTTTATTTCATCTCTACTACATAGAAAGACAAGTAAGCAAAAAATAACAGCACAAATGTTAACAGGGTAGGTTGGCTGGCTGCTATTGAAATGGGGTAGGGAACCTGAAGCCAAGTTCTATTTTTAGAACAGCTGCTGGACTTTAAATACTTCTAAACTACCAAAATGCCTGCTTTTCCTAAATAGAATTGTTTAAATAAAATTGTTTAAGGAATTAATAAGTATTCATAAATAAAACATGCCTTGATCTCTTACTTTTTCCAGGTGACCATATGTCATTTTTTAAGAAGCCTTTCCTGGTCTCTAAAATGTAAATCACAATACTTACATACTGTCCTGATTCATCTTTATTACATGTATTGTTGTCTTTCTAAACATCATATACAGTATTTTACTCCTCTAGTCTGCCCCATATTTTCCACCAAAAAATAAGGTCAATGAATACAGGGATGTATCTGATTTCTTCACTGCTGTATCCCCAGTGTCTAAAACATAACACACACTTAAGAGTTCAGATGAGAGCCAAAAATAAGTTGCAGGTCTTTTAAAGTCAGAGATCCAAGATCCTAAATTACAATTAATTTTTTTAACTTCCCATTATTTTTCACATTTAGATTCATTCTTCTTCAAAACAATCTTCTAGGGAAATGCCTCTCTTCCCTACTCCATGGTGATGTATACATATCTTGGGGTTATTTTTGTTTTTTTCAGACAGTCTTGCTCTGTCACCCAGGTTGGAGTGCAGTGGTAGGATCATCATGGCTCACTGCAGTCTCAACCTACCAGCACAAGCGGCCCTCCCACCTCAGCCTCCCAAGTAACTGTGACTACAGGCATCCACTACCACAGCTGGCTATCCTGGGTTTATTTTTCAAAAGAAGACAATGAATTGAAAATATAAAGCAAATTTCCTAAAATATCTAGGCCAATCCTTCTCAAACTTCAGTGTATACCAGAATCACCTAAAGGATTTATTAAAAAAGAATGCCCACTCACAGAGTTTCAGTGGGTATGGGATAGGGTCAGAGAACGTATATTTCTAACAAGCAACCAGGTGATGCTGCTGTTCTATGGAATCGCACATGAGAATGACTGATGTAGAATAATTAGGCCTCATCTCCCTCTACTACTCCATCCTTTATCTCCCACTTAAAAGCACAGGCTGAATAAGAAGTCACAATTTATTACCTGAGTGTGTTTTGTTCACTTTTTCTGCACTGACTTTGTTGCCTTTGCCTTTGGACAAGCTATACTCGACCATGTCCCCCAGTTCCAGGCTATCAACATCACCAGAGAACTCACTAAGGAGAAAGGAAATGACATTTAACTAAACATTACCATAAACATCAACAGTAACAGGCAGTCTTTATTTTACAGTAACAGTCATGGCATGGCATGCTTATTTACATTAGACACCATTTTAAGTAATTTCTATGTATTGACTCATTTAATCCTCAAGAATGCCCCATGAAGAGGTAACATTATCCCTAACTTCAGGATAATGAAACTAAGATACCAAGAAGTTATTTGGTAAAAATTACACAGGTATAAAGTGGCAGGGCCTGGATTCAAAAACTGAACTGTCTGGTTCTAAGAACCCTTACTTTCTATTTTTTTTTTTGAGACAGAGTCTCACTCTGTTGGCTAGGCTGGAGTACAGTGGTGCGATCTCAGCTTACTGCAACCTCTGCCTCCCAGGATCAAGTGGTCCTCCCACATCAGCCTCCTGAGTTGGTGAGACTACAGGTATGCACCACCATGTCAGGCTAATTTTGGTAATTTTTGTGGAGATGGAGTTTCACCGTGTTGCTCAGGCTGGCCTCGAACTCCTGGGCTCAAGGGATCCACCTGCCTCAGCCCCCAAAGTGCTGGGATTATAGGCATGAGCCACCACACCCAGTCAGACCCCTTACTCTTACACTACATTATACACCAAATGGCCAACTCTATGGTACCAACACAAAAAATAAGGTGGCACAGGCCTTTCTATTTCTTTTGGCCACAGGCTCTGTATATAGTAAGATCAGTGATTAACTTCAGTTTATATCTTGCCATAATTCTACCAATATGAAATCTGAACCTCAACAAGTATAATCAATCAATACTAAATGTTTTTTATTCCAACACCAAAGAATGGATGGTAAGTTAGCTGTAAAGTTCCTGAAAGTCACGCCTTACCTGTAATGGAAAAAGATTTCCTTATCATGATTGGCTGTTTCAATAAATCCAAAATTATCCTTCAGAGTTGCCACATAACCCAAGAGCCTCTTGGAGTTAGAATTACGACCTAAAAGTCGCACACAAGTTGCAACCTGCTGTCCAGGCCTCTGTTTGTCACTAATACTAAATTCAACCTGTGAAAATTAAGGATGCTCATTAACACCATATCACTTCCACACCAATCTCCTTAACTCAGAAAACAAGACCTATAACTCCCCCAGCGCATGCTTTTCATTCCAAATATCCTTTGTTATTACTTCAATGAAATTGATTTTCACCAAAACATTTATGTCTCATCCCACTTTTCACAAAGGATCAAACTTTTATCTTTCAGTCTGTATTCCTTATAGATTCTGAATTTCTCTAGAGGGCTATCCAAAAACCAAACATATTAAGTATGAGAAAAAATGAACAACAACGTAAAATCTTTGGTGTGCTTTTACTTTGATAATGTTTCAGTAGTAACTGTTTTAACTTTCTTACCAATAACGATTTTATTAAGCATGTTTTATCTAACGTTTAAACAGCTAGATTAACAAGGCTTTGATTAACAAAGAGCTTGACAGACACTTTTAATAAGCTGCTTTCAAATACAAGATATTCATGTATTTCTCTTAAACACAAAATATATTTCAGCAAAACTTGATAAAATTTGAAGAACCCATCCTGCAGGATTTATGATTAAGATGACAACTCTTAACCCTCTCTCGAATGAGCAGAATTATCTTGCCTTATCTCCTATTTGAGGAGAAGTAGATCCTTCCACATCCTTGGCTTGAAAAGCAATAGTCAGTTTCACCCCACAGTCATCATAAGCAATAATGCCATCCTCAGCCTCCTAAAGAGATACAGTCAAAAACAGAATGAAAACAATCTCAAGAACAAAAACCAATAAAAACAACTATAGTTCTTACATATTCTTGTGCCAAAGGATTGGTACAGCTGTAAAAATGTCTTATTCCAGCATTTTCTAAAAGATTATTCATATGAATAAAAGGTAGTCTTGCCTTAAGCCTAGCTCAGTCTGCTGTAATTTTTAATTGGTCTTTCAATCTTAAGAATCTAATTTTTGCTATTGAGGAGAAAAAAGCTTACTGAAAATGTTTAATACACCTGCGCTCCTCATAGCCAATCAGAAATTAAACTGGGCATGTTACTTCCAAGGAAGTGGAAATTCTATAAGGGCAAGAAGCTTTAGTATTTCCTAAAGAAGCTGCTGAAGTATCCTCTTTTAGTAGCACACAGCACCTTGCACAGTATTTAATATATAATGTCAATCAATATACTTAACAATGCAGGATAATTTGGTGTATGATCTAGCACAGTTCAAGTACTTGACATAAAGTAGATGATTAAAAATTATGACATACTAGTATTTCAACAATTTTTTTTAATACCAGACTTCAAGGAGAAACAACATTTCAGTCATCGTACGTGTAAGAATGATTAACTCTTAAAAAATCTAAGGGCTGGTCTGAAGGTAGTGGGTTATCTCGATTGTTCAGTCAGTTACAGATCGAACTTCCTTGTTCTCCTCTTTCCCCCCTTCTCACTACTGCACTTGACTAAAAAAATAAAAGTCTAAGAAAGTTCAGGTGTGTCGTATTGAATCACACCGTTAAGTAATGACAGTGTACAGCAACTACATAAATTATACTGATTTTATGGTTTCAACATTTCTATGAAGATAATGCCCATGTCCCTACTCTAGCCCTGACTTCCTTCCTAAACTCCAGTCCTCATTACAAACTACGATATATTCAAAACCAATTCATTTTCCTCTTCTACCAATCACATTCCTTCCATAACTGCTATATAATAATTTATTGAACACTTACAACATTACCAGGTATTATGTATTATCAAATTAATCTTGTACAAAATCATCTCCATAGTTTCTCTTTTCCCTCATTTTACAAATTGGGGAAATCTGAGGAATTAAGTAAACCTTACCAAGGTTACAAAACCCAGCGCAAAATAATCCAGAGGATTTGAGTTTGGTTAAGAACAATGTCAGTGAACTCAGGTCTGACTCCAATGTCATCAACTTTTCCACAACCAAACTCAAAAGCTTACTGTTCACCTTTTGCTCTTAACTCACCAACTTCAACATCAACAGCTGACAATATACTATACATCAAATATATTAAATAGAGATAGGAGAATCCCTGCCCTGAGGGAGTCCAGTGCAGCAGAGACAGATTCATTAACAGGTAAATGTTATATACTGTAAGAAGCATGATGACAGAGGATTTACTAGGGTACTGTTGGACTAAGAAAGAAAAAAAAACAAAAAATGGCAGGGAAAGTCTCACACAAAGGCTCTCTTCATCAAGCCAGTTTTGCCAGACACATTTGGGAAGCAGAGCATTCCAAGAATTAAAAGTTATTAAAAATAAGCCCAACTGAAGTGTATTTTTATTTTTGTTAACAGTATCATCTGTCACATGCGAAATTCCTATTATGAGCTAGGTACTTCGAGGGCTTTTTAAACTATTACACAATCATTTTTGAAATTTAAAAACTGAAGCTCAGAGGTGAAATAATTTCCCAAGCTACAGTAAGTGATAAGCAAGATACTAGCCTTGCTCTTTCTGGCTAATAGCAATTATTAAATTATAACATGACTTTCCAGTATCTCTCATGTACCTTCACTTGTCTATAGTCACTATCTGTGTGCCTAGTTCAAGGACTACCTTAACTATCCAAGTAATTTCATAGTAATCCTTTTCATCTTTTGTCTTTCTCCATCCCATCTAGGCTTCATATTGCTGCCATTACTCTCCCAAAGCACATACCTGATGTCATTATCCAAAAGAAATCTTTTCCTTGAAGTACAGAACAAGGTCTAAATTTTTTTTTTGGAGACGGAGTCTCACTCAGTCGCCCAGGATGGAGTGCAATGGCGCCATCTCAGCTCACTAAAAGCTCTGCCTCCTGGGTTCACGCCATTCTCCTGCCTCAGCCTCCCGAGTAGCTGGGATTACAGGTGCCCACTACTATGCCCGGCTAATTTTTTTGTATTTTTAGTAGAGATGGGGTTTCACCATGTTAGCCAGGATGGTCTCAATCTCCTGACCTCGTGATCCGCCCGCCTCAGCCTCCCAAAGTGCTGGGTTTACAGGTGTGAGCCACCGCACCTGACAATAAGGTCTAAATTCTTTAGAGCAGCAATCAACACCCTCCCAGTCTAGCTGGATCCTGATTTTTCATCCTTATTTCTCCTAACCTCCCTCACCAACAAAAACCCACACACAAAACCAAAAAAAAAAAAAAAAAAATTCCTGTCGGACTAGTTACTCATTGCTTCCTAAAGAAACCCTGAATTTTTCTCATCTATACTTTTACTCTGTGAAGAATGCTCTTTCCTGTCTCCATCTGTTAGTAAAACCATCACATACCCTACCAGTTAATTTTCACCAGAGCACTATCGCTGACCTTCAATAGCAATATTTTATATTCTATATGAATTACTTGTTTCTATAAAACTCTCAATTTGTTATTAACTTGAAAGGAGAATTCATCTCAGACATCTTTCTATTTCCTATTTAGTGGATTTTTCAATAAATGAAATTTAAATGTGTGAACTGAGGATACACCCAACTTTGAAAGTTTTAAATTGCCTGGAAGACAGTACTATCATTTTATATAACTAGTTCTCTACTTGGAATGAGTTTGCCTCCCAGGGGACATTTGGCAATGTCTGGACACATTTTTGGCTGTCACAATGGGAGGCAGGGAAAAGGGGTCAGAATACTAACTTCCAGTGGGTAGAGGCCAGAAATGCTGCTAAACATCCCATCCCCCACAGTAAAGAATCATTCATCCCAAAATGTCAATAATCCCAAGGTTAAGAAACCTTACTTTGTTTAGTTCACTGTTAATATGACAGAAATTCTGAAAGAGACAAACTTCCGCTGATTATATGTACTCTATTACTATGTGCTGTTAAAGCAGAAGAGAAATAAACAGCTACAAAAATCATTTGGATTATGCAAAACCTACCTTCTCTTTGCCTTTATTTGGGCTAGTGGTTTTAGGATTGGAAAAAGTGGCTTCTTTTTCTACCGTGCCCAGAAAACGGTGATCTGAATGGGAATGAAATGAAACCGTGCCCTTGGGAAGTTTTTTAATCCTAATAGCATGATTTCTTTGAGCAGAGAGCATATCCTAAAAATGATAAAACAAAATTAACTTTCAATTGAAAAAGAAAGCATCAAGAAACACCTCCCAACTTTTCTCAGAAACAACTCACAGGAACCACAGTAAACTCTACTTCATCTGCAATATGGAGCTGGTTCCCATCCAGAATTTCACTGAAGTGGAAGAACATACGAACATCACGATCCACACACTTGATGAAACCAAAACCATCTCTCATGGCAGCAATCACACCCTGAAACCCAAATAATATTTTCACTGGCTGTGAAACTTGTCAAGAAGGCAACATTCAACTTTACAACCACCATCAAGTTAAATTCATCAGGAATTTTCTCTGATGTGACACAAATACTGTATCCACATTTGAACTGTTCTCACTTAAGTACAAACTCATTGCTTTCAACAAAGTAACTTAACCTGAGCAATTTTCTAAGACTCTCCAATTGCTACTTCCTGGCAAATATGCACTAGAAAAAATTACCACATGTGAACGTAAACACGTGAACACAATGTATTTCATAAAAGCCCAAGTCTAATGACAATATAATCTCCAGAAACTTCACTAATTTACAGACCATAATTCCAAAGTAGACAAAGGCACTTCTCCAGTCTCTACCTCAAAAATTGCATGAGTTTAGGCCCAGGAAAGAGTTAAAATTTACATCTGAAGAATAAAATATATGCAATCTTTTCTCTTTTTTTTTTTTCCTTCTTACTAAATTATCAGCTTTGTAAGGCTTACTGTATCAAGAGTACCTGGAACATGGTAGATACTCATGTTTAATGAAACAATGAACACAAATTATCAATCTGCTATTGTATTACATACTACATATCTGCTCACTGCAGAAGTGATTCTGTAAGTTTTAAATATGACCTAAACAATATTTTGACATTTAATCCTTGCCAAGTCCTGACAGTAGCCAAGTTATATTTTCCATACCGTAAAGCAAAACAGATCTTGCCTTTGAAAATGTAAAAAAAAAAAAAAAAATCACACATTCAGACTTACAAACTTTTAAAGTTAAATACACTGTGTCAAATACAACCAGTTCTTCAAAGGCAAAGGATTAAAAAAAACTCAAGAAACTTAAATTTTCATTCAATGTACCCAGTTCCACTGGCAACACTGAGTTATAGTGTAGATGATATGATCCCAAACGTAACTAAATGCAAATTATGTCTGAGAAAATGAGTTCATAAAACATGTTTGGGAAAAAATCTGGTTGGTTTATGCCACTCCCAGACACAAACTCTTAAAAAACAATTTGTGAAGTTCTGCCAAAACAAAACCTTTTTGACTCTGGTTTAATTGCAAGCTTGTCCAAACCATGGCCTAGGACAGCTCTGAATGTGGCCCAACACAACAAATTGTTAAACCTTCTTAAAACATGATGAGATGTTTTTGCAATTATTTTTTTGAGACAGTCTTCCTCTGTCACCCAGGTTGCAGGGCAACGGCATGGTATTGGCTTACTGCAACCTCTGCCTCCTAGGTTCAAGCGATTCTCCTGTCTCAGCCTCCTGAGTAGTTAGGATTACAGGTGCCCACCGTCACACCTGGCTAATTTTTCTATTTTTAGTAGAGACGGGGTTTTACCATGTTGGCCAGGCTGGTCTTGAACTCCTGACCTCAAGTGATCACCCGCCTCAGCCTCCCAAAGTGCTGGGATTACAGGTGTGAGCCACCGTGCCTATGATTTTTTTTTTAAAAAAGCTCATCAGCTATCATTGCTGTTAGTGTATTTTATGTGTGATCTAGTGTCTAGATCATGGGTGTTCAATCTTTTGGCTTCCCTGGACCACACTGGAGGAAGAATTGTGTTTCCTAAAAACAGAAACCACTAATTAAATGTCTTAGGAAATAGTTTGGGAAAATCTACTTTCTACAATGATGAACTTGAATTTTCTTACTCTTCATATTAAGGGCCTGAGAATCACTGACTCTAAAAATATCTTAGTAATCCTGTCCAGATTTCCATTCAAAAAATTTTTTCACATATATTTCCAAGATAACTGCCAGAGATAACCCAGACTGACTCAAATGTGTATGATTCTTAATCACCTTAACAAGGTAAATGCCCATTAGGGTCATTTAACTTAAGAAAAATTTTAATTTAGTAGTATAAACTTGAATATAACATTGGCTTTCGCATATTAGATACATATCCAGTAATATCCAACACTTACCATTTCTCGGGCTTCATTAGTGAACTGAAATGTATTTGACAGAACTTCTATATTGGTTGCTCGCTCTAATTTGTCACGTCGGTCTGTTGAAATATTAAACCTAACATGGTCACCTTCCAGCAGGGTCACCTTGGATTTCGTATCTTTGTCTCCAAAGGGAAGTTCTTTAGGGATCACAAAGTCAACTTTGATGCGTCCTGGCAATGGGTCATTCTGATGAGAAGGAAAAACGATTTTAGCTGGAGATTTCTCATCCTTCCTAGTTCTAAGTCAAACAAGAAGAACACATAGTAAACCCATGTTATTTTTAACTTAGTTCCCTGAAGCGAAAAAAGGTGTTGACAACATAAGTCCAATGTGAAAGCTTCATGGTCTATGGTCACACGAGTCAACCATAAAATTACAACAATGCAATTAAGACCCAGCACTCTGGTACCAAAAGATTTTATTTAAGGAATTTTTCCAGGAATGACACCACTTGTGTCCTCACCTTCCCCACAAACTGGAGGGGTAGGGCAGGGGCAGAGGAGGGAACAAATGTACACCTGAACTGCAGTCTAATCCAATCAGGTGCTTTCCAATTTAATTAGCATTTTCTTCTTTGGCCTTTTTTCATCACCCAGTAAAAAAAAATACATATTTGGCTGGGCGAGGTGGCTCATACTTGTAATCCCAGCACTTTGGGAGGCCAAGGTGGACAGATCGCAAGGTCAAGAGATCGAGACCATCCTTGCCAACAGGGTGAAACCCCGTCTTTACTAAGAATACAAAAATTAGCTGGGTGTGGTGGCATGCCCTTGTAGTCCCAGCTACTTGGGAGGCTGAGGCAGGAGAATCGCTTAAACCCGGGAGGCGGAGGTTGCAGTGAGCCGAGATCGCGCCACTGCACTCCAGCCTGGCGACAGAGCGAGACTCTGTCACAAAAAAAGAAAAAAAAAAAAAAAAACACCATATTTATGAATATATAAATCTGGTTTCTCTTTTAGTTTAAATATACGTAACAAGAGGTCCTTAGTTGTTCCACTACCACATTATATTAACTGAATAAGATAAAATCTCAGTATACCACACCATATTATTCTATTACTACTGAGGCGAAATAGGACTCTCCTGAAAAAGATTATTTACCTGGTTTTTACTGGGTACTTTTGGGATAACTTTGGTTACAGTTCCTTCAAAATGTTCAATGCTGATATCTTCAAAAATGACTGTTCCTTGAGGCAATAGTCTGACATCTGTTGCAACTTCTTTACCCTAAATCAGAAGGGGTTGGAGGTGGTGGGGGGACAGAGGAAGGAAGAATCACATAATTTTAAGTGTTTCTTAAAAACATAAACCAACTCTGATCTTAAAAGGCCAAAGATCAAGTTAACTGACTGTCTTACATTTCTGTCCTTGATTGTGAATTCCACATCATCGCCAGGCTGTAAGGTTTCTAAGTCACCCTTAAATTCACTATAGTGAAAGAATATCTCTTTTACAACATCACCTCTTTCAATAAAGCCAAATGCCTCCTGAAGCAAAATAAAAAACCAAGAACATTATTACCACTCTGTACAAATTTATGATTACAACTTAAAACCAGTAATTTTTGTAAAATTATACTGTAGTCACAATAATATAATTTGGTACAACCTAATATTATCAATTAAACAGCCAATTTTAAAGAAGATAATGTATTAGCAACCAAGGAATTTTAAGAGACTACTTTTGAGGTTAACAGTGAAATATTTTAAAAGGGTAAGATAAAAAAGAAAAAAAAAAACAAAGGCTGGAGTTTGAAGTACAACATTTCAAGTGGCCAAAGAAAACTCAAGTTTCTCAAATTTAACACTTACCTTCATGGCACAAACTACTCCCTGACAGCGGGCTTGTTTCTTTTTCAACAGCATAATGTTGCGAGCACTTACAGCACCAGTACTAGAAAAAAAATAATTGCAGGGAGGAGGAATGAAACAGGGATTAAAAATGTATTGGCCTGCTTAGATATGAGTCTAAAGAAACTAGTTTCCTGGGGCTTTAAGAATTCTATCATCACTAAGAATAAATACAGGGTTTATGACATTTGATTATTTTCATATGGCTTTATATGCAAAGGACTTTAACTCCTTAGCCTTCTACGTTTGGCAAATATATATATAGGTCATCTTTCTCTGGGACTGTTGTTGGAAGATTTGCTTTTTTACAAACTTACACATGGGTGCGTGATGTTCTACTCTGTTTTTCTATTTCAACAAAATAACTGAAATAAAGCCACAAAGCGAATGCTACCAAAGGTGGGGAATACTAAAGTCTTATAAAGGTTATTCATTAAACAAACATTTGTGTAGGTATAATCTGCGGCAAAGTAAGGTACTGGTGATACAGAGATAAATAGGAGATGGTCTCTATTTTCAGTGAGTGCTAAATTTAGTAGCTATCTCATTAATTATTTCTGAGTAAACAGCCATAAAAGTTGAGTAAATGAAGTGACTTTAAGAGAACTTGCTATGCTTTTAAAAGTAATGATATCCACCTCCATTGGAGAATGGAAACAAGTTAGAGACACCACATGTTGCTTTTATGCCTTCATATTTGTGTAGCAGCGATGTAAATTCAATTTTGTTTTTAAGATAACATAGACTGTATAAGACATAATGGTACTGTTAGTCTAAATGTTTTAAGAAAAGACCTATACACCAAGCAATTACTTCCCTTAATTTTTCACAGACAAATAACCCAAAATGTGCTTTTTATTTAAAAAAATGTTACAGACTAACAAAGACACCAGAAAAATTCTACCTGTTTTTGTAACTTACTGCAGTGAAAACGCTTTAGAGTCAGATGGGAATTTAAATGCCTGCTATTTAAAAGCAGTATGAACATCGACAAGTAACTTTGTGAGAACTTATACGTCATTTTACAGATGAAGAAACTTACCAGGTAAGGCTGTTCTGAGATTAACAACTATATAAATTGAGGCCTTCAGACTGTAACTAATAATAACCACACCTACAACACAATCTGATTCCTTCAAGGCTTGCCAAGAAAGAGATAAGGTTCAAGGCAGATAATCCCAGACATGCTCTTAGGACTTTTCCCTCCACATGCTACTGGAAGGTACATTACTAGCACTTTCTCCAACTTTCTATTTTAATTTCCTTCTCCTCTTGCATCTCTCATCTCTCCTATGCCAAGATAAAAATAATATTCTCCCTGGGCTTTCTTAACTACATTTTCCTTAACTGTGTATGCTGATGAATTCTACAGCTCTATATACTTCCCCTATAGGCAGGAAATAGACCTTAGACTTAATAGGTCTAAGTCTCAGACCTATACACGCAACTGTAGATTTGATATCTCTACCCAGATATATCACAAACATCTCACACTCAAAAATTGCCAAGATAAGTATGATTCTTTTCCCACCTTGAACATTCTCCTTATGTCTCCTTAGCCCAGTTTATGGTACCATCATCTGCCCAGTAGGCCAGGCCAGAAAAACAGTATTTGGGACTCCCTTTAATTCCAACCCCACCTTTATCAAATCAATTAAGATTGATGATTCTATCTTCTCAATATGACTTGACTCCTCCACCCCATCCTCTTAGTCTATCCATATCAGGCGGTCATCTTTCACGTTAACTCTCACATCACTGCCTCTGGTCAACAGCATCCCCACCTTTCAAAAGTCTACCACTTCCACCACCTCCAAAGATCTAAACCAATCACACTTCCTTGTTTTAAACAACGCAGATTCCTACATAGAAGAATGCTCAAACTTTACCTTCTGGTCAGTTCGACCAAACTTTTGGCCATTTTCCCCCAACATGTCATGATACTTCTAATCATAATGCTTTTTTCTCACCTCTCTATAGTGACTATACCCCTCCCTCAAAACTTACCTCAAAGCACTATTTTTTGAAAAACCTTCACTGATCTCTAGAACAAGTCCTTAAAATGCCTAACAATGTTTTAATTATCATCTTCCTCTGAGACCCTGCATCATGGCTGTAATACAATATTCATAGACCTCAAAGCATTAGTTGATGAATTGAAAGTTCATGAAAACTATCCAGACTTACAAGTTAGGTTTTTAACTCTATTCAAATTTCTTAATGGAGGGGGGAAAAAAAAACCGCTTAGGTGAGAAAATTTAAAAAAAAAGAACTTACTGTTTATTGTTATCAATTACAAAGTTTATTTTATCTCCAGTTTCCAGCTGAACGTTCCCTTCGACATCTTCAGGGGTGTAAGTCAGATAAAACACTTCCTGTGAATTAATAAATCATTATTACTATTTTGGCAGGATGCATATTCACTGTATACTGTGATTTACTTACTTAAAAACCTCTTATACTGGCATTTTAAGCCAAATTTCTTAAAATTAAATGCTTTATGACAAGTCACTTTATTCATATAAACACACACTTCCCCTCCATGGTGCTGATGACTTCTGCGAGTCCACAGCTGAGCAGCAATCCAACTTCAAAAAGCTTACACACGTGGAAGCATTTGCCCAGAGACTATAGTTACATTTCAAAAAAACAATTTTATATAAGGCATTCCAAACAAAAAAAGCTGGTGTTAGTGCTTAAAAGAAACCAGAAAAAGATCCCCCCCACAACCCCCAAAAAAGTGATTAAAAGGAACATTTTACCTTAATGTTCTAACTAAGGTCATACTTGGGCAAACTAAGACACTTGGAAGTCCTATGGAATTTTTCTTTTTAAATTTTTTGATTATGCTGCATTTGAAGCCTCTTAGAAACCAAATTTAAAACTGATTTTAACAATTGCAGCTTACGTTTTCTATTTTGAATTTTAAAGTACGCTTATAGATCACATGGTGGATCAGGCAAAGGTTTAAGAAAAATACACAAGTTTACCCCATTACGTTCGTAGCATACACTCCCTGTTGGACTCTGACCCGGGGCAGCTGGAGATTTACTCTCTAAGTTGTGAGGAACAGCGCACACAACCTACCAGTCAAAAAAAAAAAAATTTCCATTGCTAATCATTTCAGGAGCAGCACTGTGCAATATAAACTGAATTTTAATATCCTCTATACTATATACAGGGATGCATTTTAATATGATCCACAAGAGGATGTCATGCTGCCAAGTTTCAAACTTACAGTATGTAAATTGACTGTAAGCATTGACTCAGGGTTATATGTAAAAACCCAATTGAGTCTTGACCATATTTTTATTTCAGGTCAAGAAATGCCAGTGCTTTTGATTAATTTTAAAATAGTAATCTTTATATACTATAGCTCTCTTTCGTGCAAACTGAGGAGATGGGGAGAATCTTCCTTTTCTAATGTGAAAGATATGCAAATGCAGGGCCCTAAAAAAACACAAAGCATCAAAGTCACTAACTTGTCCATTCATTCGTTCTTCAGGGAGGATTTCTTGTTTTATCTTCACCAGTTTAACAGCAATGGGTTTCCCAGTCCGTCGGTCCGATGATACTTCAAATTCAACATCATCTAAAAATAAATAATGTGTTATGTTTGTTGAACTGATTTTTGCGAAACGATATATTGCTTCCAAGCTATACTTAACATAGCATTTGAATTGCCTTAGACCAGTGGTTTTCAAAGTGTGGTCCCTGGACCAGCAGCATTAACATCACCTGGGAGCTTAAAAGAAATACTGGGCCTAACTCTAGTCCTAGCCAAAGACAAACTCTGGGGATCAAGTATAGCAATCTGTGTTTTAACAAGCCTTCCACTAATTCTGATACACACAAATGTTTCAGAACCACCATCTTATGCTAAGATAGCCATGTCTTAATCTTAGTTTTTATGGCATTTACACATACTACAAATGAGATGACTTAACAATCATAACCTTTGGCGAGTTTTTTTTTTAAACTCCTCTGTACCTCAGTTTTCTCTTATGTAAAAGGAGAATAATTCCTAACAGGACTGCCATGAGGATTAACCAAAACAATGTTCCTATAGCATGCATCTTGTTAGCTATTATACTGACTCTTTTCTCAAACGTTTTTTAAAAATGCACAGAGGCCTCATAATTTCAGTCCTTTAGTAAGCCAAACACTTCACATGTAAAAACTTTTTTTTTTTTTTTTTTTTTTTTTTTTTGAGACAGAGTCTCCCTGTCACCCAAGCTGGAGTGCAGCGGCACGATCTCAGCTCACTGCAACCTCTACCTTGCGGGCTCAAGCGATCCTCCCACCTCAGTCTACTTAGTAGCTGGGACTACAGGCACATGTCACGTTCCTCAGCTAATTTTTGCATTTTTTGTAGAGATGGGGTTTTGCCATGTTGCCCAGGCTGCAAGCTGGTCTTGAATTCCTGAGCTCAAGCAATCCACTTGCCCTGGCCTCCCAAAATGCTGGGAATACAGGCATGAGCCACCATGCCAGGCCTGTGAAATAATTTGTATGGTGTCAGCCACAATGAATTTCCATATAATCTAAGAGGTGACTTTTTTTTTTTTTGAGACGGGGTCTCGCTCTGTCGCCCAGGCTGGAGTGCAGTGGTGGCATCTTGGCTTACTGCAAGCTCCGCCTCCCAGGTTCACACCATTCTCCTGCTTCAGCCTCCCGAGTAGCTGGGACTACAGGTGCCTGCCACCACGCCCAGCTAATTTTTTGTATTTTTAGTAGAGACGGGGTTTCACCGTGTTAGCCAGGATGGTCTCTATCTCCTGACCTCGTGATCTGCCCGCCTCGGCCTCCCAAAGTGCTGGGATTACAGGCGTAAGCCACCGCGCCCAGCTTCTAAGAGGTGACACTCTAAGGATTACTTTTTTCAGGTACTACCCAAAATAGTACCTGACAGAATAATCATAAGTAACATTACAAAAGTTCAATATTCGTACTGGCTTAAAATCTTACGGGTAAACAGTCATCATTATGGGGAAAAACAATGAAATCTTCCAAGCATTTATTGTAAATATATGCAAATATAATCTTTCAAGGATTCTGCTGGTTTATACAGATATTCTTCACTAAACAGTACAACTAAAAGTCCAAAATGTTTTAATTTACATAAAACTTTTTGAAAAACACTCATGAACAAATTGATATGCAAGACAAATTTTGTGATTACATTTTTACAAAGGAGAACTGACAGATTACCTCCTACTTTTAAGTCTTGCAGGTTGCCATTATACTGTGAACAGTGGAAGAAAAGTCTAGCTTGACGTTCTGAACACTGAATAAATCCGTAAGAGGTTAACAGTTTTTCAATAACCCCAGTTTCACGCAGTGCTGCTGAAGTACCATTAGGGTACCCATTATGTCCATTGTTGTGGAGAAGGTTTGGATCAAAGCTCATCTGTTTTAAAAAGAAAAAGAATATATACATATCTGTACATTATCTCCATAGCATATTAAGTCTGGTTAATAAGTCACTAAATCTTCCATATAAAAACGCAAAAAAAAGTAAAATGAAGGGAAGATTATAGACTTTATTACTGCAGCATTAATTTAGCTAATAAAACATTTCAGAGGAAACAACTTATTATATTGGGGAATTGCCCCAAATTATGGTAGAATTTCCACTTATCAGACAAAAATAGAATTTCTGGGGTTTAATATTAAGGTATAGCAACTACATTAGCAAATGCTGCCTTTACATGAAGTGAAAATTACTAAAACAACAATTTCAGAACAAAGGTAATTAATATTAAGAGACAGCGACCACAAACTACCAAAGACTCTTAAGAGATTTGGTAACGCTATTTTGAAACTTCAGCCAATACCTTAATACTGTTTAGTAAGTCATGCATTTGGAAGGCATATTTCAAGTTAGTAGAGATTAACACAATAAAATGAACTTTCTATGCAATACTTAAACTAGAAAATTTCAGAGTAATTCATGCTTAGGTCCTTTAATGAAAGACTATCCAAAATAGTGCAGTAGAAAACTTCTGAAACAACAAAACTCCAAGACAGCAAAAGCATTTCCATTTTAAAAATGCTGAATCATTTCACAGGTACATTTAAAGAAATCTTTACCTAAAAGAAACCCTTCACTTTTTACATACTGATGAAATCTGTAACTATCACTTCGTTCCCATTCTTTAGTGAAATAGGAGCTATTTAAAAGCAATATAATGGAATCTGCCTAGGTCATAAAATACTATCACATTGGATGTTCCATTTCCCTTCTTTGAGTAAAACAACAAAAACTATAAGTGAAGCACAAAACAGGACGAAATCCTTAGCAAAGCCTAGGTCTATAATTTACCACAGTAATGACATTTCTAAATCATTACAATTATGTTTTAGACCCTTTCACTGAAAATCTGATTTATAAGTATTTCCATTTAAGTGGAATGTTGGGCATTATTAATAAAAAGGATATATTTTCACTAGGAAAAAAGAGTAACAAATTCTAGAAAGATAAACCAAAGTTTGAGTCAACGATATGTGTGATGGTCAAATCACGTAAATCAAAGCCACCACACCTGTAGGTGGTTACGTCCTAATTCTTCTACACTAGCCACTGTTCTGTGTTTAACATATATTAACTCATTTAACTTTCACAAAAGCCCACAAGAAAGTATTGTATTCGCCTCATTTTACCAATGAGAAAACAGACACAGAGAAGTTAAATGACTTGCCAAAGTCAAATAGTAGAAGATTCAAACCAAGAAGGTCTGGCTGTAAACCAGGGCTTCTCAAATGAGAAGTTAAAATATAAAATCAGACTCAGTAGGTATGGGGATTTGAAATTTTCCATCTTTATTAAGATCCAAGGTGATAATAATGCTTCTGATTCTTAGATATACTTTGGGCAGTAAGACCCTAATCTACTGAAGTTATCTTTCAAGAGTGAAGGTGAAAAAAATGATTCGGGAAGTTAGAAGGTGAGTCGGCAAGATATTTCAACCAGAATGAGTGGCAATCCTAGGTCATGCTCTTAACACAAAGCAAGGTAAGCTGAGATGACTGCTTTCCTGACTTACAGATCTCTGATAAGTTGGGGTCCTCTTTTGTTTTTTAGTCCCAGATGAGGTAGAAGATGAAGATAAGGGTAAAGAAAGTGAAGGAGGGGCTGCAGGAGAGGGATGAGGATCTGATGACACAGTAAAAACGTTCTCCATCTCAAACAGCTGTTATAACATAGCATAATGTTGATAACTATGATCAATAACAATTTAATGCACATTTCACAGTCAATATATATTTTTAGCTTGGGTTTAGCGAAATATAAATTAGATTTCTATTGACAGGAAATACATAGAATTAACATTACTATAAAAGGTGAAATGTATTTTTTTTAAAGCCATTAAAACATACGATGACATCAACAATTCTGAAAATGCCACAAAGACTCTTGATGGTTGTTGGAGTGAGACTATTCAGTCCAATTTCTTTTCAATGCCGATCAACTTTAAATAGAACCTATCATTTTTAGTCACTAGTCTCCCTAGAGTACACACTGATAACCCAATGGGGTGCAGAAGAAAATAACTGGGACTATTTTTCTGCCCAGAGATAAAAATGAGCTTTTATAAATATTTACTATGTATTTATAGTCTAGGTTTCACCGAGTTGGTATGTCAGATGGTCTATGAGTATCATGTATTACTCAGGTATTCTGAGGAAAGAGTGGAGAACTCCAAAAGAGGCCAACAGTGAAGTCCTCACTCATTTGCTCTTACCGTATTACCGTATGCCCGATAAGGAGATATATAAATTTAGTTATCTAGTGTAACTAAGCTACCTTCACAAATAAGACAAATGAGGCCGGATGCAGTGGCTCACACCTGTAATCCCAGCACAGGGAGGCCGGGGTGGACATGAGGTCAGGAGTTTGGGACAAGCACGGCCAACATGGTGAAAGCCTGTCTCTACCAAAAATACAAAATTTAGCCAGGCATGGTGGCATGGGTCTGTAGTCCCAGCTACTCAGGAGGGGGAGGCATGAGAATTGCTTGAACCCAGGAGGCGGAGGTTGCAGTGAGCCGAAATTGTGCTACTGCACTCCAGCCTGGGCAACACAGCAAGACTCCATCCCAGAAAAACAAAAAAGCCCAAATAGACAAATGGTTGAAAGATTCCCGCAGAAGAACCTCAGATGGAAGATAAGGCAAGCACATGCAAAGAGCAAGGGAACTGACATTTCTATTCCTAGTACTAGTTCTTCAACCTCCACATTAAGAAACCATCTAACGAGATATGGTAAGTATGCCAAACAGTTAAGATCAAGACTATGACATGGACTTAAATTAGTTGCAATACAACACACAAATGTAGATTTCCCTGATACTAATTCATGATATTATAAAGCTTTTTAAAATTAAACACTTAAAAACCAGCAATCCAGAACATAGTATTTCTAACAGAACATTTCTGCACAAGTAAACTTTTTATAATATCCCTCACTTCACATTTTTCCTATTTGTACCACTGTGTTTTACAATGCAGACACAGAATTATAATTACACAATTTGTAAACATATACACATATCGAAAATACATGTTTTTAACTGACAAGCAGTATAAAATTAACTTGAGAACCATTATTCTAGATCACTGAGGGACTTTCAAGCTGTGCTTCTTTCATGTTTGTTTGTTTATTTAATTAATTAATTTATTTTTGAGACACAGTCTTGCTCTGTCACCCAGGCTGAATTAATTTATTTTTGAGATGGAGTCTCGCTGTCACCCAGCCTGGAGTGCAGTGGTACGATATTGGCTCACTGCAACCTCTGCCTCCTGGGTTCAAGTGATCCCTCTGCCTCAGTCTCCCAAGTAGCTGGGACTACAGGTGTGCGCCACCAAACCCAGCCAAATTTTGTATTTTTAGTAGAGACGGGGTTTCACCATGTTGACCAGGCTGTTCTCGGAACTCCTGACCTCAAGTGATCCGGCCCCTGCACTGCGCCCTGGCCTCCCAAAGTGATGGGATTACAGGCGTGAGCCACTGCACTTGGCCTCATGTTTAGACTATAGTTCTGATTACTATTAAACAAGAACA
This sequence comes from Homo sapiens, assembly GCF_000001405.40. NCBI lineage: Eukaryota > Metazoa > Chordata > Mammalia > Primates > Hominidae > Homo > Homo sapiens. Next base: position 114,743,545 of record NC_000001.11, read on the forward strand.
CAATGATATGATCTGAAATATATATGCCTTAAAGCTGCAAAATATCCCCATTCTCAAGTCTCCAATCCTGCCACACATCACTGCAGGTAGGAGATAGAAATCCTCTTTTTCTCACCCAAAGGGAGACTGAACCAGAATTAGAAAGCATCAAAGCTAGCATTTTAAGACTCTAAGTTGTTCCCCAACAAGAATGTTGGAATCTGGGCTCTACTGTTCGAGTCTCCGTCTCATCCCTAGACACATACCAAAAGAGTTGAAAAAGCCTTCCCCTTCTCCCAGAATCTTTGCTGACTAGAGCTCTCTTTCCCTAGCCTTTATCCATTTGGAGGAAGCCTTTATTTTATTTTTCCAAAGGGAAACACACCACTCAAACAACTTTAGATAAGTTGATGTGACATGTGACATGTTAATACTTTTCAAAGAATTCCTAATAATTTGGCTAAACTATATTTTAATGGCATTGCAAATATTTCTTAATCAGCACCATCAAAAAACAAGCAAAATGGAAGTTATCACAAAAACAATTACATGAAAGTATAGGACAAATGGAAGTAGATAATTTAACAGAACCTTGTTTATAAAAAATTAAAGATGCTAACAAAGGTGGTGGTAGGAAGGACCCAGTAGGTAAATGTTACTTGACTTCTTCTTTAAATAGGGGGGAAAAAAATCCACAATTTAGTTGCTTGCCTAACAGCATGTAAAAATGTATTCAAATGAACCGAGTTTAATGTCTTAAAAAATATTTAAAAACCAGCCAGGCTCAGTGGTTCACGTTTGTAATCCTAGCACTTTGAGAGGCCGAGGTGGCAGATCACCTGAGCCCAGGAATTTGAGACCAGCCTAGGCACATGGCAAAACCCTGTCTCTACAAAAAAATACAAAAATTAGCCAAAATTAGCTGGATGCCTATAGTTCCAGCTACTCAAGAGGCTGGGGTGGGAGGTTCACCAGAGCCTGGGAGGTCAAGCCATGATCCTGACACCGTACTCCAGCCTGGGTGACAGAGTGAGACCCTGTCTCAAAACAAAAACAAAAACAAAACAACAAAAACAAACAAACAAAAACCCCAAAACATACACACACACCCCCATGGATGAGTATATTTGTAAAATCTTTGCAAGGGCGGAACTTTCTAGATTTGAAATCAATTAAAAAAAAATCACAAGGGACTGATATCTGATTATACAAAAAGCACAAGCTTTTATACTCAAACCTGGGGGAAAAGTGTAAATACACCAGAGTAGATAGGGCAAATCAGTACAATTAAATTACCAGAATATAAGCTTCTTGAGGGGCAGAACTTTCAATTCAAAGCTAAATCCCTAGATTTTAGATAAACAGTGCCTGGCACAGAGCAGGCACTCATATGTTGAATTACTGATTAAGTGAGCAAATAAATCATTCTTGAATATCAATTATTAAACTTTATACACAAAAGCTAAAACATTAAACATTAAAAAAAAACTTGAATTTTTGCAATAAAAAATCCAGATAAAGCAAATTAATACTTTCATATACCAAACTAGCAAAGACGTAAGATTTTAAAATAATGAAAAAGTGAGCTAAGAACAACACACACACCACTTTTATGGTAGTAAATTGGTACAACCTTTTAGAAATGCAATTTAGCAACATGTATCAAAATGTGGAGATATTTTTCTTAATAACTGCATTGCAGAAAAGCTCTCCTGGGGAAATCTGAAATGTGAAAAAAGCTTTATACACAAGTATTTTAACAAATATATTTTTGTAGCAAATTCCTGGAAATAATATAAAGTCTAACACACTTTATAGCTCAAGACGTCATTGTAACTTATGTAATGCTATGTGGTCATTGGAAACAATATGTGGAAAATGCTTATTCTGTAATAGGAAATGAGACATAAGATATTTATACAGTATGATTTCAAATGTATTTAAAGACCAGAAAATCTAATGTTCACAGATGAGAAAACACTTAGCCATCTTAAGGGCACAGCGCTAAAAATGGCAAATGTGGGAACAGAATCCAGTTCTGACTCCATTCTTAACCACTGCCTTATTCATTCAACCACAATTAAGTTCATACAATGCATCAGCATTATTTTAGGTTCTACTCATATAGTAGGTAACACAACAGACAAATATCTCCAGCCTCATAAAGTTTAGACCTTCTACCCTTTTCTACATATTTACTTTTAAACTGAAAAAGTCATTGACAAAATTAGTCCTCCTTTAATAAAAGCAGAAATGGAACAAATCTCAGGTCAAATTTAAACTTCATTTGTAACTCAAGAAATTGATTAAAGTTCCCTGAAGAACATAAAAGTCAAAAGACTGGCTTTCAGTCCTGACTCTCAAGTACTTTTAACATCTCTGGGATTTTTTCCTCAAAAGTAAAGTGGGAGCACCTAACTGGTTTCCAAGTTCCTTTGGGGAGAGGGGGTGGAAATCTATGCTTTGTAATTTATTACAACATCTAAGTTGTTTTTCCCCCCTAATCTGGTCTGCTTGGCTTCTACTGATTGACAATCAATTTGGAAAAGGTAGCCTATTTCACCATAAGATCTTTAGAAAACTACTCTGTATTCTCAGACATACCTCCCCTTGACTTCCACTGTTTCTTCCAATTTTCTGAACACAACCATTTTTAACACTAATTGCTGTCTTCTGGATAGGTTCTAAGTAATTATTCATTAAAGTGCATTTCACTACTATTCTTAATGTACCCGACCAATATAAAGTACTGAGTGATTACACTCCTTGATTCTGTAGACTGAAGTTTTATAACTTTGTAAAACTAAAACACATCCCCATCATTTCTTCACAAATCACATTAGCGAAATCAGGTTTTCTTTCAGTTCCTCCGTAATGGATCGTTTGTTCCCAAATAAAAAAACTATAACCTAATGCTTTTAAAATGCCTTCTGTTGGTTAATCTAGTATTCCAATTTGGTGACTAATTTTAAATTATCAGACTCTTTGTAGTTTATCTTTTAATCATTCATTCTCCTACCTTAACACCTGTCTCACAGAGTTGTTGAGATGGTTAAATGAGTTGCTGCACGTAAAAAGCCTAAAATAAGTGCTTACGTAGCACATAGGTACTCACAGAACTACTCATTAGGTCTCTGAAAAAAGCAGGGCGAGGATAGCATCTGGCAGCATACACCTGGAGACTTCTCTAAAATCAGTCTCTTACTAACTGCTATCCATCCAACATTTCTCCATATTGACCATTATGCTATCATGAGCTAGTCTGCCAAGTTATTTATTCACTGGCTCTGGGGTTTTTGCTAGGGATGAAAAGTAAGCTCAATAGTTCCCACATCTGACTGAAAAATCAGGACATTTACAGTTCCTGTCATAGGTCTCTATTTGACTACTATCACACACCTAGCAACTAGCACCCTAGCAACCGCCAAGTAATCCTGTTATTTTCTCACTCATCTGGGGCCTCAGTTTTCTCTTGCTTTGCTATGTTTCAAGTATGAAAATTATTGCATTCAGCAGAAAAAACTAGGAGCGCGACAGGAATTTTCTAGTTTTGCTTTTCTCTTGTCTGTCACCTTTAGACTAACCTGGATCAAATCATTCACCAAACAATTCAGGTCTATTTTCACATCTCAAACAAATGCTTTATAAGCCTTATTCTTTCTTGCCATTTTATGGCTAATTCTACCCTTCTATATATATTTGTTCCTAATTACGTACTATTTTTACTGATTTTACAAAACCCCCCTTTAAAATCTGGGGGTTCCATTGCATTACCAAATCTGTTTTCTTAGCTGTGTGCCCCCTTTAACTGAACTATTTCACAACTGTACAACCACAGCCATGTTTTACTGCCAATAATCTTCATCCCAATTGTGGTTTCTTTGTACATATGTAAACATGTAATTTTTAGACAGCTATGGATGCATTTATATATTAAAATGTTCATGTAGTAAACTAATATTCAGAATACAAAGATTACACTAAACAAAAAGGACTTCGTTAAATCTATTTCTATAAATCATGTCAATGAAATGAAAGCCTTAATATCTAATCTTGCCAGGCACGGTGGCTCATGCCTGTAATCCCAGCACTTTGGGAGGCCGAGGCGGGTGGATCACAAGGTCAGGAATTCAAAACCAGACTGGCCAACACGGTGAAACCCCGTCTCTACTAAAAATACAAAAATAAGCCAGGCATGGTGATGCGCGCCTGTAATTTCAGCTACTCAGGAGACTGAGGCAGAAGAATCACCTGAACCTGGGAGGCAGAGGCTGCAGTGAGCCAAGATCACCCCACTGCACTCCAGCCTTGGCGACAGAGCAAGACTCTGTCTCAGAGAGGAAAAAAAAAAAAATCTAATCTTTTATGCTTCAGAACATAAAATTGTGGTTTCAATTTGTGTTAATCTTCCCTATCTAATCCAACAGAATCCACAACAATTAGTCTAAAATTATTTTTTAAAAATCAGCTAAGGTAAGAAGAAACAAATAGAAAAACTAAATGCTACAATTACCTTAAAATTAAATAACAGTGTCTGTTTATGAGACATAGATAATTTTACTATAGTTTTTAGTTGTTAAGGAATAATTCTAGTGCACAGCAAGGTCACTGACACTATTACATAATCCTTCAATAAATTGGAAATAAAGTCCTAAGCGCTTCTTGAAATAGCAGTGAAGCTTTTGTAACTGAATGACTTATTTTCATTCTTCATTTTATTTGACCTCTGTAGCATCTAAAAAAATGTTTACCATTGACTTCCTGAAATTATCGTTGGTGCTTTTTCCTGACTTCTATGTCTTTGCTCTCTTCATTGGTGCTTCTTCCTTTTATTACCTATACACTGATGACTCCTTTCTGAATTCCTTTATGTCTAACTTTAGAAAATCTGGAAACTAAAGATTAAAAAGGAAAATTGCTCTTCATAAGCCTACCCTCAAAGTTAACCACTGTTCAATATTCCATACTAGTGTATTTCCTTCAACTTCAGATTGCTATCTAATGAACACAATAGATTTCCATAACATATTTTAATATCAGTAAGTTACTACTCTAACTTCCCTATTCCTATGAACAATGAAGGTTTCTAGTTTGCACAACTGGATTTGATAAAGCCATTCTCTCCACATTTATCTTCAGATTCAATTGGTCCCCAAGTCCTCACTTCTAAATCATCAGAACACCTAGCACCTACCTTTTTCTCTACCTACACCTTAGCTTTTATCTTCCTTATACTTGATCCACTGCTTTTGACAGGTCTTCCCATCCTCAGCCTTTCCCTCAAAAGTGTCACCATTTGTCTTTTAAAGGTACACTTCTGAATATTACTTTAAAATGTGAAGCAATAAAGCTATCTTACTTTTGGGGGAAAAACCCTTAAGCCCTTGCTTATAGACATCTGATGGCTCTCCTACGGAATAAAGACAAATGCATTGGGCCAAGCCTCCAGCAAACTTCCCTTTCATAACTCTCCCGCAAAATTATATTCTCTACTCTGTTCATAATGAACAACTTAATATATACCATGTGCTTTCACGTAGCCCTGAATCTGCTAATTCTGTTACCTCTATACCTCTACCAATGTCTCTTCTACCTCTTAACAAGGTACTACTCACCTTCAAATATCCCTTTTCTGTAGGCTTTCTTTACCCTCCTCCTTACCTCCAAGGGAACAGCTTCAGTTATATTCTTAATATTTTATTAGTATCTTTTAGCCTATATTGTGATATTGTGTAACAAATTGTTCTAAATCATTAAGTCCATTAGTATCTTATTCATTCGTTATATTTCAGCACTAGCAATGCCTAACAATACAGTAGGCATGTCAACCATTTACAAATGTGCACTGTATACCGTTCACAAATATGCACTGCAAATGTAGGCATGGATATAAAGTAAGGTTCTTTCCTCAAGAAGCTAACATTGAAGACAGTAGAGAGAAAGAAACAGACGTCAGTAGCAAATATCACCAAAGTTTCACAGACCCTCATAGAAAGACTGCAATGCACATTCTTATTTGAAATCCTAACTTCTAAATAGTACAGACGGAGCTTCTCTAAGAGACCAGCAAGTCGAGAGATCAGCATGTATTAATATAATCTGGTATGAAAAATGTTTGACCATAAATACTGTCCTTATCTAACAAGAGATAGTGTTGATATTTCATACTAGTTGAGAATAGAAAAACTGTCTTCTGAATACCTTTAGAAAAGAACAAATAAAGATTTTATATTTGACCAAATAATCAGGAAATCTAGAATTATGGAACTGATTCTTAATAGGAAATTACAAACCTACCTCGCAGTGATACTCAAATATTGCACTTTCAGTAGTATTTGCTGATTCTTCTTTTTCAGCACACGTTTCAAAGGATGAAAGTTGCTAGTATTAAAAAAAAGAGCGAGAGAAAATGATCTACCAAGCTAATAAAGAATACAACTGCTGCTGTACCGGGCAATCTCACAGTACAGCACTGAAGAAAACAAAGACTACTAGCAGCGTTGGGAAGTGCTCTTTCAAAGCTGTTGAGTAGGCACAAACTTCTTGTTTCAGATCAAGTGTTGTGTCTTCAACTTAAGTGTACTCTTCTTTGGTCTTGTTAGTTGTTACGAGGTTTGTTCCTTGCCTGATCTGAACTTGAAGCAGCAGTTTCAGGTGGTAAAGTCTGTTCTGTTACACTTCATACTAAAGGTAAAAAATGAAGACATTAAGTATAACATACATAAAATAATCAGGGACAGTGGGTGAGAAGAGGGACAAACTCATTTCATTAACTTAGAATCATGGGTCATGCAAGTAATGCAGGAAACTTGGAAGCATGCTCATCTGATGTTATTTGGAGCAATCTCTCAAGTACTAGCAACTACCTCCTTTGGTATCTCATACCCAAGACCTCAAATTATTCCATAGTCTTTATTGACCTCTTCCCCCAAATAAGCTCAGTTACATGGCATAATGTTTAATTTAGTGCAAGTATTTTATAAGGATCTAGCTCTGTGGAAAACATAAAAGAAGTCCCTGCCATGAGAGCATAGACAATCTTGCTGAAAAGACAAGATGTAAACATGGAAAAAAAAAACAGAGTATAGGACAAAAATGCCAAAAATTATTTTGCTCAATTAGTATCTAGGTATCTATTATGTCACAGACTATCTAGAAATATTATTTATTGTTTATCCACAACTGCATGTCCATCAAAGCAACCAAGGCTTTTAAATAAGTGGAATTTGAAGTGAACCTGGAAAATCAGGCAGAATTCTAGGAGAAAGAAAATAGCTGAGTATTCTAGGCATGAAACAGCACATAAGTCAAGCGAGAATATGCCACTAAATTCTTTCTTCAGAGCAGCGACCATGCATTCTATGATTTTCTAAGCCCAGCATCAAGTGAAGTCTTCTGCATGAATGCCTGTGGCAACATGTGTGGCTTGTTGTTTCAGAGGAAAATCAACAGGCTAGCCTGGCTAGAACAGAGAGCTGGGCTGAAGTGAAATAGGATATGTAGTGTGACAGGTGTAGCGGAGCCCGATTATGAAGCATTTCAACGTGATGTAACAGGAAACAGTGCCTTAGTTTTTGATGAAAGTGGTATTAAGTCTTGAAATCCTAAAGGAGATGACTTAGTAAGCAAACAGAAATCTCATTTGCACTGCTGCAGTAAATAGATGAGAAATGTCTATAGAAGAGAAATAAAATTTATTTATCAGTAAAAATCACATTTCTGCTTTATATTAGCTATAAAATAAACAACAATTTTGCACTGACTCCAAAGTTACAAAATGGTGTTAACGAAAATTATTTCTACAGAGATAAGAAAAAGGTGTACGTGCTGAGAAATGGATATTTGAAAACATCAGAAGAATGATTATCAGGTGAGAGGTCAGAGCTGATTAAATAGCTCAGACCAGAAGAGCCTAATCGCAATCACTGGTACTAGTAAATACCATGAACAAGTTATTTAATCTCTCTAAGTTTCACTTTCCTCACATGTAAAATAAAAACTCAATAACAGCTGATCTGGCCATTTTCTATTCTCTAACATCCCATGTTCCTTCAAATATCAAATGTTACATACACTTGTCTGATCTTTCAACTTTATTTAGATCATTCTCCTATTACCCAGACTAGATATATGTCTCAGGGTAATGGTGCTCAAATACTTGGGAAGCTTTAAAAAAAAAAAAACAAAAACAAACCTATGCCCAGCCTCCACTCAGAGTAATACAACTGGTTTGAGGTAGGGCCACTTCTTTAACTATCTTGATTCTTCCCCTCTCCATCACCATACCCAATGTTGCAAGTTGTGTTAGTATTTCCCTCGCTATATCTTTTGTATTCATCTCTTATCCTACTAAGTGACATATTTTAGCTCAGGTGTCTAATATATCCGCCAACTTCCAGTGTGCACACTTTCCATTTTCTGTCACATACCACCACCAGACTATCAAAAACTTGAATTTTGGCCAGGTGAGTTGGCTCACGCCTGTAATCCCAGCACTTTGGGAGGCCTTGGCAGGAGGTCTGCTTGAGCCCAGGAGCTCCAGACCAGCCTGGGCAACGTGGAGAAACCCCATCTCTACTAAAAATACAAAAAATTAGCCAGGCATGGTGGTATACGCCTGGAGCCTCAGCTACTTAGGACTGGGAAGTCAAGGCTGCAGAGAACAAGATAGTGACACAGCACTACAGCCTGGGAGACAGATCAGAACCTTGTCTCAAAAAACAAAACAAAACAAAAACTCTCCAATTTCATTTCTCATCTCCCCTGTCAAACATCTTCAGTTATTTTTCCACCATTCTAGATGGGAAGTTTTTAATCCTGGCTATCCACCCACCCCCAGCAACCTTAAACAAACAAACAAACAAAAACCAACAAAATCAAAGCCTGAGTCCCGTACAAAGATTCTAAATTTAACTACACTAGGTTAGGTGCCAGGCCTTGTTATCTCCCCCCAACCCCTGCTCCAAGTGTTTCTGACTTCCAGCCAGGATTAAGAACTACTATTCCAGGTGTCTCTATTCTACCTTCCATCCTTACTCTCTACTGTGTTCCAGTTCTACCAGAAGTCCATTACCTCGCCTAATCCTTAAACACAACTCTTGGGAGATTCCTGAATTCTAGCCACCTTTGCTTATATGGGTCTTCCCACAAAAAAATACTATGTTGTGATCTTCAAGGTGACAAAAAAGCCTTTCTTGACCATTCCAGCAGACTCATTCATTAATTCCTACTAATGAATGGGGCAGTAACATCCACTGCCTGCACCAAGCAATTTGCAGCAAGTGATACCAAGCAATTTCTGTACTTTGTTTACTTCATGTTTTTATGTATCTTGTTCCTCCAATTCTATTTCAAATTTCTGAGAGGTAAACTCAAATTTCTTTATCACAGCCTCCTTTCGCACCTAATCCAGTGCTGCCATATACAACCAAAGGAAAAAGGTAGTTAATCCTTAATAAGCAAAAGGACGCCACAATTCAAGTGTAAACAGTTATGCCACAATTCAAGTGTAAACAGTTATACCACCTTTAATTATATAGTTTTAATTATCCAATCAAGAAATAATCTCTTCTTTAAAAAATACAGACTGTGTATATTGGTTTTATCTTAATGCTTTAGGTGTATTAATGAACCCAAAGAACTCAACATGGAGAAAACAAGTTATCTTGAAACACTTGAACTGGATTAACCCATTCCAGGTTGTCGTATCACATTAAGAACTGTCAAGTCCAAGATTCAGTAACACAAAAAAAGAGATTTCTGGAACTGAAACTCTGGAGTACTGCAGGGCCATTCTTAGGCACTAATGAGGTCTATTAGGAGCTATTAAAGCTCAAACGAACCCACCAACAGTCATGAATAATTTACTGGCCGAATTAACATCTTCACAGCTTCTATAGTTAACTAAATGTTTTTCAATTAAATTAACACTTACTGAAGAACTTAAAGGTATTGGTCAGGCAGTTTAATATAAATAGCTATCCACTCATGCCCGGATTAACATTAATTGGTGCTACTAACCACCTCTTTTGCCTTAACCCTAGGAACACAAGTGCATCTCCTCCATCCCCCTAAAAGCTTGAAACTTAAGTTGCATGAAACACTGGGTATTGGGCTGGGGTGGTGGCTCTCGCTTGTAATCCCCAGCACTGTGGCAGGCCAAGGTGGGAGGATTGTCTGAGACCAGCCTGGGCAACATGGTGAGATGCTGTCTCTACAAAAAATTTTAGAAATAAAAAATAAATTCACTGGGTGTGGTGGCATGCACCTGTAGTCCCAGCTACTCGGGAAGCTGAGGCAGGAGGATCACTTGAATCCAGGAGTTTGAGGCTGCAGTGAGCTATGACTGTGCCACTGCACTCTTGCCTGGGCGACAGAGTAAGACGCTGACTCAAAACAATCGCCCCCACAAACCCACCATAGGGTACCAATAAAAACACTAGGGAACAATTTAAATGTGTATCTGAGAATCATACTGTGTGCTAAGTAATCAACTCCTTTTCCCTTTGCTCAGCATGGAAATAGTATTATTACTTAATCACTGCAATCTCCACCTCCCGGGTTCAAGCGATTCTCCTGCCTCAGCCTCCCCAGTAGCTGGGACTACAGGCGTGTACCACCAGGCCTGGCTGGCTAATTTTTGTATTTTTAGCACAGATGGGGTTTCACCATGTTGGTCAGGCTGGTCTCGAACTCCTGACCTCAAGTGACCCACCTGCCTCAGCCCCCCAAAGTGCTGGGATTACAGGCGTGAGCCACTGCACCTGGCCACCACCTGTTTTATTTCATGTCTTCCTCGGCTGTTTTACCTCAAAGGCCTAGCATAAGCCATGACATAGTCGGCACTAAATGAAGAGGTTAAACTAACACATTTATGTGGTAAGTAATCCATCTAAAATGTATCACACTACCTAGTTTATTATTTTGAAAGTATGTGCAGCACTCACTTCGGGAAAAGTTAATGAAAGGCTAAGCCAGTCTACAAAAGTCTGCTCACCTAACCCACTTCCTTTAGGCAGTATCTTCTTTTAGGCAGGAAAAAACAAAGACCCAAATAGGTAGCATAGGACTGAAAAGTTTCTCTATTGCCTGACATTTCATTGAGCACCACATTTTATAACTGAAGTGCTTAATAGGTCTTAATTCATTTTTACTTTAGGATCTAAGGTAAACGATAAACTCTAGATAATTAACCAACCTAAGTCATCTGTTGAGTAAAAATAAAAAATCAAACTGACACAACTATCTTTTTGTATCTGTGTAGTAACAACTGTGCTGGATTAATTATCTAAACAGCTACTGAGATATTTAAAATTATCTATCACTTAACTGCTTATATATACACCCAGAAACCTAATAGTTTTAAGCAGGACAAATGGCAGTGTGGGAAGATGCTGAAGAAACATTCTAGACACATCAGAAAACACCACAGACCAGCAGTTTCCAACAGAAATACAGTGTAATTATAATTCTAGTAACCATATTACAGTCAAAAGAAACAGAAGGAATTTTAATTAAACGTCTTATTTAACCAATTATATCCAAAATGTTATTCTCTACAGGCAATCAATGTAAAAAAATTGACACTGTTACATTCCTTGAAATCCAATGTTATTATACAATCACAGCACATTTCAATTCAAACTAGTCACACTTCAAGTGCACAACAGCCACACGTGGCTGGCGGCTACCATGTTCCACAGAGTAGGTATAAACTGAGCAGGGGTCTAAAAAAGCACTATTGTGCCAATTAGCAACAGGAAGTAAATGTAAGGGTCTTGAGCAAAGATTTTCACTAATAAAAGTAGGCAGTATCTAGCATAGAAGCTTGTTGTTAATAAATTGGAGAAAAAGAAGTGCAAATAACTGGTTATGTACCGGCTGTAGCTGCAAATCAACGGATAGCTTACATGTGCAACATAGGGGAAACTGATAATTTTCAGCCACACACTGTTTTACCTCAGCATAAAAGGACATTAAAATATTAAAAAGTTTTGTGTTGTTTTTAACTAGGTACCCACACATGCAAGTGGAAAACATTCTAATATCAAAACAAAGGACTTTTTAAAATCCTGACTGGGCAGAAGGGATTTAACAGCAAGTCACTCTCACCATAGTAGTTTCACCACTTACAACAGTCTAGCTATTAAAGCTTACAAAATAGATCTCAAAGTGCTTCCTCTTCTGTTTTCTGCAAGGACAAAGCTAAGAAGAAGGCACATCAATTCTTTGTGTTTACTTAACAAGATCAAGATTTTTATCTCATTTTGCAATACAGTCCTGAAATTCAACTCCTCAAAAATCTGTCCAAAAGAACATCGTTCCAAAATTTCCATGTTTTAACTACCTTGTCGAAAGTATGGCTCTCACAACAGTTTCAATAGACTTAGTGCCACTGAACTGTACAATGAAAAACACTGGAACACTAAATTTCATGTTATGAATGCTCCAGCATAATTTGATATTTTAGCATTTTGTTTGTTTAAAACAAAAATCGATGGCCCTACACGATGTGTCTTCAGGTGGGGAGAAGGGAAAATAAGGGTAGAGGGTAAAGCCAGACTGCACGTCAGCTTTCACGCTTTCAATTTTGATTTGCTAGGACTTTACCAGATTTTCACCCACACTCGCTAAAGGTCACACTTAAGTCAGTACTTACAAAAAAAGAAAACCTATCTTCTGTGCCTCAAATACTTTAGTTTTCAACTCAGCTGCTATAAATAATCATCTCGATGGTAAACATCCAGAACAGCTGCAAAACCAAACTATTACCTTCTCTTTTATTTTAGTCCCAGGGCTAAAACGAAACAAAAAGAAGGCCAAATATTTATCTAAGTTTTATGACTCAGGTATATCCCTACTGAAGTATATAAAGCCCCTCCTTACCCACACCAAGGATATCCATTATTGGTTAGTACCAAAAGAAAACCAAGGTATGTATTATAGTGCTCCTCAATGCAATATCAAGAATGTTTGCCTTTAGTTACTCAAAATGAAAATTACTCAGCATTTTAGTATAGAGTAGCTTATATCTGTGGGCTATAATTTGAAACCTACATTCTAAAAAAGTAGGTTAGTAGCAGTGGCTGAGAACTGCCAGTTCATACCAGCCTGATGAAAATTTAAGCCTCTCAAAAAGATTTAACTACCACAGTGCCTTTGAGCATTCTCCCTCTCCGCCCTGTCTCCCAACTGTTTAAAGAGCGCCATATTCTTTTACTCATTTAAGGTGCAAAACACGAAAATTAACTTGCCCAACAACGTTCAGATATTCTTTGCAGATTCAAGCCTGTTTCAGGGAGCGTTCTCTGCTTCACCTGTGAGTTAAGCAAGACGGCCGCCATCTGGGTGTTTCTAAGGGAAAACCTTAAAGCAAAAGAACCTTGGCACTAAGATTTCGTATTGATAAAATAGCATGGCAAAAATTTGAAGCTGTCTCCGACGGGGGAACTCTAAAACATTCTACATAGAATGACGAAGCCAGGCCGTTCATTGCACAATGTGGGTGGGCCAGGCGCTGGCACCATGAGAACTACAGGAGGTGGAAGGGAGGACACTACTGAGCTTTCAGGGCGCACGCCCATTCCCCAAGATAGAGGGGTGGGAGCCACGTGCCTAAAAGATTAGGGACTGGTTCCCTTTCTCAAGACGCCGAAGGGGAGACAATGAGGGGAAGGTTGGGTGCTGAGACCCTGCTCTAGGTGACTGGAGTAACGATGTCAATTCCGCCACACTACTGTGCCAGATGTGGCTGGGGAAAGGTGTCTTTAAACACTTCCCCTAAGATATCTAGATGGAGCAGGGTCTCAGTCTATACACAAAGAAGGCGCCACTGCCGCACTGCGCTCTGGTACTGGTAGTCAGATTCCCAAGCAGGTAACGGCCAGGAAACTACAGGGTCCAGAGTCAAAGTAGGCCCCTCTTCTCGGTCTCAGGCTCTTCCAACCTCACACAAAGGACCGCGCCACCACCCCCTCGCCCCGCCCGCCGGGACATGTAGTTCCCGTTTCCCCAGACAAGCCGCAGATGGGGAAGCAGCCAGACTACAGATCCCAGCAGCCTCCGCGCCCGAGCCCCGCACCCTCTGCCTCCATCTTGGCTGCTGTCGGAGCCTCCATTTTCGCTCCCTCCCCCCACTTTAGTCACCACCACCACTACCACCACGCGCAGCCGGCTGGCCTCAACTCCTCGTTTCAGCTCTGCGACCTGACATGAGGCCCAGGCAGTTGAACGGGAGACGTATGAAAAAGCCCAGGGCAGGGAATCGGGGTGCATTCTTCCCCACCTAGAGCTCTACGAGTGCCCACCTTGACTCAGAAGGCTTCTCGTTAGCCTTGGTCTTATTCTCAGCCCTTCCCCTGGGTTTCTGCTACCCCCAGTTGGACCCTGAGGTCGTACTCACCCCAACAGCTCAGCGCCCCCTCTCCAGCGCCGCCATAAGCAGCACGGCCCGGTACGTAGGAATAAATCTCGCTTCTCTCGCGAGAGTTGCGGGCTCCGGGCGCGTGCACGAGAAGGGGCGGAGTGAAGCGTACTCTCAACACGCTTGCGCAGCAGGGCTAAGTGACGCCAAGCAGTTTGCTGCACTTAACCACAACCAACATGGTGGCTGCATTACATTACATTCCTTCTTGGGTGTGCTGCGGGAAGCAATCTCGGTGTTTACTGACTCCTCCTGGACACTAGGGGTGGCGGGTGGCTTTAGGCGTCTCTAGTCTTCGAGCGTTTGAATACGTTTTAGCCCACAATAATGGGGTAAACCTTGAAGGCCAACAATTCTGATGGCATATTCAGGAGTCATAAAAAATGATTTATCTTTTCCCAGCAAAAATCCGGAAGGACCTCACACTCGTTTCTTCTTATAGTGCAAGCATTCTTTCTTACGTCTACTGTTTTAGAGGAATTTCATTAGTATAGAGTCAGCTTTGTAGCAAGGTAATTTAGAAATCTAAATGAGACCTTTGTTTTCCACGAAAAACATTGCAACAGATGCACAAGAGTGAGCAAGGCTGCATAATCACTAAACAAAATGAAACAAATTCAGTCAACTGACCTTTCAAGTTACGAAAGATATTCCTGTTGTGTCAGGTAATCAAAGAGGGTGGATCAGTAATTAAAAGGTTGAAATAAGAGCAAAGAGATGATTCATCCAATGGGGGAAGAAGGAAGGAGAAAAATGGGTAATTATGACCACAGGAAGTTCAATGGATTATCCCCTGCCAGACAGTAGAGCATGCTCCTCTGGTGAGAGGAATGCTTTTCCCAGATTCAATGCTTCTGTTTTCACAGATTCACTGGCTCTCTCACTTGACAGTATTGGATAAATAATGAGCAGCCAGTCTTCTGAGAACTCTCCTACCCACTTTTTGCTTACAACACATTTATTTGACATGTTGTATGTGTAACCACTGGGAAGTATACAGTTGTAAAGAAAATCGGATATAGACTTGTCCTCAAGGAACTTTTAGTCTAGCATCATTGATGATCACAAAAACAAATCTAAACATACACATTGGAATAAGTGCAATGAAGGAAAGACAACCTTCAATTCAACCTCTTGAATTCTAAGAGGAGGCCGTGTCCCATTTCTGTTCAAAAATTTCCTCACCACCTTTGTTGCTGGTGTCCAGTCCCATGTATAACACCTCAAAACTGCCTTTTTGCTCTCTTTGATGCCTTCCCACGCTTTCCTAAGCACAAATATTTGCTTCATTTTCAATGCTTTCATAGCTCACTCTATTGTAATTATTAGTTTTTACTAGGTAGTAATACTCTAGCACAGAGCTTATGAAATTCATCTTTGCATCCCTGGTTGTTGACAGTGCCCGCTCTCAACAACTCTCAAAAGCTTGTTGAATAAATAGCACTGGACAACAGTATGATAAGTTGTTAGAAATTGGAATATATTTCTGGGAAACTACAGAATGTAAATTTTTTTTTTTTTCAGATGGAGTTCACTCGTGTTGCCTAGGCTGGAGTGCAATGGCATGATCTCAGCTCACTGCAACCTCCGCCTCCCGGGTTCAAGCAATTCTCCTGCCTCAGCCTCCTGAGTAGGTGGGATTACAGGCGTGCACCACCACACCCGGCTAATTTTTGTATTTTTGGTAGAGACAGGGTTTCACCATGTTGGCCAGGCTGGTCTCGAACTCCAGATGTCGTGATCCACCCGCCTCAGCCTCCCAAAGTGCTGGGATTACAGGCATGAGCCACCGCACCCGACCTAATTTTGTATTTTTAGTAGAGACAGAGTTTCTCCATGTTGGTCAGGCTGGTCTCCAACTCCTTACCTCAGGTGATCCGCCCACCTCGGCCTACCAAAGTGCTGGGATTGCAGGCATGAGCCACCACGCCTGGCCCAGAATGTAAATATTTCAAACCAGCTGTTTTGTTTAATTCACCCAGTTCTTAAATCGAGATCTCCCCTTCCTGCAATACAGCTGGTCTGTGTATTCTAATCTAATGTTATAGAGAAACTGTACCAGGCTCTTGCGCTAGATATGAGGTCATGTGAAACTAATTAGGTAATTAGGTAATTCTACTTTTAGTATACATTCTCAAATATCACAGCAATAGGAAATGTAAAAAAAAAAAAGTCTTACTAAATTATATCAATACAATTACTATTAATAAGGAAGGATAAAGCCTTGATTTCTACCATTACACATAGCTTCTGAAAACCTTCTTTAATTATATAATCATTTCATCATCATCATTCTGAATATATCCCAATTGTCTTTAAATTCCTTTAAATTCCTCCTTGTTCCAAAATTAATATCAATTTACATTTAACACAAAATGCAGTCTGTATAAACCGAGAAATATACATTTTAGCTTCTAATGCATTAAAGAAAGTAACAGGTGGAACAATTTGATATAAATCACAAGTTAAAATGATTTACTGTTTCTACAAGTAAAACCCACAAACAGAAGTAGGTTTCATTATTAGATCACTACATAATGATTTTTTTCAGATGAATTTTGAAGTCAAATCAAAAACTGAAAAAATGTGGTTATCTTTTTATGTTTTTTTTTAAATTAAATCAGAAACTTGTTAAATCACTTTGGAAAACCATCTCCTATGCAACAGGGTGACATGGATTTTGGGAAGATAGTCTGTTAAGGAACCATCAGAAAAAAATTTGAGAAATTATTTTTAGTTATTCATCATATTTAGTTTTCTACTCTGAAAAACTTAGACAATGAAATTGATAATGATTGTGTGCTTTTTTTCCCTCTACAATCATCAATAAGTACATTATCTCTGAAGTCTACTTTAGAATCAAAAGTAAGCATTTCTTACAGTTTGTAAGGTTTTCTTGAGCAGCGGTGGGTGAGATTTTTGTCATTTCTCTGTCGAATGAGAAAAATTAGGTCAATATAGAGCTTTTTTAAAAAAATTAAATAAGGCTAAATTTATTCCAGATTTTAAGAGTTGTTTTTATTCTGACATGTCCTCCCTGTTTAGGGAAACTAAAGAGGATCTTCTTTTATAAAATTATGATAGGCTGGGCACGGTGGCTCACAACTGTAATCCCAGACTTTAGAAGCCAAGGTGGGAGGATCGCTTGAGCTCAGGAGTTCCGGACCAGACTGGGCAATGTAGCGAAACCCCGTCTTTACAAAAAAATTGAAAATTAGCCAGGCATGGTGATGCATGTGTGGTCCCAGCTACTCAGCAGGCTGAGATGGGAAGACTGCTTAAGCCTGGGAGGTCATGGCTGCAGTGAGCCATAATCGTGCTATTGCACTTCAGCCTGGGCAACAGAATGAGACAAGGTCTTAAAAAATATTTCATTAAATAAGATAAAATTATGATAATAGTGCATGGTAAAGAGGTCCACATCCAAGGTTTCAGAACAGAAATAATACTTCTAGAGCAAAAACATTCATAAAGAAGAATTATTTCCATAAGAATTAATGTAAATAATTAAGATTTGGTCCTATAGGCCTACAACCCAAAACTTTTTATTCTTTAACCAGCCTCTAAACAGTTAAAGGGCATTATATAAATAAGAATAACATAATACCACTAATGTAATAAAATATTAGAATTTAAATAAGAATGCAAAAGCTTTATATAATGCTTCCCTTTAAAATGTTAAAATTGCACTTAATAGGATAATTATGTGGACATGCTAAAATGCTGCACCAAAAGTAACCATCTAACATTGTAGCTCTGGGAGTCAGTTAATAGAGGGAAGGGTAGAGCAACAGAATATTTATAATTTAACTTAAACTGAATCCTGATGAAATCCAATTGTATTTAACATAAATCCAAACTCTTTTACTGTGCTCTTCAAGGCCCTGAATGATATAGTCCCCACCAAATTCTCTAACCCCTGGTTAACTGGTTCTTCCTATATTGTAAGTTTGTTCCTACTTCAAGGCCCATGAATTTACTGTTGTCTCTGCCTGGAATGTTCTAGCCCAAATCTTTGGGCACTTTCTCATCATTCAGATTTCAGGTCAAATGTTAACCACTTTACAAAGGCCTTTTCTAAAGTAAAAGTACCCACTAAACTATCAGTTTCCATTTGTTTATTGCTCATCCCTCTGAACTACAGCATAAGCTTCAATTCTCTAGTTCATCATTGTATCCCCAAAACCTGGCACAGTGACTTACGTATACAGTAAATACTTAAACAATATTCATTGAATGAGTAAATTTCACTTATTTTATTGAATCCAAGGCAGTAGTGATTGTATGGTAGGTCATCATTTATGGATTACTAATAAGAAAATATGTAGCCATTGCTATAAAGACACATGCACACATATGTTTATTGCAGCACTATTCACAATAGCAAAGACTTGGAACCAGTCCAGATGTCCATCAATGATAGACTGGATTAAGAAAATGTGGCACATATACACCATGGAATACTATGCAGCCATAAAAAAAGATGAGTTAATGTCCTTTGTAGGGACATGGATGAAGCTGGAAACCATCATTCTCAGCAAACTATCGCAAGGACAAAAAACCAAACACCGCATGTTCTCACTCATAGGTGGGAATTGAACAATGAGAACAGTTGGACACAGAAAGGGGAACATGACACACCAGGGCCTGTCGTGGGATGGGGGAGGGGGGGAAGGATAGCATTAGGAGATATACCTAGTGTAAATGACGAATTAATGGGTGCAGGACACCAACATGGGACATGTATACATATGTGACAAACCTGCGCGTTGTGCACATGTACCCTAGAACTTAAAGTATAATTTAAAAATAAATAAATAAATAAAATAACCCTAAAGCTCTAGAAGAAAATATGTAGCCATTTTCATTATTGATATGGTTTGGTTGTGTCCTCTCCTGAATCTCATCTTGAATTGTAGTTCGAATAATCCCCACATGTCATGGGAGGGATCCAATGGGAGGTAATTGAATCATGTGGGCAGTTACCCTCATGCTCCTTTTCTTGTGATAGTGAGTTCCCATAAGATCTGATGGTTTTATAAGGGGCTTTCCCCCCTTTGCTCAGCACTCATTCTCCTTCCTGCCACCAAGTGAAGAAGGATATGTTTGCTTCCCCTTCCACCATGATCATAAGTTCCCTGAGGCCTTCCCAGCCAAGCTGAACTGTGAGTCAGTTTAACTTCTTTCCTTTATAAATTACCCAGTCTTGGGTGTGTCCTTATAGCAGTATGAGAATGAATTAACACAACAAATTGGTACCAGGAGTTAGTGGGTCACTGCTATAAGGATACCCGAAAATGTGAAAGCGACTTTGGAACTGGTAACAGGTAGAGTCTGGAACAGTTTTGAGGGCTCAGAAGAAGAAAATGTGGGAAGGTTTGGAAATTCCTAGAGAATTGGGGACTCAGAAGACAGGAAGATGTGGGAAAGTTTGGAACTAAAATGCCGATAATAATATGGACAATGAAGTCCAGGCTGAAGTGGTCTCAGATGGAGATGAGGAACTTGTTGGGAACTGGAATAAAGGTGATTCTTGCTATGCTTTAGCAAAGAGATTGGCAGCATATTGCCCCTATCCTAGAGATCTGTGGAACTTTGAACTTAAGAGAGAGAATTTAGGGTATCTAATGGAAGAGGTTTCTAAGTGGCAAAGCATTGAAGAGGTGGCTTGGGTGCTCTTAAAAGCATTCAGTTTTATGCATTCACAAATATATGGTTTGGAATTGGAACTTGTATTTAAAAGGGAAGCAGAGCATAAAAGTTTAGAAAATTTGCAGCCTGATGATGCAGTAGAAAAGAAAAACCCATTTTCTGGGGAGAAATTCAAGCTGGCTGTAGAAACTTGCGTAAGTAATGAGGAGACAAATGCTAATCATCCAGACAATGGGGAAAATGTCTCCAGGGCATGTCAGAGACCTTCATGGCAGCCCCTTCCATCACAGGCCTGGAGGCCAAGGAAGGAAAAATAGTTTCCTGAGCCAGGCCCAAGACCCCCTGCTCTGTGCAGCCTTGGGATATGTGCAGCCTTGGGACACGGTGTCCTAAGTCCCAGCTACTTCAACTCCAGCTGTGGCTAAAAGGGGCCAAGGTACAGCTCAGGCCATTATTTCAGAGGGTGCAAGCCCCAAGCCTTGGCAGCTGACACATGGTGTTGGGCCTGTGAGTGTGCAGAAGTCAAGGATTGAGGTTTGGGGACCTCCGCCTTGATTTCAGAGGATGTACGGAAATGCCTTGATGTCCAGGCATTAGTTGGCTGTAGAGGTGGAGCCCTCATGGGGAACCTCTGCTAGGGGAGTGAAGAAGGGAAATGTGGGGTTGGAGCCCCCACACAGAGTCCCCACTGGACACTGCCTAATGGAGCTGTGAGAAGAGGGCCATCATCCTCCAAACCCCAGAATGGTAGATCCACTGACAGCTTGCACCGTATGCCTGGATAAGCTGCAGACACCTAACGCCAGCTGTGAAAGCAGCTGGGAGGGGGGCTGTACCCTGCAAAGCCACAGGGGTGGAGCTGCCCAAGGTTGTGGGAGCCCACCTCTTGCATCAATGTGACCTAGATATGAGACATCAAGTCAGACGAAGGAAATCATTTTGGAACTTTAAGGTTTGATGATTGGTGTAATGGATTTTAGGCTTGCATGGGGACTATTGCCCCTTCGTTTTGGCCAATTTCTCCCATTTGGAAAGGGTATATTTACCCAGTGCCTGTACCGCCATTGTATCTAGGAAGTAACTAACTTGCTTTTGATTTTATAGGCTCATAAGGGAAGGGTCTTGCCTTGTCTCAGATGAGACTTTGGACTTGGACTTTTGGGTTAATGCTGGAATGAGCTAAGACTTTGGAGGACTGTTGGAAAGGCAAGATCATGTTTTGAAATATGAGGATATGAGATTCGGGAGGGGTCATAGGCGGAGTGATGTGGTTTGGCTGTGTCCTCACCCAAATCTCATTTGGAATTGTAGTTCCCATAATGTCCACATGTCGTGGGAGGAACCTGATGGGAGGTAATTGAATCATGGGGGCTGTTACCCCTGTGCCACTGTTCTCATGATAGTGAGTGAGTTCTCACAATATCTAATGGTTTTATTTGTATTTATTTATTTATTTATTTTTGAGACGGAGTTCTGCTCTTGTTGCCCAGGCTGGAGTGCAATGGCACGATCTCAGCTCACTGCAACTTCGGCCTCCTGGGTTCAAGCAATTCTCCTGCCTCAGCCTCCCAAATAGCTGGGATTACAGGTGTGTACCACCACGCCCAGCTAATTTTGAGTTTTTTTTTTTTTTTTTTTTTTTTTTTTTTTTTTTTTTTACTAGAGATGGGCTTTCACCATGTTGATCAGGCTGGTTTTGAACTCCTGCCCTCAAGTGATCCACCCACCTCGTCCTCCCAAAGTGCTGAGATTACAGGCATGAGCCACCACTCCCAGCCTATCTGATGGTTTTATAAGGGGCTTTTCCCCCTTTTGTCAGCACTCATTCTCCTTGCTACCATGTGAAGGACGTGTTTGTTTCCCCTTCTGCAATGATTGTAAGTTTCCTGAGGCCTCCCCAGCCTTTCAGAACTGAAAGTCAATTAAACTTCTTTTCTTTATAAATTACCCAGTCTCGGGTATGTCCTTATAGCAGCACGAGAACTGACTAATACAATTATGAAATAAAACTTTCACTACTTAGAATTTTTATATTTATTGAAAGGGCTATTTTAAACTTTTTTTTTTTTTGGAGACAGGGTCTCAGTCTGTTGTCCAGGGTGGATTGCAGTGGCATGATCTCAGCTCACTGCAGCCTCCATCTCCCAGGCTCAAGCAATCCTCCTGCCTCAGCCACCTGAGTAGCTGGGACTATAGGCATGCACCACCACGCCTGGCTAATTTTTGTATTTTTTTGTAGAAATGGGGTTTTGCGATGCCCAGGCTGGTCTTGAACTCTTGGGCTCAAGCAGTCCTCCTGCCTCAGCCTTCCAAAGTACTGGGATTACAGGAATGAGCCACCTGTGCCCTGCCTAGACATAGATTTAAATCATGTCTCCCTTTTGTGTGTATATGAAGTAAAAAAAAAAAAAAATGGCAAAATAAATTTGTTAAGGTATTCCTAAAACTTCTTCACAAAGTCTAACTCTTCTGAATCTCTTTCTTTTCAGTAATAAATTTGACCATATTTTAAAAATTCCATTCATCATGAGGCAACATAAAAAAGTTTAAAAAATCAACAGACTAGTATATTTGCATTATATAAAAAATGTATTGGTATCATGAATATATAATACATTAATAAGAAAAAGCCAAAAGGAAAGAAAAGGAAAATGGAGAAAATACTTGAAGGTCCATATTTTTTTTAAAACCTGTATAGGCAAATACTTGAAATTATACCCAGCCTCATTAGAAATCAGGGGGATGAACTTTTTTTTTTTAGATTTTTACACTTACAGAAGAGGTAGAAAAATAGTACAGAAAGTTTCCATAAACTCTGTACTTGCTTCTCCTATTTTAACCTTACATAACTATAGAACAATTTTCAAAACTAGGAAATCAACTTTGACATGATAATATGACTTGAAATACAAAATTAATTTGGGCTGCACCAGTTATTCCAACAATGTCCATTTTCTCCTCCAGGATCAAATCTAGGATCCCACACTGCATTTAGTTTTTATGTCTCCTTTGTCTCCCTTCTATGACAGTTCTTTAGTCTTTGTCTTTTACAACTTTAACACTGAAACAGGCTGGGTGTGACGGATCATGGCTGTAATCCCAGCACTTTGGGAGGCCGAGGCGGGCGGATCACTTGATGTCAGGAGTTTGAGACCAGCCTGGCCAACATGGTGAAACCCCGTCTCTAGTAAAAATACAAAAATTAGCTGGGCGTGGTGGCAGGCCCCTGCAATCTCAGCTACTCTGGAGGCTGAGGCTCTAGAATTGCTTGAACTCAGGAGGTAGAGGTTGCATTGAGCGGAGTGAACTCAGGAGGTAGAGGTTGCAGTGAGCCTGGGCAACAGAGTGAGACACTGACTCTCTCTCTCTCTCTATATATATACTTTAAAACAGTATCAGTCAGCTATTTTGCAGATTTCCCTCAATTTGGTTTTGTCTGATGTTTTCTCTTGATTAGATTGAGGTTATACATTATTTGGAACACTACAGAGGTTATGTGCCTATCATTGCTCAATATCAGGGGTATATAATGTTGAAGTGTATTATTACAATTATTATTATTGAGATGAGGTCACGCTTGTCGCTCAGGTTGGAGTACAGTGGCATGATCTCGACTCACTGCAGCATCCACCTCCTGGGTTCAAGCAATCTTCCCACCTCAGCTTCCCAAGTAGCTGGGATTATAGGCGCCCACCACCACGCCCGGCTAATTTTTCCATTTTTAGTAGAGACGGGGTTTCACCATGTTGACCAGGCTGGTCTTGAACTCCTGACCTCAGGTGATCCACCCACCTCGGCCTCCCGAAGTGCTGGGATTACAGGTGTGAGCCACCTTGTCCAGCCATTGAAGTGTATTATTAATGATGTTTACCTTAATCAGTTGATGTCTGCCAGGATTCTCCATTGTAAAATTACTACTTTTCCCTTTGTAATTAGTGAGTATTTGGGGGCAGGGCAATGCTTTGGTAATGTACTGAATTGAATAGTGTCCCCCCTAAATTCATTCCCACCCAGAACCTTAGAATATGACCTTATTTAGAAATAGGGCCTTTGTGGAGGTAATCAAGTTAAGATAAAGTCATACTGGATTAGAGTGGGCCTGAATCCAATGAGTAGCGTCCTTAGAAGAGAGAATTTTATACACTGACTAGAGACATGCAGGGAGAATGCCATATGAAGACAAGAGATTGAAGTGATACATCTAGAAATCAGGGAACAGGAATTGCCAGCAACCCCAGAAGCTAGGAGAGGGGCATGGAACACATTCTCCCTGAGACTTCTAGTCTCCAGGACTACGAAAGAATAAATTTGTTTTAAGCCACCCAGTTTGAGTTCATTTGTAATGGCAACTCTAGGAACTAACGCAAACGTATATAAATATCCTGTTTTTGCTTAAATTTTAGCCCACTATTCATTGGTGCATCTTGCTGAATCTTTCTGGTTCATAGATATCCAGGTTTTCCCACATAGAATTATTTTGAGCCCACCAAGAACACTGATAATGTAGCATTTCCTCAAAGAGTGCTTCATGGTTTCCAGGATTTTATTCTGAGCTGCTAAAAGCCACTGGAGTAGGTAGAATTCCAAGCTGGCCACCAAGATTCCCACTGGTGTCGTACGTGTCTTGTATCATCCCATCTTAAGCATAGGTGAAACGTGGATACGAGAAGCTGTATCACTTATATCTCTTTTATGGCAAAGGGATTACTGCAGATATAATTAAGATCTCTAATCAGTTGGGTTAATCAAGAGGGAGATATTCTGGTTGGACCTGACTTAGGTGTATTCTTAAAAGGGAGTCTATTTGCCGGGCATGGTGGCACATGCCTGTAATCCCAGCTACTCGGGAGGCTAAGGCAGGAGAATTGCTTGAACCCGGGAGGTGGAGGTTGCAGTGAACTGAGATCACGCCATTGCACTCCAGCCTGGGCAACAGGACAACGGGAGCGAAACTCCGTCTCAAAAAAAAAAAAAAAAAAGGAGTCTAGAGGTGGGAGACAAGAAGTCAGAGATATTTCCTGTTGCCCTTGAAGAGAGTCTTCTAGTTGTAGAGCTGTACTGAAATGGATTTTGTCAATAATTACGTGAACGTGGGAGAGAGACTGGAGCCTCATACGGGATGCTGGCTTCAGCTGACACCTTGATTTTAGCCTTGTGAGTGCAAGAGAGGAGAACCCATTTGAGCCCTGCATGGACTTCAGACCTACAGAACTGTGAGATAATACGTGGATGTTGCTCTAAACTGTTATTTGTGGTAATTTGTTATATAGCAGTAGAAAACTAATACAGCCAGCCATACTCCAAATTTGTGTGGTGGCACACTCTTGATAAAAAGGTGTCAATGGAAAGAACAGAAAATGGCCAAAACCCATGTTCTTTTTTCACATGGTCCTGAGTTTGACTGAAATATTCAGATTGCCTTTGTCCAGTCATCCACCATAAGTGCAAACCAATTTTGTATATGCTTACAATCAACCACATCGGAACCTGTACCTGTGTAAGACATATCCCAATATCAAAGATGTTAAAATAAGAAATAGAAATGAATGTTACAATCAGTAACATACAAACATTCATCAATTAGTTCCACACATATTTATACGAGCCTAGATGAAATTTTGAGTGAAGTTGTAGCTAATTGAAACTCTGAAGGTTCTGCCTCCTCTTCAGCATTACAGGAGTGACAAAACAAAAAGCATTATCTGCTTTTTCCTATATTAGCAGATAATACCCCTTAATTCACTCTGAAAGTTGCCATGAGATATTATCAGTGAAATAACTGCAGAATGTGAAATACGTCATCTTATAGTTAAATGTGTTTAATATAAATGAGACACAGGAAGGGAGAATTAAAAATTAGTAAGTAAAATATTAGCAAGGATTTTTTTAAAAAATGTATAATTTATTATATATGTATGTATTCCTTAACAATATGTTGTATAACCCAACAATGAAATATACATCAATGAAAATGACAGCTATAAAACAATAAAACTTGTGAATTCTAGAGACATGTTGAGTGAAAAAAACCAAATCCTTAGACTACATAGAGTATGATACAATTTTTTTGAAGTTCAAAAAGAAAGAAAACTATAAAATAAGTCACTTTAGGGATACATATGTATTTTAGGTCTTTCTACATTCGAACAAATCTATTAAAAAGAGAGCGGGGGGGTCGGCAAAGATAGGAGAAGAGCTCAAATAGATAAAATACAAGCACTCATAATGTTATTCTTAAGTTAGGTGATGAGTTATTATGCTTGATAATTTATTTGCATTCCCCATTTACCCTTTTATAAGCATCAAATATTACATTTAAATATAAGTCCCAAATTATGTATAAAGTGTTGATAAAATTTATATCTGCATGGCTGTTCCTAAAACTATGCTTATTTTATCAAGCAGAGTTCTTGGTTTTAGGCAATTCAGGTTAGTTTTAATAACAGCAAAAAAATGATTTTATTAAAAGTAATTCTCAGGATCTCTAGGACAGCCAGCAAACAAGAATTAGAGGTTACAGGCCAGGCACAGTGGCTCACGCCTATAATCCCAGCACTTTGGGAGGCCAAGGCGGGCGGATCACCTGAAGTCATAAGTTCGAGACCAGCCTGGCCAACATGGAGAAACCCCATCTACTAAAAACACAAAAATTAGCTGTGCATGGTGGTGGGCACTTGTAATCCCAGCGACTTGGGAGGCTGAGGCAGGAGAATCGCTTGAACCCAGGAGGTGGAGGTTGCAGTGAGTTAAGACAGTGCTACTGCACTCCAGCCTGGTTGACAGAGCAAGACTGTCTCAAAAAATAAAAATAAAAAAATAGAATTAGAGGTTATCGCTAACTAAATCACTTTTGCTGTACCTCTGTGGAGATGAATGCAGTAGTGTTGTTAATCACCATCTTCAAAGGAATCTGCATGGTTCCCTCCTTCTTTGTATCACTAATTTTAAAATTGAAGGCAGATGTTTCTTCCTTAGCTGCAAAAGGAGGCTGAGAAAACATTACCTGGTACTTTCAAATTCTTTAGGAGGAAGAAATGCTCTGCCTCATTAGGTGAGGGATTCCTTAAACACAGGAGTTAGGATACTGGGCAGCCAAAAGAGAAATGACAGATGTCTGCTACAGCCCATTCTCTTGGCCATTCAATGTCAACACACTCCTTCAGCTAATTCTTCCAAAACTATATTCAAGGGGAAAGGACTTGACAATATAAAGTCACAGACATGTCACAGTCACAGACACTGTTAATTGCTTTCTCAATATTCTTTCTTCTTGCTAATACTGATTTTATTTGGGACAGCTATGTACCCTGCTTTCTTTGCAGGTACCAGTGGCCATTTAACTGGTCAGGCAATTAAGTCAAGGGAAAATCCATTTGGGATTTCTGAGAAAGCTTTGCTTTCCCTCATAAAAGGCGATATATATAGCTGGCACAGGCCATTTCCATTTTTTCTTCCTTGCCTTCAACATGGCCATGACATTTGGCTTGGCAACAACTTTCTAGCAAACACAAGAAAACAGCATGAGGGATGTAAGCCAATATGGTAAGGAGGCAGATTTGAAAGACAGAACTGCACCTTTTCCTGTATATAGTAAGAGTCACTGATTAAACATTATTCCTTTCAGTTGAATCACACATACTCTCAGCTACACCATTCTAGAAAATAATATCTCATTAGTTAAGACTCCATTTATTGAATTCATAATACTTTATAAGCTGTGGTGTTTCTTTTGCACTAATAAAAATAGATTTTGCTAATCAAGAACCACTTGAACTCCCAACAGTATTTGGCATTTAGGCATCTCAAGTTAGTTAGTGATTAAAAATGTGCTTAAGACTCTGTCTGGGTTTGAATCTTGGTTCCAGTTTGGACAAATAACCACCTCCTTGTGCCTGAGTATCTGCAAAATGAGGTACAGTTAAAATGGAGTTTATATAATACAGTACCTGACAGGTAGTAAAGCACTCAATAGATGGTAGCTATTATTGGCAATACCATACATACTTTGCTTTTGTGGCACCAAAGTTTTCTATTTCCCTCCTACCCATTTATTATCTCTATTGAATTCTCAAGTTTAAAGTCCCTCTTCTGTATCTTATACATACTATAATGGATTTATCACACTGCATTATAATTTTATATATATACTTGTCTCCTGTACCAGACTTTTTCATTTTTAAATTCATAAGTACTAATGAAGTGGTTGGCACATAGACTATTTTCTTTTTCATCTTTTAGAGTGCTAACTATTACACAATGGGGCCTAGACTAGATATTTTAAAATCAGTGTCTTTAGGAATTGTTTGAGATGATTAGAATACAAATTCTTGAACTTCATCACCAAGTTTCTATTTCAGTAGGTCAGGGAAGCACATTTTGAAGAACACTAAAATAGACCTTCAATGTTTGAATCCAATTATGCATAAGGTATTAATATAAGAATTATACATAAGATATTGATATAATACTACACTAATATAAGGTACTATTTGTAGAGTTATACACTGCTGAATATACTGTGCTAATTACAAAGTATTTATGACTCTTGTGAGGACCACTTGACAAGGTTGCTATATATATGTAAAAAAACCCTCTGCACTTCCTCATTTGACTTACTACTGAGTAAAATTAGCTTATCTTCTCAAAATGCAGTTTTTGTTAGAAAATATAATTTTGAACTAAGATTTTTGCAAACCAGGCAAGTTCTTCATCCACTCAAGGAGAAACTTTAAAATCCACTTAAAATGAAGAGCATTCCTCCCCGACTCAATTTTCTAACTACATATTATCTTCATAGCATTAACACCAGCCAGAATTTATATTATGTAGAGCACTAAAAGCTTCTTAGACTTGTACCTCAGGCTTTTAATTTTGCAGGGGGAAAAGTTAGTATGTCGATTTATCCTAACACTTGAGATATAAAGAACTTTATAAACAGCTCTAAAGGAACATAAAGCACATAAAGGGACACCATATTATACCTTGATTTGATTACTTCATCATTTTCACTGAAATCTGGCCATGGTAGGTTTGGCCGTGGCTGCCAAATGGTATAGAGTACCTGCCTCTTGAATGGATTTATGGGGTCACTTAAGGTATACTTCGAGGCAGATGGCTGGGCTAATAGTTACTTACTTACTCTTGGGAAATGAAATAAAAAATGCTCACACTTGGAAGTGTTTTTTTTGTCAAATTCTATGCAGGATATCAAACAGAAATTTGAAAAATTCTTAAATGACATATACCTATTCATTAACACCCACTGCTCTAGATGACATCCATTAGTTATTACTGGGATCAGATGCTTTTAGGACATCTTTAAAATATTTTGTTATTTTAACTGTAGTTCTTTATAGCATTACGAAAGAAATATCACTCACATAAAGCACTAACAACTCTTTTTAGTACTGTGTCTCTCCCATGCAGTATGGTGCTTAATGTTACTGGAAAATATTGACAGGTTTAGCATTATTTCAACTAATTCTGGGCAAATCTAAATAGAATAGTATAACATGAAGAAATTTATAAATTTGAAATGTGAGTAAACTGGGACGGGAATGAGTTGATGAGTGAACCCAGTTGACCACTGGGCATTTGAATCTCAATGTTGCCTACACAGCATTATGAGTGTAATAATTTTCATTAGGTAACAAAACTGCTTCCTCACCTTTTTATATAGCTTAAACAAAAAAAAAGAAAAAAGATAAAAAAAAACCCTGCTTCTATGTAAACAAAAAAAAAGAAAGCCAACTATTAGTGCTAGGAATGAAAGACATCCAATCCAAGTAAGTGATGGTTCTTAACTATAAAATGGAAATTGTATAAAAATTAAAATAGAATGTAGAACTAGTAGGATAACATTGAAAAACTGACTACTTATATTTGTTTTTTTTATTTTGTGTGTGTTTTTGGCTGATTATATTTAATAAAAGCTACTTTTAGTATTTGAACTAAGTGCACATGTGTGCATTCACATACACAGGACAAGCTCCTCAGCTTTGAACAATATGAACTTTGGACAATATGACAACTATAGCATCACTGGGCAAAAAAAATAGCTGACTTATTTCCAAGTGTGTTTCCTGGGACTAGCAGTAGGTTCTCTCAAATTAAAAGTAAAGGCACCAGGCTATAAAGTGCCAATTCTTAGCACCAGAGAGACTTAAAATGTCACAGGTGAATGACATTACAAATCAGAGAATCTGCTGATCTAGTTCTGTGGAATTGTATTATTTTTGTCAAATGGAAAAAAAAAATCAAGGTTTATGCCAAATAGATTTAAACAGTTAAATCTTTCCTAAAATTTCCTAGAAGTGTATTTTACAATGCTATGTAAAATAAATTGCTGGCTTATAAAAAATGCTCAAAGTTTCAGAGATGTGAAAAATAACAAAGAACTGAAAACATAGTTTATATAAATCAAGGTCCCAGAAATGAAAATTAAAAGTAGTCTCTTTGAGAAAGGAATGGTGAAATTCAGCATGTAGTATTCACATTAACACATCTGAGAACTGTGGACAGCCAATATTGACTGGAATTCTAAATTGCCACCTGATACCTTTAATTAAGATTAAATCAAATCTGAGGCAAGACACTTAATGGACAGTACTTGAATGGGAAGACAGTAACTTCCTTCCTTGATAGACAATCTCCAGCCATCATTCAGAGTTCAGTTATTTGATGGCTTGGGAAGCAGTGTCCATTGAGTTTTCCTTTCTGGCTTGAAGAGACTCACTGCTGATGGACAATAATTCTCGAAGTTCCTTATTTTCAAGCTGGAAAAAAAAAGGCATGTTTATTTCTGGTATTTTTACTGTCCAACTGCATTACAACAACACATTATTTTGAGCCAGGAGCAGAAAACATTATTTTAATTTTAAAAAATTTATGGAAACAAAAAATCCACTAGTTGAGAATTTCCTTAAATACTACTTTATTCATTTAACAAACATTTACATGTAGGATGTAGGCAATGATACTCTTTTGTAGTAGTAATTTACTGAGTAATTTCTATATACCAAGTGTTAGGATTACAAAGGAGAAACAAAAAACAAGGTCCTCTCCATTTAAGGAATTCACTGTTATATTCTTCTTGGTTCCCACAGTTTTACTATTATTTCTTTTATTTAAAAAATTCCTAATAATCGTTTCACTCTGATTAATCTCCTCTCCTGGATATCTTACAGTTCTAGAGAAATGGAAGGAAAGGGGGAAAGAAATTACTTATTGAGCATGTAGCTGGGTACTACTTGGGTGCCCTGTATATGTTATCTCACAATAATCTGTAGGGTAGGTATCATTGCCTACATCCATATATTTCAGATGAGGATACTCTGGCTCACAAAATTCCTAAAAGTTGTCCAAATTCAGACAACTTGGATGTGGTATTGCTGGGGTCTGAATCTGGTGGTCGTGTATTTTCTACTTGAAGTATTAAGGTAGAATTTGCCCCACATTTCCTTAGGGCTGTTTCCGTAAGTGAGGTAAATCGGGGATAAATAGAAGGTCATGCTATCATTTCACTAGCTCCTAATTCCTACTTGGGACCTGTCACTACCTTTGATTTCTAGAGAGGGTAGCTTCTGCTCTTCATCCTTATCCTCTGCAGAAAACTCTGGTAAACCAAAGCATTTTTAGCTTCACCAAGATGTGCGGAAGTCCCAGCTAGAGTAACTAAGAGATTAGAGCCTGTGGTCGACGAATCTTCTACCACATGAAGTGCTTCCTTCGGTATTTGTATCTGTCTCCTAGCATTTACATATTATTTAATATCATATAATACTAGGGTTATCCCTTCCACTAGACTCTGGGCAGGTATCTGTTTTTTTCTCTCTGGTATTTCTCAAAGGCCCCAGGACAGCACCTTGTAATAAGCAGCATTCAAACCATTCACTGAAATGCTTTGCTTTTTTTTTTTTTTTTTTGAGACAGGGTCTCACTCTGTCACTCGGTTGGAGTGCAGTGGCATGCATGATCGTGGCTCACTGCAGCCTTGACTTCCCAGGTTCAGGTGATCCTCACACCTCAGCCTCTGAGTACCTGGGATTACAGGTGTGCACCACCACACCTGGCTAATTTTCTGTATTTTTTGTAAAGACAGGGTTCCGCCATGTTGCCCAAGCTGCTCTTGAACTCTTGGGCTCAAGCAATTCACTTACCTCAGCCTCTCAAAGTTGAAATGTTTTTCCTTAACAATTTTATGAGCACACTAATACCCCGAACTTTTTTTGTAACATATTCCTATTCTAATCAAAATATGACATAAACATAGCTTTTAAGAAATCAAGACTACAAGGCTTATACAAGCAGTTCTTTGGCTTTGTACCCCAAATGCAACCACTTTTAACACTTTTATCTATTTCTTTTGGTATTTAATTCTGTAATTCTAAATAATATGCTTATACTGCTATTTCCTGATCATCAATTTTAGACATTATCTACTTCACTTCTTATTATGGCAGATGAAGGATTTTATCTCACATATAACTTCTCCCCTCCACTCCCTCTACCTTCCCATATGATAATACCTCAAGTTCTTGCCAATACATAGTTGGTATTTCCATTGATTGCTGTTTACTATATTTCCTTTCTTCAAAAGGGTATAAAAGGGTATGAAGGAGGAGTTTTAATTTTAAATCATGAGCACACAGAAAACATCAATATATTACAGTGATGGGATAGTGATGGCATATCTTCCAGACTCGGAAAACTATGAAATACTGTGAACCTAAATTAGCTACAATCTTACCTCTAATTGGGCTAATTTTTCCTGAATCTTACAAAACTGGTCATCATCCACCTGAACTGCTTTCCTCATCACTTCTCCCATTTCACAGATTCTGTCAATCTGACTCTCAATTTCCTGTGAAGATATTAAGGAAACAAAGGTGGAAAAATCACCTGTTCTGTAGATATAAAGAACGTAAAAGCATGTGCATTACGATTTTTAAAAGTTCATTTAATCTATGATACAGAAGTTACAATGGAGTTTCCCTACAATTTTAGTCCTCAGACATGAAGCCATAGTAAAGTGACCTTGTATTCACGGATATTTTTTTTTTTTTCTTTCAAAAAATCAATTGTGGAAGACAGTGTGGTGATTCCTCAAGGATCTAGAACTAGAAATACCATTTGACCCAGCAATCCCATTACTGGGTATATACCCAAAGGATTGTAAATCATGCTACTATAAAGACACATGCACACATGTTTATTGCGGCACTATTCACAATAGCAAAGACTTGGAACCAACCCAAATGTCCATCAATGATAGACTGGATTAAGAAAATGTGGCACATATATACCATGGAATACTATGCAGCCATAAAAAAGGATGAGTTCATGTCCTTTGTAGGGACATGGATGAAGCTGGAAACCATCATTCTGAGCAAACTATCACAAAGACAGAAAACCAAACACCGCATGTTCTCACTCATAGGTGGGAATTGAACAATGAGAACACTTGGACACAGGGTGGGGAACATCACACACCGGGGCCTGTCATAGGGTTGGGGGAGTGGGGACGGATAGCATTAGGAGGAATACCTAATGTAAAGGACGAGTTAATGGGTGCAGCACACCATCATGGCACATGTATACATATGTTAACAAACCTGCACGTTTTGCACATGTACCCTAGAACTTATTTAAAAAACAAACAAAAAAAAGGCCTCCTTAAGGGGATCCTCATTCCAGTTGTATATGTTCTATTGATACCACTACTAAGGAATACAGTTTTTTAAAATATATATAATGTTTCTTATATTTAAAACCAAGAAGTGAAGAGTAGAATGCATTTTCTGTTTTCGCTCTTTGCCCAGACATCAAGTTGATAATCATATGGTTATCTGTGATATGCATCAGCTCATAAGTAACCCTTTGGTATGTGAACATGGGGAATTTTAAAATACTGGGCTCTTCAATATGGATTTGTGTTACACTCATGTCATCATCTCATGCCTTCCAAGATTTCAAAGGATCTGATGGCTGTAATTGCAGAGAATAAATGAGTAATCTTTAGTCTATTTCAGAAATAGAAGGCCACATGATTCCCTTTCCATAAAGGACTAAGGTTTCATCCAATGCCAACTCTGGTAAGGCCTTAGTCATTTTTGTGGGTGAAATCTGATTCGATGCAAGCAATGTTATTTTCATTTCTGAAAATTATCTATGTCCAGTGCATCAATCCCCCAGTAGGTCCACACTCCAATAAAAAGATTTGAAATGGAAAAAAAAAATCAATTGTAGTTTAACTACCCATTGGATGTTGGATACTATCTCTAAGTGGCTGTTTAACTTAAATTTGAATACTTTTACTGGCAGGAAGCTTACTACATTCCAAGGTGCTTTATTCCATCTTTGGACATATCACTTAGAAAGTTTATCTATCTGAGTAAACTCTGTCTCTTTCAAGGTTCAAGTTTTTTCCTCCATACGAGAAGAAAATCTATTTTTCTCTTCCAGATGAAAGCCATTCAAATATTTAAAATATCTGTTTCCTAAAACTTTTAAGTCAGTAAAATGCATTCAATGGAATTTAAGATGAAGCTTATATTTCACTACATCTCACAGAAGTAGTAGGCTCCAACCCTATACATCTAGAATTAAATGATACAGTACACAAGAATGTACAATGACAACCATGAAGCACCTATAAACATAAGAACAATTACTGAGTCTCCCAAATTAGCAAAGAACAGAAACTATGCCATGTTTGTTTTTTTAAAAAACCATACTTCTCTCCCCTAACAACATAGTATGATACTATGTGGTTCAGTTTATAAAAGGTTTACTGACTGCCTGCTGTATGTCAGGTACTATGTTAGGAATAAAATGTGAATTCATGCGCCTTACAAGCAAGGAGCTTAAGTTAAATGTATAAGTAATAACCAACCAAGTGTTTACCAGGCAGCTTCAACACTAACTGGCATTATGTTTGGTGGGAGCGCTAAGAATTAATGAACATTTTCAAAAGAGATCTTGGTGAGGGAGGGGGAACCTTAGTCCCACTCAAATAAAAGGATCTGAGCAGCCCCTATCCTCCTTCTTTCTATTCATATCTTTACAAAGCCATGGCAAAATAAACAACAAATGTGATAAACATGAAAGGAAAATGAGCTTACTTTTCTTCAAAAACAAGCACACATGGCCAGGCGCAGTGGTTCATGCCTATAATCCCAGCACTTTGGAAGGCTAACGTGGGTGGATCGCTTGAGCCCAGGAGTTTCAGACCAGCCTGGGCAACATGGCGAAATGTCATCTCTACCAAAAAACAAACAAACAAACAAACAAACAAACAACCCCACAAAAATTAACAGGGCGTGGTGGTGTGCACCTGTAGTCCCAGCTGCTCCGGAGGCAGAGGTGAGACGATGGCTTGAGCCCAGGAGGCAGAGGTTGCAGTGAGCCGAGATCGTGCCATTACACCACGGCCTGGTCGACAAGAGCCAGACCCTATCTCACAAAGCAAAAAAACAAGCACACAATCTAAAACAATCTCAAGATTTCAATTTGGTTCATTTCGAATTTATTCAAAGTTTCTTACTGCAGAGTGAGACTGGTGAGCTTTCAGGACTGGTTCAGCATCCACCGCTTTTTTAGCAACCATTAACTGTAACATCTGTTTCCGATATTTGCTCATGATAAGTTCCAAAGCATCCTGGTGTTCCTCCAAGGAAATCCATAGCTCTGTCAAAAAATAAAAGAACTTGGCAGTGATGTCTGAGAGACAGTTCCCAAATCCAAAGTCTTAACAGTTGGAATTTTGTAACACTATATAGATAATATGAATCTAAAGTTGTAAATCAATGTTTAAGTCCGCAAAACTGAACAGTTAAAGTCTATGTGAAAGGTAACTTTCTAGGCAGAGAAGCAAAGTCTTGCAGAAACAACAATGGATGTATCATCAGAAGACATGTGTTTGAGTTCAGTTCTGTAACTTGCTTGGTTAATACTCATAAGTAAATCATTTAGCTTCTTCTGAGCCTATTTCTTAACTGCATTGTGGTAGATAAAAATGAAGATATGAGAATACAGTAGAATGATATATGTGAAACCCCTCTGGTAAACAACTATTAATACCACAATCATTAATAATGTACTAATCAAGCCTAAGAATATATACCCTTAGAATAAAATTCTGCTGCTTCACCTTGCACAAACAAGAACATAAACAAAACCTTAAATCTTACCTTCAGTGTTTATATTAATACTTAAACATTAAATTTTAAGTCCATGAGGCTATGAACTCTTTTGTTACACATCTGAGGATGCTTAAAAATAAACCATGCAATAATACCAACTCTACACAGCACCTCTTTGGTAAGCTGCTGCAATATTAGTCAGATGACCTTGAAAAGGGTAATCTAACAAACTTTATTGTTACTGGGCCAGATCAGGAGGACTCTCCTACTAAAAGTACTGACCTGGAAATATATGTACACTTTTGTAAATGTTTAGGGCAATTTTGCAATAACTTTAAACTATTACCAGATATGAAAAGGCCTGACTAACCTCTGTTTTCCTGTTGCAAGTCTCTAATCTGTGTGTTCTCTTGGGACAGCAGAATGTGAGGTTTGTATTTGGACATGTCCTTCATATCGGATGCATCCTCTTGATACTGGACAAATAGAGACAGACTAAGCATGCCTTAAAGAGAACAGCGGCAGATGCAACTGAAGAGGCAGAAGTTAGGGCTCCAGGGCAGGATTCTCAGCCCCGACCCAGGAAAATGGTCTCACCGCCGCCCTCTGAGACCGGGAATAAATTCCAGGCCGAGTTCCCACTTTACCTCGCTCTCCACCCTTCAGTGCCCAGAATCCGAGAGCACTGGACTCCTACCCTCTGCCTGACCTGGTCCGGAAGCGCTGTCCCCGCCTCCCGCATAGCTGCTACCCGCCGGTGCAGCGCCGCCGACTGATCCACCAGCGACTCGGCGGCCGCATCGTGCTCCCGTAGCCTCTCCAGCAGCGTCTTGGCGTCTGTCAGGATCTTCTCGATGGTGCAGCTCATAGCAGCAGCACCACCCCAGCCCCTGCCGGGCTCAGCTACGCGACTCGCTCAGATCTTCTGGGAGTCTGTCTCAGCATTACAGGCGTCATTTCCGGGCACGTTTACAAGGTGTCTTGGTAGGCGCAATGGGCGCCTGCGCAGTGGCAGCCTATTTTGCGGGTTGACCCGCTTTAACCTGCGGCTTCCTTGCAGTCCTTCCTTGCGCGGAGCCCCAGACCTACACTTGCCACGCCGTTGGTTTCCAGTTACCACAGCCTGGTGGTCAGGCTATGATTAGCTGGGCAGTGGGAAGGTCTCCTTTCCCTACTGGTTTTCATTGATGTGGGTTGTTCTTCAGTCACAGTTAGTTTCTTTTTATTTTCATTATTTTTTTCTTTTTTGAGACGGAATCTTGCTCTTGTCCAGGCTGGAGTGCAGTGGCGCGATCTTGGCTCATTGCAACCTCTGCCTCCAGGGTTCAAGCGATTCTCCTGCCTCAGCCTCTCGAGTAGCTGGGATTACAGGCATGCGCCACCACGCCGGCTGATTTTTCTATTTTTAGTAGAAACGGGGTTTCACATGTTGGCCAGGCCGGTTTCGAACTCCTGACCTCAAGTGATCCGCCCGCCTCGGCCTCCCAAAGTGCTGGGATTACAGGTGTGAGCCCCCGCGCCTGGCCTACTTTCATTTAATTTTTTTTAAATTGTGGCAAAATACACATAAAATTTAATATCTCAGCCATTTATAAGTGTACAGTTCAGTTGTACATTCATATTGTTATACAGCCACCATCAGCATCCATCTCTAGAACTCTTTCATCTTGCAGTACTGAAGTTCTGTACTCATTAAACAATAATTCCTCATTCTTCCTTATCCCCAGCTCCTGGCAGCCACCATTCTACTTTGTGTCTCTACAAATCTGACTATTCTGGGTACCTGACATGAGTGAAATCATACAGCATTTGTATTTATATAACTGCCTTATTTCACTTAGTGTAATGTCCACGAGTTTCATCCATATAGTAGCATATGTTAGAATTTCCTTCCTTTTTAAGGCTGAATAATATATATATACCACGTTTTGTTTATCCATTCATCCGTGGATGGACAGTTGGGTTGCTTCCACCTTTTGCTATTGTCAATAATGCTGCTATTGCAACTGGCTCACGTCTGGCTGCTTGCTGCCTAGAGGCCAAAAACATGAGAAGTGACCTGTGGTGAAAGCTTTACTAATCAAATGCTCGCAGATGGGGAATGGCTAGGCTCATGCCTTCAAAACAGCATTCCACTTTTTTTTTTTTTTTGGTCAAGGTATCCCAGAGACAGTATCAGTGTCCAAACTTTAATTTTGTCCCATATCAATGCCAGGGTGGTGTGCTACCTGCCCTGAGTCCATCATGTCCCTCCTGCGGCCAACTGACTTAGAGTCAAAAGAGTTACAGCCAATTAAACGTTCTAGGTCAGATGGGAAGGAGGTGGGCAGGCACTCATTAACCTTAAAACCCCTCTTAAGCAATGTTAAGAGGCAAAAACCAAAAGGCAAGGGTTACAAAATTGACTTATCTATAAATTCTATGCATTGAGCTGCTGTAATCTTGGCTTGTTGCAATTAGCTATACAAAATGCAAGCATTTTGTTTAGCTGTTTTGGCATCTGTGTCATCCTTGATTTGTAGGGTCTGAACTAATTTTAGCTCTCAATACTGGCCCTTACAACATTACGTTATAGTCTCTAGGCATGGCGGGATTGAAGAGTTTCAACTTTTGTAGGTAAAACAAAACAGAAAGAATTAACAACATTTCAAACACAAAGGTCATAAACCCTGCCTAGTTTTGAGAATAACAGGAAAAGAAGTTCATAGGTAGCTAAACACTTAAATTATTTAGTATCAAGGCACAGAATAAATTATATTAATTCAGATAGAGGCAGAATTGTTAAATGAATCTTAATATTTTTGAACACAAGACTGTCCCTGTGTCTCATGAAAGCAGTTTACTTTGTCGCCTTTGCCTGAGTCTAACGATGAGGCTTTGGTTAATTGCAGTTTAGTGTCAGATACTGGCAGGAGTTGATGCCTTCTTTGGATGAGATATGTGTAAGTCCCTATAACTTAAAAGCACAAGGATTAGTTAATATCACCTGATAAGGACCTTTTCAAGGAGCTGGAGGTGTGATACCGGAGTCTATGACCTGACTGGAAGCTGTAAAAATATTTTACAACCTTGCAGTGATTAATTTTTATAGCTTCGATAAACCCCAGCAATAAGTCAGAGACTTAATTTACGATTTTGATTTTGAGGACATTGGTCAAAGATTTTAAAAGCCTCAAAACATTTGATCAAAACAAGATAATATTCATTGTAAAAATAATAGTTACTCATTTAACCAAACTGATAATTAAAGACTTTAAAGGCAATTGAGAAGGTTACCAGGACATAAAAACCTGAACCCTTTTAAATCTCAGTTTTTCTAGGCAATTAAAAACCCATTAAAGAGAGCATGGGAATTATTTGATAAAACATTAAAATCTTGTTTCTTAAGCAAGTTACTACACAGGCAAAAAACCCCTTCTGCTGTGTGACTGCTTCTCCTTATGGGAAGACCATGTAGGTAACCTGAAAGTCATACTTGAAAAAAGTGCTTGAATTTAATCAGACACAAGAAGAGTGTATTCATGCTTATGAGTATAGCAAGGGAATACATCTCTCTGAGCAATTGCGTGAGAAGTTTCCTGATTACAACGAAAATCACATATCAAGAAAAGCCGGGAGTACAGAATCAAGTTATATTGGAGGAAAACACTGCTTTTATAGACTTCTAAGATAAAACATTTCAGCATCAGGCCCCAACAGTTAGAATCAGAGGAAAAAGAATTAGAGGAGCTGATGGAAAAAGTTGAAGGAGAGTGTCCTTTTCAAAGGGAGGAAAAAACTGAAAACAGCCAGACACAACAAAAGCTGAACTTCTGAGATATGAATCTGAGAAGTTTTAAAAAAAAATAGGTGATAGAATTAAAAAGCAAAATTTCCTTTAATTTCATTAAGAGTAAACCAACACCTTAGGAAAACCTTATTTAAACCTAGGGAATCATTCATTATTTTTATTTTTATTTTACTTTAAGTTCTGGGATACATGTGCAGAACATGTAGGTTTGTTACATAGGTATACATGTGCCATGGTGGTTTGCTGTACCTATCAACCCATCATCTAGGTTTTAAGCCCCACATGCATTAGGTATTTGTCCTAATGCTCTCCCTCCCCCTGCCCCCCACCCCCCAACAGGCCCGGGTGTGAGATGTTCCCCTCCCTTTGTCCATGCGTTCTTATCGTTCAACTCCCACTTATGAGTGAGAACATTTGGTGTTTGGTTTTCTGTTCCTGTGTTAGTTTGCTGAGGGTGATGGTTTCCAGGTTCATCCATGTCCCTGCAAAGGACATGAACTCATTCTTTTTTTTTTTTTTTTCTTTTTGAGACAGAGTTTCACTCTTGTTGTCCAGGCTGGAGTGCAATGGTGCGATCTCGGCACACTGCAACCACTGTCTCCTAGGTTCAAGCGATTCTCCTGCCTCAGCCTCCCAAGTATTTGGGATTACAGGCATGTGCCACCAAGCCTGGCTAATTTTATATTTTTAGTAGAGATGGGGTGTCTCCATGTTAGTCAGGCTTGTCTCAAACTCCCAACCTCAGGTGATCTGCCCGCCTCAGCCTCCCAAAGTCCTAGGATTATAGGCGTGAGCCACTGTGCCCGGCTGAACTCATTCTTTTTTATGGCTCCATAGTATTCCATAGTGTATATATGCCACATTTTCTTTATCCAGTCTATCGTTGATGGGCATTTGGGTTGGTTCCAAATTTTTGCTATTGTAAATAGTGCTGCAATAAACATACGTGTGCATGATTTATAATCCTTTGGAATGATTTATAATCCTTTTGGTATATACCCAGTAATGGGATTGCTGGGTCAGATGGAATTTCTGGTTCTAGATCCTTGAGGAATCGCCATACTGTCTTCCACAATGGTTGAACTAATTTACACTCCCACCAACAGTGTAAAAGCGTTCCTATTTCTTCACATCCTCACCAGCATCTGTTGTTTCCTGAGTTTTTAATGATTGCCATTCTAACTGGCATAAAATGGTATCTGATTGTGGTTTTGATTTGCATTTCTCTAATGACCAGTAATGATGAGGTTTTTTTTATATGTTTGTTGGCCCCATAAATGTCTTCTTTTTTTTTTTTTGAGAGAGAGTCTTGCACTGTCCCCCAGGCTGGAGAGCAGTGGTACGATCTCGGCTCACTGCAAGCTCCGCCTCCCGGGTTCACGCCATTCTCCTCCCTCAGCCTCCAGAGTAGCTGGGACTGCAGGCGCTCACAACCACGCCTGGCTAATTTTTTTTTTTTTTTGTATTTTTAGTAGAGATGAGCTTTCACAGTGTTAGCCAGGATGGTCTTGATCTCCTGACCTCATGATCCGTCCGCCTCAGCCTCCCAAAGTGCTGGGATTACAGGCGTAAGCCACCACACCAGGTATAAATGTCTTCTTTTGAGAAGTGTCTGTTCATATCCTTTGCCACTTTTTGATTGGGTTTTTTTTTTCTTGTAAATTTGTTTAAGTTCCTTTTAGATTCTGGAGTTTAGCCCTTTGTCAGACGGATAGATTGCAAAAATTTTCTCCCATTCTGTAGGTTGCCTG
Organism: Homo sapiens; assembly: GCF_000001405.40. NCBI lineage: Eukaryota > Metazoa > Chordata > Mammalia > Primates > Hominidae > Homo > Homo sapiens. The sequence goes on from NC_000001.11 coordinate 114,785,281, forward strand.
TTCACACTGACGATAGTTTCTTTTGCTGAGCAGAAGCTCTTAGTTTAATTAGATCCCATTTGTCAATTTTGGCTGCGGCTGAAATTGCTTTTGGTGTTTTAGACTTGAAGTCTTTGCCCATGCCTATGTCCTGAATGATATTACTTAGGTTTTCTTCTAGGGTTTTTATGGTTTTAGGTTTTATGTTTAAGTCTTTAATCCACCTTGAGTTAATTTTTGTTTAAGGCATAAGGAAGGGGCCCAGTTTCTGTTTTCTGCATATGGCTAGCCAGTTTTCCCATCACCATTTATTAAGTAGGGAATCCTTTCCCCATTGCTTGTTTTTGTCAGGTTTGCCGAAGATCAGATGGTTGTAGATGTGTGGTGTTATTTCTGAGGCCTCTGTTCTGTTCCATTGGTCTATATATCTGTGTTGCTATCAGTACCATGCTGTTTTGGTTACTGTAGCCTTGTAGTATAGTTTGAAATCAGGTAGTGTGATGCCTCCAGCTTTGTTCTTTTGCTTAGGATTGTCTTGGCTATATGGGCTCTTTTTTGGTTCCATATGAAATCTAAAGTAGTTTTTTCTAGTTCTGTGAAGAAAGTCAATGGTAGCTTGATGGGAATAGCAGTGAATCTATAAATTACTTTGGATAGTATGGCCATTTTCATGATACCAATTCTTCCTATCCATGAGCATGGAATTTTTTTTTCCTATTTGTTTGTGTCCTCCCTTATTTCCTTGAGCAGTGGTTTGTAGTTCTCCTTGAAGAGGTCCTTCAGGTCCCTTGTAAGTTGTATTCCTAGGTATTTTATTCTTTTTGTAGCTATTGTTAATGGGAGTTCACTCATGATTTGGCTCTCTGCTTGTCTATTATTGGTATATAGAAATGCTTGTGATTTTTGCATATTGATTTTGTATCCTGAGACTTTGCTGAAGTTGCTTATAAGCTTGAAGAGTTTTTGAGCTGAGATGATAGGGTTTTGTAGATATACAATCATGTCTTTTGCAGACACAGAAAATTTGACTTCCTCTCTTCCTATTTGAATACCCTGTATTCTTTCTTTTGCCTGATTGCCCTTGCCTGAACTTCCAATACTATGTTGAATAGAGTAGTGAGAGAGGGCATCCTTGTCTTGTGCCGGTTTTCAAGGGGAATGCTTCCAGCTTTGCCCATTCAGTACGATATTGAGTATGGGTTTGTCATAAATAGCTCTTATTATTTTGAGATACATTCCATCAATACCTAGCTTATTGAGAGTTTTTAGCATGAAGGGATGTTGAATTTCATCAAAGGCCTTTTCTGCATCTATTGAGATAATCATGTCATTTTTACATGGTTCTGTTTATGTGATGGATTATGTTTATTGATTTGTGTATGTTGAACCAGCCTTGCATTCCTGGGATGAAGCTGACTTGGTTGTGGTGGATAAGCTTTTTGATGTGCTGCTGGATTTGGTTTGCCAATATTTTATTGAGAATTATCACATTGATGTTCATCAGGGATATTGGCCTGAAATTTTCTTTTTTTGTGTTGTGTCTCTGCCATGTTTTGGTATCAGGATGATGCTGGCCTTATAAAATGAGTTAGGGATGAGTCCCTCTTTTTCTATTGTTTGGAATAGTTTCAGAAGGAATGGTATCAGCTCCTTTTTGTACCTCTGGTAGAATTCGGCTGTGAATCCACCTGGTCCTGGACTTTTTTTGGTTGGTAGGCTATTAATTACTGCCTCAATTTCAGAACTTGTTATTGGTCTATTCAGGGATTCAACTTCTTCCTGGTTTAGTCTTGGGAGGTTGTATGTGTCCAGGAATTTATCCATTTCTTCTAGATTTTCTAGTTTATGTGCAAAGAGGTGTTTATAGTATTCTCTGATGGTAGTTTGTATTTTTGTGGGATCAGTGGTGATATCCCCTTTATCATTTTTTATTACATCTGATTGATTCTTCTCTCTTTTCTCCTTTATTAGTCTTGCTAGCCGTCTGTCTATTTTGTTAATTTTTTCAAAAAACCAGCTCCTGGATTCATTGATTTTTTGACGGGGGTTTTTTTTTTGTCTCAATCTCCTTTTTTGCTCTGATCTATTTCTTGTCTTCTGCTAGTTTTTGAGTTTCTTTGCTTTTGCTTCTCTAGTTCTTTTAATTGTGATGTTAGGGTGTTGATTTTAGATCTTTTCTGCTTTCTGATGTGGGCAATTAGTGATATAAATTTCCCTCTAAACACTGCTTTAGCTCTGTCCCAGAGATTCTGGCATGTTGTCTCTTTATTCTCCTTGGTTTCAAATAACTTATTTCTGCCTTAATTTCGTTATTTACCTATTAGTCATTCAGGAACAGATTGTTCAGTTTCCATGTAGTTGTGCAGTTTTGAGTGAGTTTCTTAATCCTGAGTTCTAGTTTGATTGCACTGTGGTCTGAGAGTCTGTTGTCATGATTTCCATTCTTTTGCATTTGCTGAGGAGTGTTTTACTCCCAATTATGTGGTCGATTTTAGAATAAGCGCTATGTGGTGCTGCGAAGAATGTATATTCTGTTGCTTTGGGGTGGGTGGAGAGTTCTGTAGATATTTATTAGGTCTGCTTGGTCTAGAGCTGAGTTCAAGTCCTGAATATCTTTGTTAATTTTCTGTGTCATTGATCTATCTAATATTGACAGTGGGGTGTTAAAGTCTCCCACTATTATTGTGTGGGAGTCTAAGTCTCTTTGTAGGTCTTTAGGAACTAGTTTTTATGAATCTGGGTGTTCTTGTATTGGGTGCATATATATTTAGGATAGTTAGCTCTTGTTGTTGTGTTGATCCCTTTGCCATTATGTAATGCCCTTCTTTGTCTTTTTGATCTTTGTTGGTTTAAAGTCTGCTTTATCAGAAACTAGGATTGCAACCCCTGCTTTTTTTTGCTTTCCATTTGCTTGGTAAATATTCCTCCATCCCTTTATTTTGAGCCTATGTGTGTCTTTGCACTTGGGATGGGTCTTCTGAATACAGCACAGATAGGTCTTGACTCTTATTCCAATTTTCCAGTCTGTGTCTTTTAATTGGGTCATTTAGCCCATTTACATTAAAGGTTATTATTTTTATGTGTGAATTTGATCCTATAATCATGATGCTGGCTGGTTATTTTGCACATTAGTTGATGTAGTTTCTTGATGGTGTTGTTGGTCTTTATATTTTGGTGTGTTTTTGCAGTGGCTGGTACCAGTTTTTCCTTTCCATATTTAGTGCTTCCTTCAGGAGCTCTTGTAAGCAGGCCTGATGGTGACAAAATCTCAGCATTTGCTTGTCTGTAAAGGATTTTATTTGTCGTTCGCTTATGAAGCTTAGTTTGGCTGCATATGAAATTCTGGGTTGAAAATTCTTTTCTTTAAGAATGTTGAATACTGGCCTCCACTCTCTTCTGGCTTGTAGGGTTTCTGCCGAGAGATCTGCTATTAGTCTGATTGGCTTCCCCTTGTAGGTAACCTGACCTTTCTTTCTGGCTGCTCTTAGCATTTTTTCCTTCATTTCAACCTTGGAGAATCTGACGATTATGTGTCTTGGAGTTGCTCTTCTCAAGGAGTATCTTAGTGATGTTCTCTGTATTTCCTGAATCAGCATATTGGCCTGTCTTGCTAGGTTGGGGAAGTTCTCCTGGATAATATCCTGAAGTGTGTTTTCCAACTTGGCTTTATTCTCCCCGTCACTTTCAGGTACCCCAATCAATCGTAGGTTTGGTCTTTTCACCTAGTCCCATATTTCCTGGAGGCTTTGCTCCTTTTCTTTCTTTCTTTCTTTCTTTCTTTCTTTCTTTCTTTCTTTCTTTCTTTCTTTCTTTTTTTTTTGAGATGGAGTTTCGCTCTTGTTGCCCAAGCTGGAGTGCAATGGCATGATCTTGGCTCACCATAACCTCTGCCTCCTGGGTTTAAGCAATTCTCCTGCCTCAGCCTCCTGAGTAGCTGGGATTACAGGCATGTGCCACCACACCCAGATAATTTTTGTATTTTCAGTAGAGATGGGGTTTCTCCATGTTGGTCAGGCTGGTTTCAAACTCCCGACCTCAGGTGATCCGCCTGCCTTGGCCTCCCAAAGTACTGGGATTACAGGCGTGAACCACCACGCCCAGCTGTTTGTTCCTTTTCTTTCTTTCTTTCTTTTTTTTTCTAATCTTGTCTTCAAGCCTTATTTCAGTAGTTGATCTTTAATCTCTGATATCCTTTCTTCTGCTTGATTGATTCGGCTATTGATACTTGTGTATGCTTCACAAAGTTCTTGTGCTGTGTTTTTCAGCTCCATCAGGTCATTTATGTTCTTCTCTAAACTAGTCATTCTAGTTAGCAGTTTCTATAACCTTTTATCTAGGTTCTGAGTTTCCTTGCATTGGGTTAGAACTTGCTCCTTTAGCTCAGAGGAGTTATTACTCACCTTCTAAAGCCTACTTCTGTCAATTCATCAAACTCATTCTCCATCCAGTTTTGCATGCTTGCTGGAGAGGAGTTGCAATCATTTGGAGGAGAAGAGGCATTCTGTTTTTTGGAATTTTAAGCATTTTTGCGCTGTTTTTTCCTCATCTCCATGGATTTATCTACCTTTGATCTTTGAGGCTGATGACCTTTGGATGGGGTATTTGTGTGGAGGTCCTTTTGTTGATGTTGATGTTGTTGCTTTTTTTTTTTTTTTTTTTTTATTCACAGATGACATGGTCTTTTTTGTTTTTTGTTTTTTTTTTTGTTTTTTTTTTTTTTTATTGATCATTCTTGGGTGTTTCTCACAGAGGGGGATTTGGCAGGGTCATAGGACAATAGTGGAGGGAAGGTCAGCAGATAAACAAGTGAACAAAGGTCACTGGTTTTCCTAGGCAGAGGACCCTGCAGCCTTCCGCAGAGTTTGTGTCCCTGGGTACTTGAGATTAGGGAGTGGTGATGACTCTTAATGAGCATGCTGCCTTCAAGCATCTGTTTAACAAAGCACATCTTGCACCGCCCTTAATCCATTTAACTCTGAGTGGACACAGCACATGTTTCAGAGAGCACAGGGTTGGGGGTAAGGTCACAGATCAACAGGATCCCAAGGCAGAAGAATTTTTCTTAGTACAGAACAAAATGAAAAGTCTCCCATGTCTACCTCTTTCTACACAGACACAGCAACCATCCGATTTCTCAATCTTTTCCCCACCTTTCCCCCCTTTCTATTCCACAAAGCCGCCATTGTCATCCTGGCCCGTTCTCAATGAGCTGTTGGGCACACCTCCCAGACGGGGTGGTGGCCGGGCAGAGGGGCTCCTCACTTCCCAGTAGGGGCAGCCGGGCAGAGGCGCCCCTCACCTCCTGGACGGGGCGGCTGGCCGGGCGGGGGGCTGACCCCCCCACCTCCCTCCCGGACTGGGCGGCTGGCCTGGTGGGGGGCTGACCCCCCCCACCTCCCTCCTGGACGGGGTGGCTGCCGGGCGGAGACGTTCCTCACTTCCCAGACGGGGTGGCTGCCAGGCGGAGAGGCTCCTCACTTCTCAGACGGGGCGGCTGCCAGGCGGAGGGTCTCCTCACTTCTCAGACGTGGCGGCCGGGCAGAGACGCTCCTCATCTCCCAGACGGGGTGGCAGCCAGTCAGAGGCCTCCCCACATCCCAGACGATGGGCGGCCGGGCAGAGACGCTCCTCACTTCCTAGATGTGATGGCGGCCGGGAAGAGGCGCTCCTCACTTCCCAGATGGGATGGCGGCCAGGCAGAGATGCTCCTCACTTTCCAGACTGGGCAGCCAGGCAGAGGGGCTCTTCACATCCCAGACGATGGGCGGCCAGGCAGAGACGCTCCTCACTTCCCAGACGGGGTGGCGGCCGGGCAGAGGCTGCAATCTCGGCACTTTGGGAGGCCAAGGCAGGCGGCTGGGAGGTGGAGGTTGTAGCGAGCCGAGATCACGCCACTGCACTCCAGCCTGGGCGCCATTGAGCACTGAGTGAACCAGACTCTGTCTGCAATCCCGGCACCTCAGGAGGCCGAGGCTGGCGGATCACTCGCGGTTAGGAGCTGGAGACCAGCCCGGCCAACACAGCGAAACCCCGTCTCCACCAAAAAAATACGAAAACCAGTCAGGCGTGGCGGCACGCGCCTGCAATTGCAGGCACTCCGCAGGCTGAGGCAGGAGAATCAGGCAGGGAGGTTGCAGTGAGCCGAGATGGCAGCAGTATAGTCCAGCTTCGGCTCGGCATGAGAGGGAGACCGTGGAAAGAGAGGGAGAGGGAGACCATGGGGAGAGGGAGAGGGAGAGGGAGAGGGACAGGGAGAGGGAGAGGGAGAGGGAGAGGGCAATGTTGTTGCTTTCTGTTTGTTAGTTTTTCTACTAATAGGCCCCTCTTCTGCAGGTCTGCTGCAGTTTGCTGGAGGTCCACTCCAGACCCTGTTTGCCTGTGTATCACCAGCGGAGGCTGCAGAACAGCAAAGGTTGCTGCCTCTCCTTCTTCTGGCAGCTTCATCCCAGAGGGGCACCGGCTTGATGCCAGCTGGAGCTCTCCTGTATGAGGTGTCTGTCAACCCCTGTTGGGAGGTCTCTCCCAGTCAGGAGGCACGGGGGTCAGGGACCCACTTGAGGAGGCAGTCTGTCCCTTAGCAGAGCTCAAGCGCTGTGCTGGGAGAATGCTCCTTGTCAGGATCTGCTGCACTCTTCAGAGCTGGCAGGCAGGAATATTTAAGTCTGCTGAAGCTGTGCCCACAGCCTCCCCTTCCCCCAGGTGCTCTGTCCCAGGGAGATGGGAGTTTTATCTATAAGCCCCTGATGGGGCTGCTGCCTTTCTTTCAGAGATTCCCTGCCCAGTGAGGAGGAATCTAGAGAGGCAGTCTGGCCACAGCCGCTTTGCCACACTGTGGTGCGTTTGGCCCAATCTAAACTTCCCAGCCTCCTTAGCACTGTCAGGGGAAAACCGCCTACTCAAGCCTCAGTAATGGTGGATGCCCCCCCTACACCAAGCTTGATCATCCCAGGTTGACATCAGACTGCTGGACTGGCAGTGAGAATTCCAAGCCAGTGGTTCTTAGCTTGCTGGGCTCTGTGGGAGTGGGACCCGCTGAGTGAGAACACTTGGCTCCCTGGTTTCCGCCCTCTTTCCAGGTGAGTGAACAGTTCTGTCTCGCTGGGGTTCCAGGCACCACTGGGGTAAGAAAAAAAAAACTCCTGCAGCTAGCTCGGTGTCTGCCCAAACAGCCGCCCAGTTTTGTGCTTGAAACCCAGGGCCCTGGTGGTGTAGGCACACAAGGGAATCTCCTGGTCTGGGGATTGGATTGCAAAAACCGTAGGAAAAGCATAGTATCTGAGCCAGATAGCACAGTCCCTCACGGCTTCCCATGGCTCGGGGAGGGAGAGACCCCTGGCTGCTTGCGCTTCCCCGGTGGGGTGATGCCCCACCCTACTTTTGCTCGCCCTCTGTGGGCTGTCCCCACTGCCTAACGAGTCCCAATGAGACAAACAATATACCTCAGTTGGAAATGCAGAAATCTCCCGCCTTCCGTGTTGGTGTTGCTGGGAGCTACAGACTGTAACTCTTCCTATTTGGCCGTCTTGCCAATCTCTGGGGATCATTCTTTAGAAAGACTATTGTAAACACTTCCTTTTAAATTATAGCTAACTCGGCTGGGTGTGGTGGCTCACACCTGTAATCCCAGCAATTTGGGAGGCTGAGACGGGTGGATCACGAGGTCAGGAGATTGAGACCATCCTGGCTAACATGGTGAAACCCTATCTCTACTAAAAATACAAAAAATTAGCTGGGTGTGGTGGCGGGCACCTGTAGTCCCAGCTACTCGGGAGGTTGAGGCAGGAGAATGGCGTGTACCTGGGAGGTGGAGCTTGCAGTGAGCCGAGATTGTGCCACTGCACTCCAGCCTGGGTGACAGAGCCAGACTCTGTCTCAAAAAAAAAAAAAAAAAATTATAGCTAACTTAATCACACACAAAATTCCTTTGATAAATTCTCCTTCACTATCCTTGTCATAACTTACACGTAACTATGACATGCTTGGGGTTCCTAATTTGTCCTCTTTCCTAAATAATCAGTCATTTTGCTTTAGGACAAAAATTTACCGTACAAGATCCTTTTTCATAAAAACTATTCTCTTTTCTTTATGGCATTCCTTACCAAAAATATGCCATAACTTTTTTCACATCTCGCTCCCCTACTTACTGATTTTTTAACCTTCTTCAATAAATAACTTTCAAGTAACCTCCAAATGACACAATTTTTTTCAATAAGAACACAACTTACAGAAGCGTATATCAGCTAGAATACTTATCCTTTGAAACCTTAAATTTTAGTGCAGAAAACTCTGAACTGTCTGATGGATGTTAGCATTTTATAGATGAAACCATTCCACAGTTTTAGAAATATGTTTTTCTATATCATAAGCTTTTCTTAATTGGAAATTACCCAGACATTAAATGAGAATTTATTACTTAATTCAAAATAATTAAAAAATTTAAAATTATACATAAAGTCCACTTATAAGCATTTATCTTACTTACATGTACTCAATTTTTTCATTTTAACAGTTTCTCTAGATTACTTGTGAAAACCGAGATATTACACAAAACTAATTATTATTTGAATTTATTTCCCAGTTAATCATTTTTAAAGTCGGAATAGCAGGTGAACACTTAAGTAAGAACCTTAAAGTTAAATGCCTTTTGCTGTTAACTCAGAAGATTCAGCTATTTTCATTGAACCAACAATATTAAATTAGTCTTATTTGACAAAAAAAATCACACAAAGATTATTCTGTTTTTGCCTGGGTTTATAGTCTCACAACCTTTGTGACAAACCCTGACATCTTAATATAGAGACAGAGACAAATATAAAATCATTTGTTCAATAAACTCAGACAAAAATGTATGCTGACAATTCTGATGACATTTCTATTTTTACCAATTTTTTTTTTGAGACAGAGTCTCACTGTTGCTCAGTATGGAGTGCAGTGGCGCAATCACAACTCACTGCAGCCTTGACCTCCCCAGGCTCAGGTAATCCTTCCAGTTCAGCCTCCCGAATAGCTGGGACTACAGGCATGTGCCACCACACCTGGCTAATTTTTCTATTTTTTGCAGAGACTGGGTCTTGCTACATTGCTCAGCCTTGTCTAAACTCCTGGGCTCAAGCTATCTTCCTGCCTTGACCTCTCAGAGTGTTGGGATTATGGATGTGAGCCACCATGCCTGGCCTATTTTTGTCAATAATTTTAAAGCCAGTTTTATTTACCAGAGATTCATGTAAATTTGAAAAGCATTTGGACTTAATTTATGAGTACCCATTTACTTTTAAGCCAGTTTTGTAGCATGCTAGACACAACGTATAACATAATACATGTACATACCCATAAGCTTATCAAAACATGTATACATACATGCACAAAGGTCCAATAGCTTTTACCTCAGAACCCTAGCCTTAAGATAGCAATACAAACTCACCACTTTACAAAAGATAGCTGAATCCAAATTATTTTTCTGATGAAATTGGAACCTGTTCACATGGCTAAAACCTGATAGGTAATCTAAGGAAAGCTGTGGACCAGAATTTGGGTAAAGCAGTTTTCATGGCAGTTTTGATTTTAAAAACATCTTTTACCTCTTTTTTTTCTGTCAGTTTCAAATAAGTTTCTAATGTTTCCATTTTAGCCAGAACTGGCTGATGTGTATAAGAAAAATGAAATCTCCAAGTAACCTTGAAACAGTAAGTTTTATTTCAACACCAGTAGCTTAATAACAGGTTCAAAGTAGGCAGAAAAGAAAATAAATTGATAGCTTTAGAAGACTTCTTAACTTTATAGTTGCAGGCTAACCATTTGAACTGTGAATTTTCCTTAGTATAATTTGCCCATTAGTTAAAAATGTGCACAAAAACTGGCAATAATATATAACCAGCTGGAGTCCCAGATAGTCTAGGAAAAAGTTCACATGCTTCCCCACTACATCCCCCAAAGCTTGACACAGTTACAGGAAATACTCTGGATTCCCCAAAAGGATGACAATATCAGGGGCCAGGAGATTGAAAACTGTTACTCCCCAAGAAGGACAGGAGCAGCCTCTCTTGCTGCCTTCTGACAAGCAGATGAGACTGGTCTTATTGGGTGGGACAGAGACTGTGCTAAAGTACTCTGGGATGGAGGGGTAACAGTAAACAGAGACACAAACACAAACAGATCTGATGTAGACCCAGCATTCCAAATTGATCCTAAAGAGGGAAGACTGGAGAAAAGTCCTGAGATCTTGTGTGAAACCCAGGTGGCACCACAGAGTGACCTGCATTCAGTCCAGATGTCACAGAGGCCTACACAGCACCACAGATGACCTATACCAGGTCCATGTAGGGGAGACATGAAGGGGAGAGAAGGGAAAATCCCCAAGACAAAAGCAGTCTTGGCAACTGCTGGGAATTCCCTAAGGTCCCAGCTGTGAGGTCAGCTAGCCATGAGAAGCTGGAGTTTGCAAGTGGACTCTGTCCTGCCCAGTAGCATGGGTGGGTAAGCCCTGGTGCACGCCACAGCCAATTGCTCCACTCATTGGAAACCAAGTGTACAGGTTGAGTCGATCAAAATACACAGTTCCTTACCTGGGGCACCAGATTTGTAACCAGAATGCCCTTTGGCCATTCCCCAACTGCTAGCATTAGTCGCTAATGCTAAAGTTGCTCTTCTTTCACCACACCTTGCTTCTCCTGTATTTGGCCTCTGAGTGCTGAGCAGTAGGACTTAAGCCAGTCACACTATGACCATGAGTGTACAAATATTCTTTAAGTCCCTGCCTTCAGTTCTTCTGGGTAGATACACAGAAGTATAACTGGGGAGGCATGAAGTTGAAAGGAGTTCTACATTTCAAGATAATCCAACACTTCCACCTCACCCATCAATAAACCAATCTTTAGTGTTGTTTTGTGGAAATTATACAAATTACCCAAGACCGCTTTTACTTGTTCTGAATTATTTTCATTCTGGTCTAATTTCCGTCTGTCTCCTGTTTCTTGGCTACATTTGCTCCTTATTATTTCACTCTTGCTCTTTGGGCCAGAAAGCAATTGTGGGTCTCCCTAACTTTATGCTCAACTCTCAGACTACCCTATTTACAATTCCACTTCTGCTTCTTTTTGGGTATATACCTTGCCCCAGAGATCCTTTGAGGATTGAAATGCCAAATCTGACCCACAAGGCAGTGTTCCTGCCACACCTGAACTCTAGTGAGGGAGGGACTTGTACATTTTATTGCAAATTCCTCTTCCAATACCATGCCCATTGCTATAGCCATACCACACAGACAGGATAACAGGCTTACTTTTGTCACTGAACATGAGAAATGCTGCAGAAGTATGGGAGTACAGGGCTCTGCAAGTAGAAGGTGAGCCCATTGGTCCAATAACAGAGGCAAGGGCAGAGCTACTGTACTTTATCTGGCCAGTACCACTCACACAGCTCCTTTGAGTCATGTCCACACATCCATACCATACCTGTTAATGCCACCTCTGGAAAAAATTTTCAATAATTCAAAATGCAAATCTTTATAGAAACTTATAATCTATGGTGGGAAGCATAGATGGAAAGCATTTCATGTCCCATACTGCATTTACTAAGTATCCTATTTTACTCCTTTCTCCTTTCCCATATGGTCAGTTTTGAGCTCTCAGAGCTGGTTTTTTCCCATATTGATGCCAATTAATGGCTGGTTTTCTAGGACTTAGGCTTGAAAAACCAAAGGCCTTCATAATTATGGTGAAAGAAATACTAACAAGATAAGGAGAAATGTTTAGTCTTCTCCAAGAAGGTCAGTAAATAGATACTAGTTTGTATCATAAAATTCTCCTTGTAAATATTAATTTTAATTAAGAGTCTTGTAAGACACTATGACTTCAGAGATTGTTGCTGTGGCCTCTGAAAGTAACCTTTAATATCTAAAATTCTGTAATTCTGATTGGTTGTCTTGATAATTTCTTGTCCTGGTAATAAATTTTAATTGAGTTCCCTATTTTCTAAAAGGTTTAAATACACATTGTAGTAGATTGAATTGTGTTTCCCTAAAAGATGTGTCCAAGCTATAACTCCTAGTACCTGTGAATGTGGCCTTATTTGGAAAAAAGGTCTTTGAAGATATAATTAAGGAAGGGATCTCGAAATGAACTCATCCTGGATTAGAGTGGGCTGTAAATCCAACGACAGATGTTCTTATGAAACAAAAGAAGAAGACACAGGGACACACAGGAGAGAATGTCATGTAAAGATGGAGGCAGAGACTGGAGTGGTGTCTATAAGCCAAAGAATGTGAAGGATTTCCTCTAGCCATCAGAAGCTAGGAGAGAGGCATGGAATGAATTCCATCAGAAACTCCAAAGTAACAAACCCTGCTGACACCCTGATTTCAGACTTTTGGTCTCTATAACTGTGAGAGAATAAATTTTTGTTGTTTTAAGCCACACAGTGGTAATTTGTTATAGGAATCCTAGGAAACTAATATATACATATAAGGTTGATTTCTGTAAATGAAATGACAGGGAGTATATGGGAACTTTCTATTCTTTCTCAGTTTTGCTGTGAACTTAAAACTTCTCTTAAAAAATAAAGTTTTTTAATGGTTAAAAGTCATCTACATCTTTCATTGATTGCTTAATGATAATAACATTATATTTGCCTAAGTAAAAATGATATAATTGTTACTCAAAAAGGGTATTATAGCATTTCCTTTTCAAACCAAAAGAAGACTGTTGGCTCTTCCTGCTTCTTTCACATACCCGGGGGGAAAACTAAAACCAACAACTCAGCTAGATTTCTTTTTAAACAAAAAGTCTGCTATCTGTGTCTAATTTTAATTAAAAGAGAAAGACTCCTTGCCAGCTACCCCCATGACCATCACTGCTGCTGCCACCACATAAAAGGAAAAATGGTGATACCAACATGGTAGACACCCAGAGGGTCTCACAGGCTCTACAGACATGAGAATGGTAGCTGAGAATTTGGCTAGGGATCTTACCAGAGGAGTTCACTGCAACTTCAGGAGGTGCCAAAGTGGTCCTGGAGCTGAGGACTCCAAGGAGCATTGTCTAAACATGGAACAACATGGGTGGTACAGCTCTGGGGAGGTATGAGATCTTTACCACCACCATCGCCAGTATGATGAGGGAGGTTTGCCAGATCCTCAGTGAGCCTAGAGAGGATGGAGCAAACTAGCCCAGGAATGGATTCTGACCAGCAACACCTCCACAAGGCTAGGGTTGGGTTGAGACAGAGGGGCACTCTTCACCCTCAACACCAAACATCCACACTCCATCACAGATTAAAGCAGGGAAAAGAGAGGGAAATCTGAAAGACTAAATCATACATAAGAATCCTATTCACCTTAAGAGACAGTTCAATTACTTAACCAGACCAAATTTATCAGACTCAATTAAAAGCTAGGGGTTTTTTCCCCATATCACCTAATGGAGTGGGTATGGGGGCTCACAAGAAAAAGCACATTTGTTATAGGAAATCAGCTAAAATTTCTTTGCACATCTATGTGCTAAAAGTAAATTTGTGACTCCACTGCACACATTTTTACATATTGATCAAAATTTTTCAGCATGCTTGTGAAAGATTTGGAGCAAAATAGATGAGAACCAGTGGAGTGAATGAAGAAATGTTAGAGATTAAAGTAGAATTTCTCAACCCCAGCAATACTGACACTTTAGACCTAACAATTCCATGTTGTGGGGTCTGTTTTGTGCATCTAAAGATGTTTAACACCATCTCTACCCTCTACTCACTAGATGCTAGTGGCATTTTCTTCCAGCCATGACAATAAACATGTCTCACAAAATTACCAAATATTTTGTAGTGGGCAAACAAGCCCCCATTTGAAAACCCCTAGGCTAAACATTACTTTCTCAGAGTCTTATAGTTTTAGTTTGTACATTTAGGCTTCTTATCCATTTTGAGTTAATTTTTGTATATAATGTGAGGTAGTCAGTTTGCTGCCAAATGAGTTATAAAAAAGCTTTGAATTTTAATATATTTTTGGATTTTGGAAGTATATTTAAGGGACTGTGAGCTTGTATTATCCTGTCCTCTGGTCACAGCTGGTCAAAGTAGACATGGACAAATCACCTGAGCTAGAAAGATTGTCATTTTAAGGACTGTAGGTTATATCTGTATTGAATAATGATGCTTGGAATTGTATATAGGTATTTTAGTCACCTGTTTTAGTCTTGGAGATGTTGAGTGTATTAGTCTGTTCTCACATTGCTATAAAGAATTACCTGAGACTGGGTAATTTATAAAGAAAAGAGGTTTAATTGGCTCACGGTTCTGCTGGCTGTACAGGAAGCATGGCTGGGGGGGCCTCAGGAAACTTACAATCATGGCAGAAGGCAAAGAGGAAGGAGGCATGTCTTTCATGGCTGGAGCAGGAGGAAGGGAGAGAACGGGAAGGTGTTACACACTTTTGAACAATGAGATTTTGTGAGAACTCACTCACTAGCATGAGAACAGCAAGGAGAAAATCTGCCCCCATGATATAGTCACCTCCCACCAGGCTCCTCCTCCAACACTGGGGATTACAATTTGACATGAGATTTGGGCGGGGACGCAAATCCAAACCATATCATTGAGTGAAAAATAATACTATTTAATGTTTTGGGGAGGGCCCTGACACAGTGATAGACAACAAATTAATATGCCTCCATTTTAGATACATGTTTGGGTTAGTAGTATGAATTATGTGCATCTTTTGCCTGCAATTTCATCTTTTACAGAACTGGCTGCCTACAAAGTTGATTGTTTTCTTCAAATTCCAGACTTAGGCTGCTCTATGACAGACTATAATCATTATTTTCTTTGGGAGTTGTGTGTATTTTTGGTTTAAATATTTGCTCAGGACAGGCGCAGTGGCTCATGCCTGTAATCTCAGCACTTTGGGAGGCTGAGTGAGGCAGGTAGATCACTTGAGGCCAGGAGTTCAAGACCAGCCTGGCCAACATGGCAAAACCCCATCTCTACCAAAAATACAAAAATTATCCGGGCGTGGTGGCGCACATCTGTAGTCCCAGCTACTTGGGAGGCTGAGGCAGGCGAATTGCTTGAATCTGGGAGGCGGAGTGAGCCAAGATTGCACCACTGTACTCTAGCCTGGGTGACAGAATGGGACTTTGTCTAAAAAGAAATGAACAAACAAAAAAATCCCTCAAAAGAGATTGGAAGAACAGACCAGAAGAGAAGCATGCAGATCTGAAGTCCTTTTCACTGTAACCTGGAGGACAGTGTGTGAAAAGGAACTATACTGTGTCTGTCATAGCAGTGCCTAAGCAGGACAGTCAGTGAACAACATGGTCCTAGTTAAGGCTGAATAAATCAGACTTTGGGAACTGTACTGTCAACTATAATGTATTGGCTTCCTGGAGCCAGGGTCCATATCATGCTTTGCATGGCAGGAAATAGGAGTGCTTTCCTGAATACAATGCATGTTCCCACTGTCAATCATCCTCAAGGAAGAAATGTGGCCCATAGGTAGAGAAGGACAGACTTTTCTCTGGCTGGGTCTGTGAGAAAGATAAACTATGGTTTGGGGAGGAAAAGACAGCATTGAAGGGACTTCTGCTGCTGTAGTCCTGACCTTGAGAGGGAAGCTGTATTCTATAATTCTGTGACCAACTGAAGGGTAAAGGGAAAGATGACTGCTGAGAAACCCTCTGGGGTCAAGTATGGCCAGTAGATTCTAGAGTAATGATAGCTGTGTTTTGTTTTAAATAATCATCTTTCCTGTGTTATTGTAGTTCTTTTATCTTGAAGTCAGCAGTTAAATTTATAACAGTATAGCCTAACATTTCCTGCACTTTGGGATTTTAGGGAGATGTCTATGTCTATACTTGGGGTAAGGTATTAAGGGGATACCTCTGGTAGGATGGAGAAATGACTTTGAGAGAGTAGGAAGAGATATTGTGAGAAACAAAGAAGTCGTCTGGAGTAAGAGATGGCAGGAAACAGTAAGAATATGTTTGTGGAAGATGTAAACATTTCCCAGGGAGTCTTAGAAATGCTTGGGGAGTAGACAAAACTCCCCGAAGTTACATAAGATGAGGGCTTAGACTGTGTTAACAGAACCTGGGCAACATAGAGAGACTCTGTCTCTACAAAATATTTAACAATTAGCTGGGTGTGGTGGTGTGTGCTTGTGGTCCCAGCTACTAGGGAGGCTGAGGTGGGAGGATCGCTTGAGCCCAGGAAATTGAAGCTGCAGTGAACTATGATCATGCCACTGCACTCTAGCCTGGGTGTTAGAGGTGAGACCCTGACTCAAAAAACAAAACAACAATAAAAAAGACTATGTTAATAGAACATTAAAGAGAAAAGCAATCCCCTTGATTCCGAACTTGGGGGATGTTTGAAGGTTATACTTGTAACCCAAAGAAACTTGACTAAGGCATACCAAGATATGTTAGGACCTTTTAGAGGGCAAAGATCTGGGGCAAACCCTTGATTTGCCAGCCTTGGCAGGGTAGACCTGAATGTGGGGAGTGAGGAGCTTCCCCTGATTCCACATCTTTAAGTCAGTCTGGCATACATGATAATGTTAGCTGTAGACGGTCTGATGCTGCTTGTGTCCTATCCTCTCCCGCTTTTCACTATTAGTTAAAATATATCTAACCATATTACCATCTGACTCTGATTCTTGGCTTCATCTCTTGTTTACAGTTCTGCTCTTGTTCATCGGACCAGCATTCATATTTGATCTTCCCTGTTGTATTCTTGGCCTTTTCCCAAGGAGTTGTCTCAGATCCACCTTAGGACTTCAGGTCTCAAAATCAAGGTGTGTTTGGGTTGATAAAAATTCTCTAAAATTAGATAGTGGTGATGGTTGTACAACTCTGAATATATTAAAAAACACTGAAACGTATATTTTATCATGTACTTTATTTTATTTATTTATATATATATTTTGAGATCCTCTCACTCTGTTGCCCAGGCTGGAGTGCAGTGGTGTGATCTTGGCTCACTGCAACCTCCACCTCCCAGGTTCAAGCAATTCTCCTGGCTCAGCCTCCCAAGTAGCTGGGACTACAGGCACGTGCTGCCATGCTTGGCTAATTTTTTGTATTTTTAGTAGAGATGAAATTTCCATGTTAGCCAGGCTGGTCTCGAACTCCTGATCTCAGATGATCCACTTGCTTCGGCCTCCCAAATTGCTGGGATTACAGGCATGAGCCACTGCGTCTGGTCTGAAACATATAGTTTAAATGTGTGAATTTCATAATATGTGAATATATAAGTATTTATTTACATATATATATTTTATATATATATAACATATATATTATATATAAGTATTTACTTACATGTAAGTATGGTATGTAAGTAAAACTGTTAAAAACATTAAGCTCTGGATCACTGGCCAGTGCACAATAAAAATAATAGTTTACATAGCATTCACTGTATACAATATAATGATCTAAACTCTTCATTTATAATTCTCGCAACAGCTCTATGAGGTAGATATTATCATTATCCCTACTTTTACAGAGAAGAAACATGAGATGCAGTGAAGTTGTGTAATTTTCTCTAGGTCTTACAGCTTCTATGTGCTCAGAGCCAAGAGAAGAGCAGGGAATCTGGCTTCAAAAGCAGTTCTCTTTACCACTATGCTATAGTGTGCTGTTAGGAAAGTGTGGGAAGTTTAGTGTGTCTGTTTTACCCATCAAAAAAGGAGATAAAGTTAGGTGCTAAGGATGAGAGTAGGAGCAGTCACTGAATGATGCAAATGTTTAGAATAATTACTGAAGGGAGTCAGAGGGTGTATCATTAATCTATTGTTGCATAATAAACTACTCCAAAACGTAGTGGCTTGAAACAAAAACCATTTATTTTGTTCATGAACCTGCTGGATAGTTTTGGTCTGGGTCAGGTTCATCTGATTCTGGTTTGTGATTTGTTGGTTGGCTGAGTCTAGTTGGTCCTGGAATGATTCACTCACATGTCTGTCTGGTGGTAGGCTGGCTGTCAACTGTGGTGATGAGGGTGACTGAATCCTGTGTCTCTCATCCTGTATCAGGCTAGCCCCGGCTTGTTCACATGGCTACAGGATTACGAGATCATTCTAAGTTCCAACATGCAACTGTTTTTTAAATCTCTGCTTGCTCATATATGCCAAAATGTTTCATTGGCCAAAGCAAATCCTGTGGTCAACCTGCATTCAAAAAGTAGTGAAATATTTATTATTATTATTATTATTTCAAATCCCCTACTTTAAGAAGCATGGTGTGGAGAAATAAATCCCACTTCTTTAGGGCAGGGAAAGAATGCATGGCCATTTTTTTTTAATGCCTCCTTTTAATCATGCAAACATATATGACAGTAAATATTAAATAAGAAAAAAAAAATGGTACTATTAAAGGACTTCATGCCTTCCACAAACCTAGAAGGTAAACAAGTGTCTACTTGTTGGAAAAAACAATTGTAATTTCCCAAGAATATATCTGATGGAGAACCAAGTTTAGATGGCCATATCGGGAAGATTACTCCCAGTAAATAGATCTCATTTGCTATGAATCGTGGACATTTAACAACATATGCAAAATGTTAAGACTTAGAATTGTATTTCCCAAGGTCTTTTTTTATTTTTTTTAATTGATCATTCTTGGGTGTTTCTTGCAGAGGGGGATTTGGCAGGGTCATAGGACAATAGTGGAGGGAAGGTCAGCAGATAAACAAGTGAACAAAGGTCTCTGGTTTTCCTAGGCAGAGGACCCTGCGGCCTTCCGCAGTGTTTGTGTCCCTGGGTACTTGAGATTAGGGAGTGGTGATGACTCTTAATGAGCATGCTGCCTTCAAGCATCTGTTTAACAAAGCACATCTTGCACCGCCCTTAATCCATTTAACCCTGAGTGGACACAGCACATGTTTCAGAGAGCACCGGGTTGGGGTAAGGTCATAGATCAACAGCATCCCAAGGCAGAAGAATTTTTCTTAGTACAGAACAAAATGGAGTCTCCTATGTCTACTTCTTTCTACACAGACACAGCAACAATCTGATTTCTCTATCTTTTCCCCACATTTCCCCCTTTTCTATTCGACAAAACCGCCATCGTCATCATGGCCCATTCTCAATGAGCTGTTGGGTACACCTCCCAGACGAGGTGGTGGCCGGGCAGAGGGGCTCCTCACTTCCCAGAAGGGGCAGCTGGGCAGAGGCGCCCCCCACCTCCCGGACGGGGAGGCTGGCCGGGCGGGGGCTGCCGCCCCCGCCTCCCTCCTGGACGGGGCGGCTGGCGGGCGAGGGCTGCCCCCCCTCCCCACCGCCTCCCTCCCGGAAGGGGCGGCTGGCCGGGCGGGGGCTGCCCCCCACCTCCCGGACGGGGAGGCTGCCAGGCGGAGACGCTCCTCACTTCCCAGACAGGGCGGCTGCCGGGCGGAGGGGCTCCTCACTTCTCAGATGGGGTGGCCGGGCAGAGACGCTCCTCACCTCCCAGACGGGGTCGCGGCCGGGCAGAGGCGCTCCTCACATCCCAGACGAGGCGGAGGGGCAGAGGCGCTCCCCACATCTCAGACGATGGGCAGCAGGGCAGAGACGCTCCTCACTTCCTAGACAGGATGGCGGCCGGGAAGAGGCGCTCCTCACTTCCCAGACTGGGCAGCCAGGCAGAGGGGCTCCTCACATCCCAGATGATGGGCGGCCAGGCAGAGATGCTCCTCACTTCCCAGACGGGGTGGCGGCTGGGCAGAGGCTGCAATCTCGGCACTTTGGGAGGCCAGGGCAGGCGGCTGGGAGGTGGAGGTTGTAGCGAGCCGAGATCACGCCACTGCACTCCAGCCTGGGCACCATTGAGCACTGAGTGAACCAGACTCCGTCTGCAATCCCGGCACCTCGGGAGGTGGACGCTGGCAGATCACTCGCGGTTAGGAGCTGGAGACCAGCCCGGCCAACACAGCGAAACCCCGTCTCCACCAAAAAAATACGAAAACCAGTCGGGCGTGGCGGCGCGCACCTGCAATCGCAGGCACTCGGCAGGCTGATGCAGGAGAAGCAGGCAGGGAGGTTGCAGTGAGCCGAGATGGCAGCAGTACAGTCCAGCTTCGGCTCAGCATCAGAGGGAGACCGTGGAAAGAGAGGGAGAGGGAGACCGTGGGGAGAGGGAGAGGGAGGGGGAGGGGGAGGGGGGAGGGGGAGCAATGCATGGCCATTTTTGCAATCTGCTATAGAAGGAGAGGTAACAATGGTTAAAGATTGATGAGGGGTGTTAAGGGTCTAACTAAAATTAGAAATTATACTTTTGTCATAGCACAATCCCTATGATTTTACATTTTCTGTAGCATGGCTCAGCTTCTTAAAGGCAGATTGTGGTACTAGAGGTGGAAGAGAGTGAGACCTTTGGGAATTAGTCATGGTACCCACTCAAAGAAGGTGGCAGTGGACCTAGGGATATGGTATTTCGTGGATAGGGTGATATCCACCTGATGTGGCACTGGTGCTTAACAAAGGCAGTCCCATGCAGTAGAAGGTAGCGAGTAGAGATCACTATTTTAGTGAGATAGACGAGGCTAAACAACAAGAATTCCAGATAATTTTTGACCAGTCATTTTTGTTGTCACATGTGATGCATTCCTTAGAACATCCATAAATATGAGTGTGGAAGATAGGTGACTTGAAGAGAGAGTGAAGGCAAAAGCCAGAGATACACTAAATCTTAAAATTCTGTACACAATATAAACCACAATTCCCAGGAAGAGAGTGGCTTCAATTTTTAATAAATTGGAAAGTTGGGTTAGATAAGCATGCTTACTTTATTTTTTTTCGTTTCTTTTTAAAAATTTGTGAGTGGTTTGTGTATGTGTGAGAAGTACTGGCAAGGTTATACGTTAGCTTTGTTACTCCTGGATGGGTTCATAGTGGTGGTATAGTCAAATTTCTCTACTGGACTGATGCCAAGGCTTCTGCTTTTCCATTTGCAAGGTTGCATATGTTTTTAATAAAGGTTTATAATTATAATGTAATTTCTAAACAATGTGAACATTTTTCAAGTATCACTAGACATTGTTTTTCCCTGTAAAACATGCCGTAAGGCGAGGTGCAGTGGCTCATGCCTGTAATCCCAATATGCCTCTGTAAGCCAAGGCAGAAGAATTGCTTGAGGCCAGGAATTTGAGACCAGCCTGGGCAATATAGCAAAGGCCCTGCCTCTGCAAAAAACTATACATAAGAGTAACTGGGCATGGTGGTGTGGTAGCTACTGGGAAGGCTGAGGCAGGAGGATTGCTTGAGGCTAGGAGTTCCAGGTTGCAGTGAGCTATGATTGCACCACTGCACACTTACCTGGGTGACACAGCAAGACTCTCTCTGTAAAATAAGGAAATAAAATAAAACATAAAATGTGCTATAGGGATTCTTTGGTGAATTTGATTTGATGACACGTCTTTGTTAAATAAGATGAAAGTAGTAAGTAGTAACAAAACTTAAACCTACTATCTCCAACCAAAAAGCACAAAAATGTCTTAAATAATAACAATCACAACAATAATGAACATTTATTGAACACTTTATATGTCTTAGGCATCTGATAAGCATTTACAGGTATTTGCTCATTTATTCTTCACAATATTTTATGAAATGACTACTAGTAAAGGGTATTGGTGTGTTTTAAAACTTTCTAAAATGTTCTTCAAATGTGATAATCGTAAGTTCACTCATACTAATCAACTATTAAATTAGTATGAATTTAAAAAAGAGAAGGCATCCTTGACCAAAAGAGATTCAAATTTTCAGTTCAGATATTCCTTAAAAACTATATGATAAAAATCTGCTGTTATGCCATCTTATCAGTAATATTACTCATATTAAAATAACAGAACTTCTTTGAATTGATTTTATTCTTGATTTCCTGCCAGAAGATTCCCCTGGTATTTACTTTTTAAAAATGTCCCATTAAGCTTTACTTTCAGAACATTAACCATTTAAGTAATTAATTTACACAGTTTTATTAAAAGTTTAAAGTATTACTAATTTCATTCAACATTATTGTTGTTTAGTATATTCATTGAAATTTAAACGACCATTGACATATGGAATATTTAATCAGATTTTCTTAGCCATTTAAAATTCACTCAAGGAATAATATATAATATAATCGATGGAAGAGTAGTGGAAATTCAATTCAATTGTTAAACAATTATTTTAGGCCAGGTGTAGTGGCACACGCCAGTAATCCTAACACTTTGGGAGGCTAAGTGCGGGGATCACTTGAGACTAGGAGTTTGAGACCAGTCTGGGCAAGGTAGGAAGACCCCTATCTCTAAGGGGAAAAAAAAAAAGCTGGGCGTGGTGGCACACACCTGTCGTCCCCAGCTACTCGAGAGGCTGAGATGAGGATTGCTTGAGCCCTGGAGGTCAGGGCTGCAGTTAGCTGTGATCACTCCAGGCTGGGTGATAGAGCAAGACTCTGTCTCAAAAAAGAAAAAAAAATTCTGAATTATCTAGGAGAAAGAAATACAATGTATGCTTAAGCTGTAGACAACACAACTGAGCCATTTACTGAGATTATTTATGTTTGTGTTTCCTTGGGACTTCAGTGCGATCTCTCTCAGAGAATTTCTTCACAGAGTCTAAAGATCTTTTATCTTCCTATGTTTAGTTATTGAAGAAATGCTTTTTCTAGCATATCTTGGATAAGCAAGTATCCTCTGAAACTCTATCACTCTCATGGAACAGAGATTCATTCTAGGTTTAAACCCCTCTAACTCAGTTAGTAGTTTTGAATACCTTTATGAAACTTGACTTGGTTTATCGAGCTAAAAATTAATGGGGCAGTTCCTTGGCCTTTTGGGATTTGCAAGATACACATGGAATTCTGTCTCTAGCTACTCCTTTTTGCCCATTTTCATGGTCTTCTCCCTGACGGATGGTTGCATGTCCCAGTAGATGAGACCTAAATGCTAGTCTTACATTTATGCCATTGTTCTGCCCCTGGTAGCACTCACTCTGCCAGTTCTTTCGATGGTCTCTTGTATGAGATGGGCCATGTTCAAGGACAAGTCAAGAAGTCCCAACAGGTTACTCCTAGAACATGAGGATTATGATTTCCATGTTAGGCCCCTTTCTTTCCTGTGGTCATATGGCCATACATATTGTGATCAGTGTTTTGAGAAGAATAGTCCAGTTTATCTCCCGTGTAAATTTATTTCTTCTTGAACCATTACATGAGGTTAGAAGTGTATACATTTTAATTGTAAACACACCTACCAGCTATGTGATGATGGAAAAGTCATTTAACTTTTCTGAGCCTCAGTTTCCTCGTCTGTAAAATGAGAATAACACAGTACCTGTGTAATGTGGTGCTTGTGAAAACTAAAGAGGCAATATGTAGAAAAAAACAATTATAGTGCCTGGACCATAAATAGATTGTACCAGTCTGTTTGGGATGATTGCAAAATTAAACAGTACAGAAAATTAAGCTGTGGAACGTGTCAGTTTATTAAGAAATGATGGCTGGGTGCAGTGGCTCATGCCTGTAATCTCAGCACTTTGGGAGGCTGAGGCAGGGTGGATCATCTACGGTCAGGAGTTCAAGACCAGCCTGACCAACATGGTGAAACCCTGTCTCTATGAAAACTACAAAAATTACCCAGGCATGGTGTTGCATGCCTGTAGTGTCAGTGACTCGGGAGGCTGAGGCAGGACAATCGATAGAACCCTGGAGGTGGAGGTTGCAGTGAGCTGAGATCACACCACTGCACTCTAGTCTGGGTGACAGAGCGAGCCTCCATCTCAAAAAAAAAAAGGAAATGACTCAGTCGGGCACAGTGGCTCATGCCTGTAATCCTGGCACTTTAGGAGGCCGAGGTGGGCAGATCACTTGAGGTCAGGAGTTCAAGACCAGCCTGGCCAACATGCCAAAACCCTGTCTCTACTAAAAATACAAAAATTAGCTGGGCATGGTGGTGCATGCCTGTAGTCCCAGCTACTCAGGAGGCTGAGTCATGAGAATCACTTGAACCCAGGAGGCAGAGTTTGCAGTGAGCTGAGATCGTGCTGCTGCATTCCAGCCTCATCAACGGAATGAGACTCTGTCTCAAAAAAAAAAAAAAAAAAAAAACCTCAATGAAAACAATCCTATGGTGAGGCAGAAGTAGAAAAACTGACCATAGTACTGGAAGCATGAGTCCTGCTCTGATACTCTTCAGGCATTACCACAGATATCACCTTACTCTGTACAGGTATCCGTCCAGATTCCTGGGAAGTCTCTGCCCAAAGTGCCATGTAGCAACCGCACCTCTTAAAGGCAGTTCATCTGTCTGAGACTGTTAGAGCCTTATGCTTTGGACAGCCCAAGTACCAACATCCACTAAACATCTTTTGTGCCTTAAAATGGACAGTAAGCCAGGTGCAGTGGTGAGTACCTGTAGTCCCAGCTACTCAGGAGACTGAGAAGGGAGGATCACTTGAGTCTAGGAGTTTGCTACTGCAGAGCTATGATCTTGCCACTGCACTCCAGCCTAGGTGACAGAGTGAGACCCTGTCTCAGAAAAAGAGAGAGAGTGAGAGAGAGAAAAAAGGACAGCAAAACATGCCATCAAAACATAAGACCTCTGCTTCCAACCTTCAGCCAAAATGGGGTAACCAGGACTTGATTTATCCTCCTGCCTGCTTAATTGTTTTGAACCAACTAAAAAATTGCACAAAATATATGTGCAACAATGATTTTCAAGACAGTGTGTATCAGGTAGCACTGGAAAGTGATCCTGAGAGGGGAAACAAACAAGGTGAGGCCTGTGATTGCCCAATTGACAACCTAGAGAGAGATTCCGGGCACGGCATGGAGAGGAGCTACACAGGCAGAGCCTAGTGGTCTCCCTGAGTTGAGAAGAAACTGGGGGTCTGAGGGAGGCCCAGGCATCCCAGAGTTCACAAGTCAGAGTACCAGAGAGGAAAAAGCTTCAGTGAGACCAAGACAGAAAGCAAGAATGAGTGAGAGAGAGAGAGTGAGCTCTGGAGATATGGACGGAGCTGGGTTTAGGATGAGGCAAGGGAGATACTTAGACAACAAACTGTAAGGAGACACTCATATATGGGTACTTGCTTGAGCACAAGCAGGTGAGAAAACTGCATGAGGCTGGACAAAGACCACTTAAAAAGATTAGAGGGAACCATATTTGAAACTCTTGAAGCAGAGACTAAGGGAAATGTATTACTCTTGTAAACCAAAAATAAAATTCTAAGCCCCCCACCATCTGAATGGACCCTCCTCTTAGCAAGGGTATTCCAAAGTTAACCTGAAAAACTAGTTCAGGCCATGATTGTAACGGGGAGCCAGACATGCCTCATTATACCCCTTTCCCTTTTGAAATTACTGATAGAACACACTCTTTAAGTTTGATAAGAAACATTTACAGCTTATTCTCTTTGAAGCCTGCTATCTGGATGCCTCATCTGCATGATAAACCTTGGTTTTCAGAACCCCTTAGCATAACCCAGGCATTCCTTTCTATTGATAATAACTCTTTCAACCAATCAGAAAATCTTTAAATCTACCCGTGACCTGGAAGCCCCTGCTTCTAGTTGTTCCACCTTTCTGGACCAAACCAATGTACATCTTACATGTATTGATTGATGTCTCATGCATTTCTAAAAAATATAAAACCAAGCTGTACCCTGACCATCTTGGGCACATGTCGTTAGGATCTCCTGAGGCTGTCATGGGTGTGTCCTTAACCTTGGCAAAATAAACTTCCTAAATTGATTGAGACCCATCTTAGATACTTTTGGTTTACACCCTCTACAGTAGCAATAGCCAGAGTATCAGCACTTTCGCACTGGTTCCCCAATCCATAATTACCAGAGGATGATGTAAAGTGGGGCTAGGTGACACAAGCACATGTAGTGGGTTTGTGACAGGAGAGAAATCCAGAGCTTAGGAAACCTGAATCTTTTTCCTAAGGCTAGTGAGCATGTCTCCCTTTTGGTATGGAGGGAGACACTATGTCATCTTTGAGGGCTGTTTGCTGTTCAAACATCTTTGAAAAGGTAGTATGAATAAAGGGAAGTAAGTGCAGAAATGTGTAAGACACTTGGAGAATTGTCTCTCAACAATTACCTTCCTGTATTATTACAAAGGCACACTATTCCCTTATGGGAATTGTAAACTCAAAGGACCAAGGTGAGGGGTGGGGTGCATACAGGTATTATAAATAAGTTTATTGAGCTAAGTGCTAATAATAGGGAGTGGCAGGCTCTGTGGTGAAGATGAATTCAAGAAAGCATGCTCCTCCCTATCCCCATTTCCTGAAGACATTTAGATTAAACAAACTTTAAATAATAGTGCTTGTCAAATAAAACTACTGTCACTGTTCACACTCAGTGATGAGCATGACCGCTTCCTTACACATTTGTATTTGTGTACTCTCTACAAGAATCTTGAAAAAATACATATCTACATATATATGTGTATATATGTGTATATATATGTATATATGTGTATATATGTATATATATGTGTATATATGTATATATATGTGTATATATATGTATATATACGTGTGTGTGTGTGTGTGTGTGTGTGTGTGTGTGTATGTGTATATAGTTTTTTTAGAAAGGGCCTCGCTGTGTTGCCCAGGCTGGAGTGCAGTGGTGTGATTATAGCTCATTGCAGCCTCAACCTCCTGGGCTCAAGTGATCCTCCCTCCTCAACTTTCTGAGTAGTTGAGAGTATAGACATATGCCACCATGTCTGGCTAATTTTTAAAATTTTCTTGTAGAGACTAGATCTCACTATGTTGACCAGCCTGTTCTTGAACTGCTGACCTCAAGTGAACCTTCTACCCCAGCCTCCCAAAGTGCTGGGATTACAGGCATTAGCCACTGTACCTGACATCTATTGATAATTTTTAAGTTGTCCTCAATGATTTTTCAGCAAACATTTAAATAATTTTAATTTTTGTTAATATTAAGTAGAAAATAAACATTTTATAAGATGAGAATTGACTAACTGGAATAAACATTTAATTATATGATTTGATAAATTTGGTTTTAATGCCTAATTGAATAAAGCACACCATGTATTTACAGATTTTAGTCAGTGCATCTGAAAAAATTTGGGAGTCCCACAAAATATTCCATTTATATTGAAAAGAATAATCCTGACAAATATACTTGCTTTATCTGTTCTGAATTCATGTGCAATGTGGACCAAAATGCCCAATCTCTAATGCCAAGCCTTATAAAAAAGATAGAAAGCCCTATGGATTAGGTGCTTTGGTTCATTGTTAAGGGAGATTTCTTCCAAACCAGTATTTTCAGGTATGCTCTTGTCTGATACTCTGGAGGCATAACCTAGGGGAAAGTAGCATGTTAAGGTTTGGGTTGGATGAGAGGTATGCATTTATTTTGGAAAGTAGGAGAAAGACTTTTATGAATATAAGCATATTATCAGGAAGATCAATTGTAGAAAAACGTTTCTTGTGGATCTAGAGGTTGATTATTAATTAAAATTACACAAATTGTTAATTAAAAAAACACAAAGTTGTGTTTTTAAAATATTTATTTTTAGTTGTGTTTTTTAAAAATATTTATTTCATTTATAATTACATATTCATCAAGGTGCTTGGGAGATTACTTTCTCTTTTCCCACAAGGCAGTCATTTCCAGTAGAGACAACAATTTTTTTTTTTTTTTTACCATTGATCCCTAGCACCTGCAGAGTGCCTAAAAATAAGCAGGAACTCAATAAATAGAATGAATGAATGGTGCTCTTTGGGCCCCTTGGTCAAATACTCTTATTTTGAATTTGAAAGCTCCCAAATTTGATTCTGATGTCCAGCCAGGTTTGGGGATCATTGCTGTGATATGTGATAGAGCGTCCTGCTTAATACTCTGGGCTGGGCAACATGTGGAAATATGACAGAAGAAAAGCCAAGTACTTATTAGTTATTAGTTGCTGCATCTTCCAACATTGTTTTGTTGCTAGCTGTAGAAATAAATTCTGGTGGATTTGAGTGAAGGATTATTTATTTTAAGGATATTGGGTTTCCTACAGAATTATTAGGAAGACTGGAGAATCAGGTTACACTTGTGCAACCAGGAGCAACATTCAAAATCATGTTGCAGGCCAGTGTGGTGGCTCACGCATATTATCGTGTTCTATCCTGTGTAGTATTCCTTGTATACATGTCTTCCCACATGGAAAGGACTTATGTTGCATTCATCTCTGTGTTCCTTTAGTGGCCAGTGAAGTGCCTGGGGTGTAGTCATGTGGCAAGAGGTTTGGGGTAGTCAGTAGTAGTTGTTGAGAATCTACTATTGAGGTGTGTTGTGAATAGGTGTAAATTGAACTAAATTAAATTTGTCATTGGGGGTCTGCTATCTCAATACTCTGATCTGAAAATTCGTGAATCTAGAGTTCTTATGTAATGCATAATAAATCAGTTATTGGTACTACAAATTCTTTAAACTTTGTTCTTATTTTCTTTCTTTCTTTTTTTTTTTTTGAGATGGGGGTGCCACTCTGTTACCTAGGTTGGAGTGCAGTGGCGTGATCTCAGCTCACTGCAGCCTCTGCCTCCCAAGCTCAAGTGACCCTCCTACTTCAGCTTCTTGAGTAGCTGAGACCACAGGTGCATGCTACCATGCCTGGCTAATTTTTTGTGTTCTATAATCTTGAAATACTGATGACTAACTGATAATTGTAGTGAATATTTCTAAAATAATTCCCTGACACTTAAGTTACACCAACCATAAGTGAATAGGATAACATTAATTGACACTAAAACAACTATGAACACCCTCTTTATACTAATGCCCTTACTCTTGATCACATTTATTCTTTTTAGGCTAAAGAGAATGGGTCAATTTTTCACTCTATTTTTAGTGTTTGATTTCAGCTTGATAAAATACTTAAATGTGTATTCCAAGTGAAAAATGAGGTTGTTAAAGGTTAATGCTTTGGTGCTTTTAATAACTATCGGTGCCACTTCTGCATCTTGTCAAAATGATACAATTTTATTTTGGCAGGACCCAGAAGAATTCCTAACAAAGAATTACTTGATTTAATTAAAAAACAAGAAAGAGCAACCATCCTTCTCCATAGATA
This sequence comes from Homo sapiens, assembly GCF_000001405.40. Taxonomy (NCBI): domain Eukaryota; kingdom Metazoa; phylum Chordata; class Mammalia; order Primates; family Hominidae; genus Homo; species Homo sapiens. The sequence continues at coordinate 114,814,296 of NC_000001.11, forward strand.
GTCTTTAAAATACCCATTCTAATTCTAGAACTAATATAAAGAGGAGTGCCAAATAGTCATAAACACTGCATTAAAAATGTGAATAACTTTTTACCCTTGCAATTAGAGCCCGAGCTGTTCTGTCAGTGCCCCATTACACAAAACAGACTGGCAACGACAATGAAACAGTCTCCACATATGATGTGTATTTCTATAATATTATATCAAACATATGATTGTTTGGAGAAAGGGGGATATAATGAAAAAAAGTCTTAGAGTTTTTAATTCTACATTTTAAAGTGCATTTATACAAAATATCTGACAGTCCAAAATCAATGGTGAAATTTCCAGGTAAAGGTTGTCAGGGTCATAAACGGTGAAACCACAAGTTCTCCTTTATATTGTTCAGTTCTTTAATTCATACAAGGGTGATTCACCTGGCCGTTTGACCAGGTGTTCCTTCTCCCTACTCCCCATTTCCCAGAATAAGATCCTTAACAGGTGCTCATATACCTTGACACTTTGGAGAAAAAGTACTATTTCCCCAGAAGATTTTGACTGGTATTATGGAAATATATTGGGCAGTATTGTTTTCTAAATTATCTAGATAGGAAAACTGTAACTAGAACACTTTAGAAAATTTTCCTGCCCTTGAAATCGAGATTGTCATGAGATTTTATTTATTCATTGGCGATTTTATTAATATGATTTTTAAAATGTAGTGCTAATCAATAAGATTTAGAAAATATATTAAAGTTATACCTGGGTAGAAATGCCTCTGTCATTTTCTATAGATTTCTGAATTCTGAAGTCTGTACTACACTAGAGTACTAGAAACAACATAAAATGAAGAGAATATTTTAGAAAAAGTATCAACCTTGGACTCAATAAACATCTATTAAGTGTCTCTTACATGCAAGTCACCATATTAAGTACCAGAGAAACAAAAGTAAAAATGACCACTGCTTGTAAGCTATACACAATCAATTGGTTAGATACATATGAATGAAAGCAATTACAGCCCAGCAAGATAAAGTACTAATAGATGCATAAACAAATTGTCAACTACTAGTGCTCAGTTTTTCTTCTACAAAATGAGAATAAGTCTTGAATTCAAAATAGAAGGTGTAAGATAAAGAACGCCTTGAGTATTCTGACTTTCTTGAATCCTAGATGCATCTCAGTTGATTAACATAGCCATTCATTCTTGATCATTTATTCACTTATACAATAAATACTTATTGAGTACCTATTGTGAGCCAGGCCCTGTGATGGCCCTGGAGACACAACAGTAAAGAAGATAGTCACAGACCAAGAGTCTAATGGAATGATAATGAAAAAAAGATCATGAATTGGATCATCAATCACAGATTAGAGCCTTTTCCTGTTTCACAGCTACAGATTGATCCCTTTAGCTAGCAAAGTGCAGCTGTGAATTGTGAAAAGTGCTAGAAAAGCAGCTCAAAGAACATATTCAATTGATGACCAGTCACTGGTATCATATGTATATGAAGCTGGCATCCCACGATTATTCCTTATATTCTGATTAGCATTCTAGTTTTTTGCCTCATCTTCCTAAATTAATAATATTCTCAACTCAATAAAATGTGAAACTTTGGAAAGAAAGAATTACAACAGTGCAATATATTTTTCTATAAACCATTTAAAACTTTCTGGCATTCTCATTAAATCTCAGTAAATAATCTTTTAAAATTGGAAATTTAAATCTAATTTTGTTTTGGGGTACACAAATTGGTAATTTTGCTTGTATCATCTTACACCATGTGTTTTATTTTTTAAGACAGGAGTTTTTCTATGTTGCTCAGGCTCGACTAGAACTCCTGGGCTCAAACAATCCTCCTGCCTTAGTTGCTTGAGTAGCTGGGACTTCACGTGTCTGGCACAGTAGTGTGGAAAGAAATATATCTTATTTATTTATTTATTTATTTTTGAGACAGAACCTCTCTCTGTTGCCCAGGCTGGAGTACTGTGGTGCCATCTCGGCTCGCTGCAACCTCCGCCTCCCCAGTTGAAGTGATTCTCCCGCCTCAGCCTCCCTAGTAGCTGGGATTGCAGGCACCCACCACCGTGCCCAGCTAATTTTTGTATTTTTAGTAGAGATGGGGTTTTACCATATTGGCCAGGCTAGTCTTGAACTTTTGGCCTCAAGTGATCCGCCCACCTCGGCCTCCCAAAGTGCTAGGATTACAAGTGTGAGCCACTGCGCCCGGCTGCAAGAGATATATCTTAAACTGAGAAATGTATCTTAAACTCTCTCCCATGCCTTTTCACTCAGTCAACTAAAAATTAAGTAGAATAGAAAAAAAAAGTCTCTAAGGGTGTCTTGATTAATAGGAAACTTTAAAAAATAACTTAATAGACATAAACAAGCAGCCGAAAACTCAGCTTTTCACATTAGTGGATAAAAGTACTATTAAAATAATCACCCTTGTATAAAATAATTCAGATAGATTCTAGAAGAGCTATGCCAAGAGAAATGCTGTAGGTCTCTAGGATTTTATCATAATAAATGGAAAACAACAACAGAATAACTTGAATAATCTTATAATTAGTGGCAGTAGCTTTTAAAGGGTGGTCACTTTGCCCAGATCCTGTTTTTTGTTTAGACTTTGTATGGCAAGTGTTTCATAAATGATTAGAAGAGGTGGTTTCTGTTTCATTAATGAGGATGATGATAATGGTTAATTACTAAACTGGAATAAACAGTCCCAAACCAGAACACAGATGAAAAGCCAATTATGTAGAAATAATTCAGCTGTATTAAATATGATTTACCTTTCCTGTTACGAACCTTAAATATGTTTTAAACCATTGAGAAAAAAACCACTCAACCATCTATCTTGTAACTATAATTTATACTGCTTTTTTGGGGGATTGAAAGCTCTATCTAGTTAAGTTTTTAAATTCAGTGAAATAACTCCAAAATATGAAATAGAATTCACTTGATCTAAACATAAAGTGAAAATCAGTACTTTAGGAGACATTATGTCTGGTTGCATAATATGAGTTCCATCTGTAGGGCCTGGCTTAAAAAAAATCGGGTGAGAGTCATATGACACAGATTTAACCATTTCAAAGTGAACAATTCAGTAGCGTTTAGTACATTCACCATACCATGCAATTACCATCTCCATGTAGTCCTAAACCTTTCATCACCCCAACAGGAAAGCCCATACCCAATAAGCTGTGTACTCCCCATCCTCAAGTCCTGGCAACTACCAATATGTGTTATGTCTCTATAGATTTACCTATTCCGGATATTTCATACAAATAGAATAATATAATATGTATCCTTTTGTTTCTAGCTTTTTTCACTCAATGTAATGTTTGTGAGGTTCATCCACATGTATCAGTACTTCATTTCTTTTTATGGCTGAGTAATATTCCATTTGATGTATATATCACAGTTTATTTATCCATTAATTTCTTTTCTTCTTCTTCTTCTTCTTTTTTTTTTTTTTTTTTGAGATAGAGTCTTACTCTATAACCCAGGCTGGAGTGCAGTAGCTCGATCTTGGCTCTCTGCAACCTCTGCCTCCAAGGTTCAAGCGATTCTTGTGCCTTGGCCTCCTGAGTAACTGGAATTACAGGAATGCACCACCAGACCCACCTAATTTTTGTATTTTTAGTAGAGACAGGGTTTCATCATGTTGGCGAGGCTGGTCTCGAACTCCTGACCTCAAGTGATCTGCCTTCCTCGGCTTCCCAAAGTGCTGGGATTACAGGTGTGAGCTGCCATGACAGCCTCCATTCATTTCTTGATGGGCATTTTATTGTTTCTGTCTTTTGGCAATAGTAAACAGTGCTGCTATGAACATGTGTTTCTTTGAATACCTGTTTTAAATTCTTTTTGTTATGGACCTGGGAGTGGAATTGCTTGATCATATGGTAAATTCTATATTTAACTTTTTGAGTAGTCATGAAACTTGTTTCTACTGCATTGAACCATTTTACATTCCCACCAGGAGTGCGTGAGATTTATAACTTTTCTACATGCTAACCAGTACTTATTTTCTGTTTTTTTTATAGTCATGCTAGTGGGTGTGAAGTGGTACTTCATTATTGTTTTGATTTGCATTTCCCTAATGGCTAATGATGTTGAGCATCTTTTCATGTGCTTTTGGTTATCTGTATATCTTTGGAGAAATGTCTATATAAGTCCTTTACCCATTTTTAAATTTAGTCTTTTTGTTGTTGAGTTATAAGAGTTCTTTGTGTATTCTGGACATTAGACCCTTATAAATATATTATTTGCAAATATGTTTTTCCCATTTTGTAGATTGTAGATTGTAGATTATCTTTCTACTTTCTTGGTAATGTTCTTTGATGCACAGAAGTTTTTAATATTGATGAAGTCTAATTTATCTATTTTTGTATTACTTGTGCTCTTTTAATATCATATCTGAGAAACCATTCCCATATCCAAACTCGTGAAGATTTACCCCTATGTTTTCTTCTAAGAGTTTTATGATTTTAGTTCTCATTGACACATTTTGAGTTTACTTTTTTCATATGGTGTGAGGTAGGGGTCCAACTTCATTCTTTTGCATGTAGAGATCTATTTGTCCTAGCACCATTTGTTGAGACTATTCTTTCCTGATTGAATGGTCTTGGTACCCTTGCCTAAAATCAATTAGCCATAGATGTATGAGTTAGAATCTGACTTTAAAATTATTGCAAAACTAAGTTGACTTTTTTTGTTTTGTTTTGTTTTGTTTTTAGAGAAGGGTCTTGCTATGTTGCCCAGGCTGCTCTGGGCCTCCTGGCCTCAAGAGATCCTCCCATCTTGACCTCCCAAAGTCCTGGGATTACAGATCCACTGTAATCCAGGGCATTCAATGTGCCCTGACACCAAGTGGACATTTTAATCTTACTACAGAGATGCTCAAAAATTTGACTTCAGATTAATAGGGTATGTAAGAATTTTCCAGATACATATTTTGGTCTCTTGACTTTGTTCTTATAATAAGATACAGTAGAGAAGAAGCATTCTATAGTTGAAATAGCATTCTCTCTAGGATGCCTAGGTTTGAATCACATCTGTGAGTTTGCTAGTCATTGACCCCAGCCAAACAATAATATCTGCCTTTATAAGAAAATGTCTAGGAGTTTCTTGTTTGAATTAATCATCATGGTGCTCATTACATGTTGTCAAAAACCTCAGGCATGCTTCTGAGTTTTGCTTTTTACTGTAATGACAACTGGGTGAAGAAGGGTGTCCACTAGATTTTTTTCTCCATGATAAAGCATATTGAGGAAGAAAGAAGTTTGGTGTTTACTTTTCTATTGTACATGATGTTCCCCCTACGCCCTTCTAATCAGTGACGCAAACTCATACGAGTTATGAAAGCTGATGGTGTACACCTTTTTCCAACTCTATATTCTGTGACATTACACTGGTAGCTTGAAATTGGGCATGGTGGGAGTATATATACTAGGAAATTATCAAATGCTACAGATAAAGTTTGATTTTTTCCAGTGAGCTGTTTTGCCAGCACACCACTGCTTCTCTTCCTTCCTTGTCTTACTCATTTTTAATAATTCTTTAAGACTTAGTTTAAATAAAACTACATTTCAGAAGCCTTCATTCACCTCTATAGGCAAGTGTCCCTCTTCTCTGCTTTCATAGAAAACAGTACATAACTTTATTGCCTTTTCAAGGACTTTTCAGGGACCAAATTCTGTTATCAGTTAGGGATCAATTGGAGAAGCCAAACCAGGGATTTTAAGAGATTTATTACAAGGCATTGGCTTATGCAATTGTGGAGGCTGTTTGAGCAAGTCGAAAGTCCATAGGCTGGTGGTCAGGAAGGGATCACAAGCTGAAACCCACAGGCATGAACCATTTGGAGTCTTCTTTTTCATTCTCTCGCCTCCCTGCATCATTAGTCTTTCCCCCCTTCACTACAAAACAATTTCCATCATCTTACGAACACAGCCTACTGCTTCATGTGAAGAGAGGCAGAGAAGTGGAATGCTATCTAGATTGAGTTGTGGGGTCTGGGGAGATTTTTTGCTTTATTTTTTTCACAAACTTCTGGTCAGATAGATAGAAAACATTTCTACCCATTGTGTTTCACTACCTCCCCTCGAAATTACTCTTATTAATCCTTAGAATCTGATTTCATTCTTACCACACCAGTAAAGCTGCTGTGATCAAGGTCATCAAAGAAGGCACTTTTGGTTGTTCAAATCATCCAATTCCAGTGCATTTTTCCCTTGTCCATTTTCACTGTAGAGACTAGAAAAATTAAACGGTCTCTTTCCCAGAGCTTCCCTTGCAGTTTAGGTTGGTCACGTGACATAGTTCTGACTAATGAGATGTAAAAGAATTCTGGGGGTAAGGGCTTCTTGGAAAGTTGTTCTGTTTTCTTTTATTAGTTTATTTATTTTAGTTTATTTTACTTTAGATGTTTATAGATAACTATCTTTACAAATAGTTAGCATATCAAGGTTCTAAGTTTTAAAAAATTTCTTCCATTCAAGAATAGGTTTAGAAAACCTATTCTTAGACCAAGATTCAGTTCATCTTTAATGTGTCCATGGATGAAGAACCTAGTGAAGGATGTAATGTAACTTCACTTGTATATGATGTTGTTCAATTTACCTAACACTTTATGGGACAAGCTAGGCCTACGTATTAAAGGTTATCATTCCCATGTATTGCCAAACAGGCTGGTACTACTTCAGCTGCCAAAACAATCTCAGCATCCCCTCATTCAGGACATGATCACCCTTGGGGTCACTGTACTGATCTGAGAGGGCAGACCCTCACACATGGGGCTAAAGCCTCAGAAAAGAAGAGCTCTGGACTTTCCTTCTCCTACTACTCAGGATTAGTTCCATGTGGATTCATGTCAAGTTTTTCTATTCTTGATAAAGGACATATGTTGCTGGTACCACACCTTTGCCTTTTTTTCCTGCCTTGCACATAGATGTGAGTCCAGAGCAATGATACCCACCTTGCAACTAGTAGAGAAAGTCCAAGGAAATCCCAGAGAAGCAGGCCCTGACGTTCAGCTACCAACCAATGTCTTTAGCTGCTTACATACAGACGTTTTGTTGTGTGGGGATAAAAAAGCAGAGCCCTATTTGGGTTTAATTGGATTTTTGTTTCTTGCTTCTGAAATAAGTTCTAATGAATACAATCATCAGTAACTTTCATTTTGCTAAATCCAATAGAAAATATTTTTCTTCATTTTATTTAGCTTCTCAGTAGCATTCCATACTGTTGAGTACCTTCTCCATGAAACATATGTCCCTTCTGATTTTTTTGATACCACTCTATTGTTTTTTTCTTTTACCTTTTTAGCTATGCAATCTATTTTGTGAGTTTACTCTGAAACTAACATTTAAATATTGAAGTTCCTCAAGGCCATGTCCTACTACTTCATTTTAATGTCAACATGTCCAAAATTGAATTATTGATTTCCATTAAAAATCCATTGTTATTCAAATCTTATTTATCCTTACTAAACTGTAAATTGATCCAACAATCCATCAATGCGAAACCTGGAAGTCATCCATGATTCATTAGTCTCCATCATTCCTACTGTGGCAGATACTATGAACTGGCTCACCTGACGCTATTGTAATAAACTTTCTAGGAGCTGGAAAATGAAATACTCATTTTCTAGCCTCCCTTGAATCTGAGTGGTTAATAACATACTTTTGATCAAGGAGCTATTGATGGATGTTTCTAGAAGTGCTTATGTTTCTGGATAAAATCTCACTAAAAAAAATCTTTGTAACCCTCCCTCTATCTTCCTTACTGGAACTCAGCAATGGTGCCTGAAAGTATGGCATTTATCTTGTGACTGTATGTTTGAAAGCCATACCTAATGATGAGAGAGCAAAAGATAGAAAGATCTTATGACATTGATGACATCATAGAACTACTATACCAGCCCTGGACTACTCAGATTCAGACTCTTAGTTAAATGGGAGAAACACTTCTCTATTTATTCTTAACATTTCTCTATTTATTCTCTATTTATTTCTACACTGTAGTAGAATTTTCTATTATTTGCTGCCAAATGCAATTTCTCATTCTAATCATCCAATCATTAGAAAAACCTACAGATTCTACAGCAAAATGTATCTTGAATCTGTCAACTTATCTCCATGCCCTACTTCAAGTCACAGCCATCATCCTAGTTTTATATACTGTGATAGTCACCTAACTAGTCACTTCACTTTCTCTCTTTCTCTCCTCCATTCTAGTCCCCATATAACATCCTGAGCTATTTGGAAATTAAATTCACTCAAGAAGTTAGGAGTAGAGGAGAATTATATCAATTTGATAAAGAGCATGTATAAAAATCCTACAGCTAACATCACTGAATGAAAAACTGAATGCTTTCTCTCTAAGACTAGGAACAAAGTGAGGATGTCTTCTCACACCATTCTTATTCAATATAGTGCTGGAAATTCTAGCCATTGCAATAAGTCAAGAAAAAGAAATAGAAGGCATATAGATTGGAAGGAAAGAAATAAAACTGTTCCCATTTGCCAATGAGATGATGGTCTGTATAAAAAATTCCAAGGAATTAAAAATTCACTCTGGAAATAACAAGTAAGTTCAGTAATGTTGCAGGATATAAGACAATACAGAAAAATACAATCACATTTCTATATACTAACAATGAACATGAAGAAACTGAAATTAAAAGCAGTACCATTTACAATCACTCCAAAGAAAATGAAATATGTAGTATGTACTTAACAAAACATATACAGGATTTGTATTCTAACAACTATGAAAAAATAACTCAAAGACAGCCTAAATAATTGGAGAGATATATCACATTCATGGACTGGAGGACTCAACAGAGTAAAGATGTTAATGTTCCTCAAACTAATCAATAGGTTTGTGAAAGGAAAATAAATCTTAGGGCCCCAAAATCACTAAGCTAAAGAGAAAAGTCAAGCTGGAAACTGCTTATGGCAAACTTGCCTCTCATTCAATTCAAAGTCACCTCTTTGCTCACTGAGATAAATGCATATCTTATTGCCTCATTTGGAGAGGCTAATAAGAAACTCGAAAGACTGCAACCATTTGTCTCTTACCTATCTATGACCTGGAAGCTCCCTCCCCGCTCCAAGTTGTCTCACCTTTTCTTTGAATTGCCCCACTTTTTCTGGACCAAACCAATGTTCATCTTACATATGTTTGTTGTGGGAAGTCAGGGACCCCGAACGGAGGGATTGGCTGAAGTCATGGCAGAAGAACATAAATTGTGAAGATTTCATGGACATTTATTAGTTCCCCAAATTAATACTTTTATACTTTCTTTTTTTTGTTACTAATTTTTTTACAAAATTACAATATTGTAATAGCAATAACAATAGCTCCACATTCGAGTTCCTAACAAGTGTCAATGATGTGATAAGGCAATTCATTGATTATCATGAAAACCCATGATTACTACAAATTAACAGATAAAGAATCTAGGCACAGAAAGGTGAAATAATTTGCTGAAGGCTACTCTTAACCACTGTACTCTAATATTAAAAAGTCTTCTTGGCTAATGCGATTGGGATCAGTTACACCTGTCTTTACTGCAGTCTCTGAATATAAATTGTGAAGATTTCATGGACACTTATCACTTCCCCAATCAATACCCTTGTGATTTCCTATGCCTGTCTTTACTTTAATCTCTTAATCCCGTCATCTTCGTAAACTGAGGAGGATGTAGGTCGCCTCAGGACCCTGTGATGATTCCGTTAACTGCACAAATGGTTTGTGGAGCATATGTGTTTGAACAATATGAAATCTGGGCACCTTGAAAAAAGAACAGGATAACAGCAATGTTCAGGGAACAAGAGAGATAACCTTAAACTCTGACTGCCGGTGAGCCAGGTGGAACAGAGCCATATTTCTCTTCTTTCAAAAGCAAATGGGAGAAATATCACTGAATTCTTTTTCTCAGCAAGGAACATCCCTGAGAAAGAGAATGCATCCCTGAGGGTAGGCCTCTGAAATGGCCGCTTCAGGGGTGGCCATCTTTTACGGTCGCAGCTGTAGGGATGAAATAAGCCCCAGTCTCCTGTAGCTCTCCCAGGTTTATTAGGACGAGGAAATTCCCGCCTAATAAATTTTGGTCAGACTAGTTGTCTGCTCTCAAACCCTGTCTCCTGATAAGATGTTACCAATGACAATGTGTGCCCGAAACTTCATTAGCAATTTTAATTTCGCCCCAGTCCTGTGGTCCTGTGATCTCGCCCTGCCTCCATTTACCTTGTGATATCTTATTACCTTGTGAAGCATGTGATCTCTGTGATCCACTCCCTATTCGTACACTCCCTCCCTCTTTGAAAATCGCTAATAAAAACTTGCTGGTTTTGCGGCTTGTCGGGCATTACGGAACCTACCGACATGTGATGTCTGCTCCGGACACCCAGCTTTAAAATTTTTCTCTTTTGTTCTCTGTCACTTTATTTCTAAGACCAGCCAACACTTAGGGAGAATAGAAAAGAAACTACATGAAATATCGGGGGTGAATTTTGCCCGATATCTGGCTGAATTTCCCCCGATACATGTTGATTGATGTCTTGTGTCTCCCTAAAATGTACAAAACTAAACTGTGTGCTGACTACTTTGGGCACATGTCATTGGGACCTCCTGAGGCTGTGTCATGGGTGCATGTCCTCAGCCTTGGCAAAATAAACTTTCTAAATTAACTGAGACCTGTCTCAGATATTTGGGGTTCACAGATTTAATACAATTCCTATAAAAATCCCAGTGAATTTTTTTAGCAATAGACAAGCTTATATTGAAAGTTACATGGAAAAAGCACAAGTCCTAGAAAAATTAAAATAATCATGACAAAGAAGAATAAAATGGGAGAAATCCCTCTACTTAATACTATGGCTTACTGTAGAGCTATAGTAATCAAAACAGCAAAACTGTATAGTGCTGGTGGAGAGACAGACACATAGAACAATGGAAGAGAATAGAGAATCCAAAAATTGGCCCACATGAATATTTCCAACTGAATTTTGACAAGGGTGCAAAAGCAATTTAATGGAGGAAGGATCACCTTTTTGAACAATGATGCTGGAGCAATTGGTTGGATACCAATAGGCGAAAAAAAATAAGAAAAGAAAAAGAACCTTAAGACTCACTCTCACTCTTTATAAAAATATTAACTAAAAATGAATCATAGACTTAAATGTAAAAGTTAATATATAAAGCTTTTAGAAAAAAAATCAGAGAAAATCTTCAGGATTTGGACTAGGGAAAGAGTTCTTAAATTAAACATCAAAAGTAGAATCCATAAAAGAATAAATTGATACATTAGACTGCATAAAAATGAAAAACTTTCACTTTGCAAAAGACCCTCTGAAGAAGATGGATAAGCTACAGACTGGGAAAAATATTTGCAAATCATATATGCAACAAAAGACTAGGAACTAGAATATATAAAAAGGCAACAGTAAAAAGATAACCAATTGGAAAATGAGAAAAAGACATGAATAGACATTTCCCCACAGAGGATATATAAATGGCAAATAAACACATTAAAAAATGTTTAGCATTATTAGCCATGAGAAAAATGCAAGTTAAAACCACAACCTATCAGAATGGCTGAAATAAAAAATAGTGATAATACTGAGTTCTGGTAAAGATGCAAAGAAACTGGATCACTCATACATTGTTGGTAGAAAGGTAAAATGGCACAGCTATTCAGGAAAAGTTTAGAAGCTTTTTATAAAATAAAATTTCCAACTACCAATAAAACCCAGCAATTGCACTCTTGGACATTCATCCCAGAAAAATGAAAACATGTATTAACACAAAAACCTGTACATGAATGTTCATAGCAACTTTACTTGCAATAGCCAGAAACTAGAATGAAATAACAAGTCCTTCAATGGGTGAATGTTTAAACAAACTGTGGCAAGCCCATACAATGGAATATTAATCAGTAATGAAAAGGAGTGAGCTCTTGATATATACAACTTGGATGACTCTCCAGGGAATTATGCTGAGTTAAAAAACCCAATCCTATTTGCACTGAAAGGGCTCCTAGTTAAAAAAAAAAAAAAGCCATTCATAAAAGATTATGTAATGTACTAACCTGGAAATAACAAAATTTTAGAAATGGAGGACGGTTAGTGGTTTCCAGAGGCTGGAAATGGGAAGACGGTGGAGGAAGAAAGGTGTGGTTTAAAACGGTACAACATGAGGGATCCTTGTGGTGTTGCAACTGTTCAGTACCTGAACTGTGGCGATGGACACATAAACTTGCAAGTGACAAAAATCTTATAGAACTTACACACGTACATAACTGCAAGTAAAACTGGGGAAATCTGAATAAGATAGGTGGTTTGTATCAATGTCAATGTCTTGCTTGTGGTATTGTCCTATAGTTTTGGAAAATATTACCATTGAAGGAAACTGGATAAAGTGTAAGAAAGATCTCTCTGTATTACTTCTTATAACTGCAGGTGAATCTACAATGATCTCAATGAGAATTTCAATTAAACAAAACAACAAGAGAAAACAAAACAAAAAATACGCTTCAGACTGTGTGCCTTCTTTACTTAAAATCCTTCAATGATTTTCTATTACATTCAGAATAAAATTCAGACTCCTCTAAGGCCCTATACAGTCTGGTTCCTATTTTCTCTCCAGTCTCATTTTGTTCTAATCATGTCTTTTCTCATTATTCACCACACTGGACTTCTTTTGGTGTTCGCACAGGCCAAACTCTTTCCATACTTACGAACTTTGTATGTGTTGTTCCCACTAAAACACTCATCCCTCAGTTTTTATTGTGGCTGTTTTTTCTCATCTTTTAGATCTTGGCTTGGATGTTACCTCCTCAAAGTCCCTTCCCTAATGACAATCAGTCAGTCAAGAAAAAATAATAAATATTAAACATAAATAAATAAAACAAGTGGATTAAATCTGTAACTCTTTATGTCATTACTGATAAGGCAATAATGTTAATATTTTTAATATTTTAAATGGCATATATCTATCTATGTAGGCTACCTGTGTATTGATTGACATTATAAAAATGATAAACTGTAAGAGATTTCCCCATTCATGCTTGTTAAGGAACACCAGTGAAATGTGTGATTATAAATAAAATGCTCAGGTGATAGTAGCCTGTGCAAAACTTAAAAATATGTTCTATTGGCCAGACGCGGTGGCTCATGCCTGTAATTCTAGCACTTTGGGAGGCCAAGGCAGGTGGATCACAAGGTCAAGAGATGGAGACCATCCTGGCCAACATAGTGAAACCCCATCTCTACTAAAAATACAAAAATTAGCCGGGCATGGTGTCACATGCCTGCAATCTCAGCCACTCGGGAGGCTGAGGCAGGAGAATCGTTTGAACCTGGGAGGCAGAGGTTGCAGTGAGCTGGGATTGTGCCACTGCATTCCAGCCTGGCGACAGAGCGAGACTCTGTCTCAAAAAAAACAAAACAAAACAAAACAAAACAAAACAAAACAAAACAAAACATGATGAGGCTCCATCTCTGCAAAAACTAAACAATACAAAATATTTTTTTAAAAAAGAAACAAAAATTTTTTTTTAAAAAGAAACAAATGTTTCTGATAAGTACTTTAGAAATTAAGCATTGCTTTAAAAAATCAAGTATTTTGATAAAAAATATCAATAGCAGAAGAATGAATTCTTTTGCTATTATTCAATGTGAGGTTGCCAGTAGAGTGTCGCTTCTTTTAAGGCATAATTTGGAGCCTATTTTTGGAATATTTTTTAATCAACACAAAGGAATTGTAATGATATGATTATTATTTTTTGGCTCACTGACTAAAATTCACAGGCACAGGCCCTATTATTTTAAAAAGTAAACAAAACTCCATGTAACATGACTTACAGGTTTTATCATAATCTACCCTGTGTAGATGAGGACCCTTGAAAAATTCAACATGAATATAGTTGTTGGGAAGCCAGAAACAGGATGAGGGCTAAGATCATATGCCAGGGAAAGTCGAGGCGTATATTGAAGCAGTGTGTTGTTCCTATGAATGTGGAATTGGGCAGGACTGAGACCAAACCCTAGAGTCAGATAAAAAAGGTGAGTCGGCCGGGCATGGTGGCTCATGCCTGTAATCCCAGCACTTCGGGAGGCTGAGGTGGGTGGATCAGGACATCAGGAGTTAGAGACCAGTCTCAAAAAAAAAAAAAAAAACAAATGGTGAGTCATCAGATCAGAGGAGATGTAACCAGGAGAGTCAGAGTTTACTGGCTGAAACTGTTTGAAACTTTGCCTCTTAAAGGGATGAGACTATGAGCTTAGTATCTAACACACTTTGTTATTATAAGTGATATTAAAAAGAAATCATGATCAAGTTATTTATATATTCTGTACAACTGCTTGGATTTTCATTGATTCTCATTTCTGCTACCAATTAGCTATGAGAACTTGAACAAGTACTAACATCTATTTGTGTTGCAATTTGTCTTAGCCAAAAAAGAGCAAGTTGGATTAGAATGTACATATCTAACATTGTATCAATATATGGATCATTCATATTTCTTTTTTTCTTCTTCATCTTCTTTTTTTAAAATTTTTGAGACAGGGTCTCACTGTGTTGCCCAGGCTGGAGCACAGTGGCCCAATGGTGGCTCACTGCAGCCTTGACCTCCTGGGATCAAGCGATCCTCCTCCCAGCTCAGTCTCCTGAGTAGCTGTGACCAGGCACATGCCACCATGCTTGACTAATTGTTTTTTTATTTTTTGTAGAGACAGGGTCTTGCCATATTGTCCAGACTGGTCTCAACCTCCTGAGCTCAAGCAATCCTCCCACCTTGGTCTCCCAAAGTGCTAGGATTACAGCCATGGCACTAGCTAAGAGATTAATTTTTTTTTTTTTAAGACAGGGTCTTTTCTGTCACCCAGGCTGGAGTGCAGTGGTGCGATCTTGCCTCACTTCAACTGCCGGTTCCTAGGTTCAAGTGATCCTCCCACTTCAGCTCCATGAATAGCTGGGATTACAGGCCTTACCACCACAGCTGTGCTAATTTTTGTGGTTTTTTTTTGTAGAGATGGTGTTTCGCCATGTTGGCTAGGCTGGTCTCGAATTACTGGGCTCAAGTGATCCACCAGTCTCAGTCTCACAAAGTGCTGGGATTACAGGTGTGCACCACATATTTCTAATTGGTTGAAAACTTTATTTGTAGGTAATGCAAAGATAAACATCAAGATGAATCATTTTAGCATCTGTACTAATGAAGTTTGAATTAATCAGGGTTTGTTTCCTCTTCCTTTGTATTTTACTCATTAGTTTGTAGAGATCTAATGTTTTGTAACCAAAGTGGAAGAACGTCAAATTCAATAAAGAAAACAAAATATTTATTAAGTAAACAACAAGGAACTGTGGGAGAGTGTAACTTGGAGATTCCAAAGGGCTCTATCCCTGATGATCTGGTTATCTGATTTATGTCAGCTTGTAATTGTCCTTGTTTTGACCCAAGAGATGATTGTGTGGGAAGTTTGTCTCTGAGAGCTAATGCATGGCTCTGCAGTGTGTCTGGAGTGTATGAAGAGTGCCACCTCTCCACCCCTTCTAAAGAGAGAAGGACTTATCTTCTCTAGCTGGAAAGTGACATTCTTTGCTGACCACCAGTCAGGAACTCTGTGCAGGGACAAGGGTATGAGACCACTCTCCCCACTGTGCTTTTATTGACTATGCAAGTTGAGCTTGACTCTTTAAAGGGAAGAATACTCTTCCAGTCAAAGCCTTGATAGAACAACCAGTTTCTCTAATTGGGTTTTGTTGCAAAAGAAAAATAGATTCTTACTGCACTGATGCAAACAACTATATTGCCACAAGTTAAGAACACTCACAGATAGTTTCTGAATTCTAGAGGAAACAGGCAGAGAGAAACAAACATGCTCCACATTTTGTTCACAGAAGTATACCTTACTCAATTATTAAAGGCTGTAAATAGTTCAAAATAAGTTTCCTTGACTCTGAAAAAAACACGGATCAGCAATATTCCAAGCAAAAGTAAAAAAGATTTGCTTCAGTTTCTGAGTTCAGTCCATTTAGTTAACTCTTGTTTTGCTTGATATTTGTGAACATTTTAGCTCTTCATGAGTCTTGTACATTTCCCTTTATTCCAATGTTACAATCTCCAAAAATTATCAAAAACCAAACCTGTATTTGAGAGCATCTGTTACAGTTCTACAGCCTATTATAAACCACCTTTGGAAAAGGATTACAACAAGACAACAATTGTCTGTGAATTACAAAATGTCCAGGGTAGTTACAGTTAGAAACCCAATTGACAAAGAAGTTTGGTTATCTCTGTGGTTTACAATAACTTAACATAACAACCTTAATTATGATTGATAGCATATACTTAGACATTAAAATTTTAGAAATCCCATACAATTTTGGAACATATATTAGTATTATTCACCAAAATATGACCTAAATAAAATTGAACATCATTTTGGCAATCTCATGTAACTAAATATGTCAAAAAATCCTGTTTACTTCTTTTCTGGATGTTTCAGGGGCCCTCTAATCCACCCAAAAAGCCAGACAATCAGGAAAGACAATTTTGAAACTGAAGTTTCATTTTGGGAAGGCTGTTAAAGGTGTTTGATTTTTAAAATACTTAATGTTATGAAATAGAATTTAGATTATAATGTTATTTATTTTGCCAAAATGATGACTCAGAAATTGTAAAGAGACAAAAACCTTTTACAACCCTTTACAAATTTTGCTAAAGAGCAGATTCATGCCTAAAGAGTATCTTTTTGAGCTTTTATTTTAATGCTCAATTTACGGAAAAACCATATAATACCTTTTTTGAATTTACTCAATATGGTCACACAGAGGACCACTTCTGCAAGATTAATTTCCACAATCCTTACACTACTTTTGTTTGAACCTTCAGCTTTATCACATTTAATGTAAAACAATCTTTTAACCCTAGGCAAGAATTTATATTTCCATGCCTTCTTATAACCTTTTATAGAAAAACACATTTTACTGTTCTTACACATCTCACATGTAAATCTATTTTCAGTAGTTTCAATTACATGTTATAATGGTAATTCCTGGCAATTTTTAACCTTAATGTAAAACCTGGTAACTTGTTTAATTGTGTGCTATGTGCAACCAAGGTTTGACTCCTTCCAGCATAATTAAGGGCGTGTTTAGTTCTACATGTCCCCAGGCCTCACCAGTTATGAAGCCAGCAAGTCATATAGTTCTTAAAACCCAGAAAGTAGTTTATAACACTTAGCAAACCTTGCATATGACCTGCATAATTTAGTCCACCTATTTACATTTTGATGACATCTGCTTTTTACCAATAATCTTAAAGGCTGCTTTTATTTCTCAAAGATTAAAGTCATGTGAACTGAAGGGTACCACAGCTTTTATATTCCCTTTAAAACCTACATGATCCAATTGCTTGTCTTCTTTTAGGCCGATGAATTAGAGCTCTTTTTACAGACATCACACACAGCACACATATTGCTACACAAACAGGCAGAAGAAAACCCAGTCCCCAGGTGGAGCCCTTTAAGAGACAGGGCTAGGAAAATATGCAGATATCAAACCAGAAAGGACTTATTTCCTAAAGCAGGATTGCTAAAGAAAGCCTTGCCACGGGTTACAGGCCACGACCGCAGGATGTAAAACAAGATGAAGGCCTGCAGTGAAGTTTGCTATGACCCACACAGACATGCAAAGCACACCAGATTGTCTACAGCTTAAGACCAGCCTCACAAAGCCTTTTTCACAATTAAAACTTTGCAGAGAATATAAACAGTGATCCTCATCATTCCAGCTGAGTAAAACACCTTCTAAAAGGAAAAAAACTTTTAACTGCTGATGGCGTAGGGAAAAGGATGCCTGGGGGGAACAACCTCTTATTCTTATGCAAGTGGTTCCTCCACTGGGGAGAGAAGCTTAATTACTGTCCAATGGAGTTGAACCCCTTGGCCAAGGAAGGGGAAAGTCTCTGGCAGTGAGTGGCAGGGAATGCCAGCTAGCTGTTCGTTCAGGGCCCTTGGGCCATGCGTTTCAGCCCTGGCAGGGAGGGGAAGGGGAGGGGAGGAGAAAGCAGCTGCTGGCCTGTCCATCCCAAAAAAGGAAGGAAAAGACCATGGAGACCGAAGCTGACCTTCTCAACCCCCAGAAGTGATGGGGGTGGGGTCACAGTTTCCCCTACCCTCAGAAGTCCGAGGATGAAAAGGCTTAGAAACAAGAGGGAAAAAGTCTTTTTTTTGGTTTGCATCTGCTTCACCACTTCTCAAGCCCCATGTTGGGTGCCAAAGATGTTGTAGGACTCTCTCCTTAGTTCAGCTAAGAGGTGGGTCCTTGTCACACGGCCATGAAAAATTAGGCTTGCAGACAATTTGAAGGTTGAGACTAATGGAGTTTTTTGGACAAAAAAGAAAAAGGGGAAACAGGGACTCTCCGCAAAGCCAGAGTCCCTGCTAGTGTGCTTCCCACCTCACAGATTGAACCCTGGGTTTCACCCAGGTAGAGGTGGGGCCAGGCTCCTCCCCACTGCAAATGGTGTGAAATTCTGTGGCTCCACCCCAGTGCTCACTCCTCCCAGTGCACAGGCCAGTTGGAATTCCGGAGACCCCCTTACACTTGGCTGTTTCAGTAAGTCATAAGGAGCTGTCAGAGCAGGGGTTCCAATTACTGTATGTCCCAGCAATGTTGCTAGCAGACAGGGGAAGGTTTGGAGGTCATGCAAGCTAGTAGTGTAAAAACAAGTATAAATCTCAGGGGATATCTGTAAGGGAGCCTGTGTCTTTGCTGCCACATAAACACAGTAAGAGCTGCGGAACACAAATAACAGGGAGTGTGTGTTTAAGAAGCCATGTGGCATGCAAAGTGAAAGCAAAAGAGGCAAACTTGCCCCTGTGGTGGATGGTCTGGTGGGTGTGTAAGGTCATTTCTGAAAACACACAGAGAAAATAGGAGAATAGGCAGTATGGGTTCTTGGAAAGAGCTGATTTTAGTTGAAAAGGCAGAAGAAACCCCAGACATTGCCCGGTTTTAGGCTTTAGCCCTCTCACTCTTGAGAGTTTCCTGTCCAGAAGGGCCATTAGTGCCTCAGTTCTACTCGGTGTGGACCCCAAGTTCCTTCCCACCCCTATGAGCCAGGGTGAACTGAGAGATCAGCACGGGGAGCAGACCACTGTGGCTGAGAGGTACAATTCTGGGTGTTAATTTGTAAGCAGGAGAGGGAAAGGGGAGAAGAAAACAGTGTATGGGGGTTAAATGTCTCCAGATGAAGAAGGCAAGGCATAGAGGTGTCTTACCACTGGGGAATGTATCCAAGTCACGTGGCACCAAATGTGTCAGCAACAGATCATATCCGAGTCACACAGCACCAAAGTATACCAGTGGCGGTGAATTTGCATGGGTCTGCAGCAACCTCAGTTCTTGCCTCCTCAGAAGAAGGAATTCAGCTGAAGGGCATAGGGTGGAGGAGAGTCTGAGGCAAGTTTTAGAGCAGGAGTGAAAGTTCATTAAAAATCTTTAGAGCAGGAATGAAAAGAAGTAAAGTACACTTAGAAGAGGGCCAAGCAGGCAACTTGAGAGATGCTGTTTGACCTTTGACATGGGGTCTTATACATTGGCATCCTTCTGGGTTCTTGTATCCCTTCTCCCCTGATTCATCCCTTGGGGTGGGCTGTTTGCATGTGTAGTGGCCTGCTAGCAGTTGGGAGGGGAGCACATGCAGTGTGTTTACTACAGTTGTATGAATGCTCACTTGAGGTGTTCTTTCCTTACCAGTTGAATGTCCCTAGAAGGTCATATACCAGTTAAACTCTGCCATTTTGCCTCTTAATTGCGCATGCTTGAGCCCACTCACCTTACTCCTGAGATCTTATTGGAAAGCTGCTGATCAATAGCTTCTCCTGCCCTGCTCATACCGCCTGACTATCTACTGTAACTGAATTAAATAAATTGGTGTTTAGAGATGAAAAAATCAACATTTTCCCAATTAAAGTGTAAATATGAATGTCTTGTATAAATTCTGCTAAATCCTTAGTTTAAAAAATAGCATTGTACTTTCATCAAACCATACTGATCTGATAACCACACTTTCGAATAGTCTCCAAAAATTTTGTTTCCTTCATGTTTTACTCTGAAAAGCCCAGCATTGACTGAAAGGAATGAAGCAGTGAGAACTGGACCAGAGAATGGCAAATACTTATGTCACTGCATGTGATAGGTATTGTCTTGCTGAACCAGTCAGTGCATTGCTATGATATGTGACAAAAAACTACAGTAAAAAATTGTTAATAAGACTTTTTTGTGAGAATTATGGTTAATTACAGAGATTTAAAAAATAAATTAACAAATGAACAAAAGACTGTAAATTATTCTCTATGAAAGAAAATAATTAGCTTCAAAAATCAATAATACTAAAATATTGTAAGCCAGAATGAAAGGTAAGGAAGGAAAAGCACAATAGTCTAAAACTGTGTTCAGTTTTAAAAAAGAGAATTAACATGCAAATTTGAAGTTATTTTTATGGGTTGGCTCAAACTGGTTTTCATGCAATTTAGTAAATGCAGTTCGCAATAGATTTTCACATGCTTGACATTTTAATCTTAACATAAGATTCTTATAAAAGGTAAAGAGAAAGAAAACAGAATGCAATAGAAACAGGAATTTTTTTGCAAAAAGACTAAGATTATAATATAAATTTAATCTTAAATGCAGCTTTCTTTTATAGTTTGAACTCTGATTTCCATGCCAACAGAACATCAGCCAGTTTTCTACTGTAGTGAAAAAAAGACGGTCTTATTTGACAGTCATCCAAGAAAGGTCCTCTTCTTCTTTTTTTTTTTTTAAAGAAAGCTACGTTGTTTTACTGTTAACCTTCTTTCTTATATAAGGCTGTCATTTGGTATTCATTCAACATTTAGCATTGCTTTGGATACTGTAAGATTGTAAATGATTTATGTAAATTAATTAAAATTATGATGTTTACCAATCTTGGTGGCAGAATTTTGAGGATAAGAATAAGTCTAATCATCTAATGATTCAGCACCAGGGGAAGCACACATATTAAAGACATTGAACAATTAAGTATTCCTGGATCCTTCTATAGCCAATTTTGAAATTTTAAATTTAGTAGTTCTCCTGAAAGCAGGAAGTAAGTTGGTGTTTGGGAGCTTCTGATAATAATGATATACATTATGTATCATTTTATAATATATACATGCTTTTAATTACGTATAGTCATGTGTCACTTAATAACAGGTGCTGCTTACATACGTTCTGAGAAATGCATTGTTAGGCAATTTCATCATTGTGTGAATATCATGGAATGTACTTACACAAACTAGAGAGTATAGCTTACTACATACCTGGGCTCTATGGCCTAACCTATTGCTCCTAGGCTAAAACCTGTATAGCATATTACTGTACTTAATACTGTAGGCAATTGTAACACAATGGTAAGTATTTGGTAGATTATTCTAAACATAGAAAAGGTTCAGTAAAAATAAGGTACAAAGGATAACAAATGATACACTTGTATAGGGTACTTATGAATAGAGCTTGCAGGACTGGAAGTTGTTCTGAGTGAATCAGTGAATGAATGGTGAGTGAATGTGAAGGCCTAGGACATCACTGTACATTACTGTAGAACTTATAAATACTGTATACTTAGGCTACCCTAAAGTTATAAAAAATTATTTTCCTTCTTCAATAATAAACTAATTCTAGCTTACTGTAACTTTTTTACTTTATTAACTTAATTTTTTTAGCTTTTTGACTCTTTGGCAATAATACTTTTCTTAAAACACCAACACATTGTACAGCTGTATGAAAATATTTTCCTTATATCCTTTTCCTATTCTTAACTTTTTTCTATTAAAATTTTTTAAAACCTTTAAAACTTTTTTATTAAGGACAAGACACGAACACATGCATTAACCTAGATTTACACTGGGTCAGAATCATCAGTCATCTTCCATCTCCATATCGTTGTCCCTCTGGCAGGTCTTCAAGGGCAGTAATACACGTGGAGCTCTCATCTCCTATGACAACAATGCCTTCCCTGGAATACCTCTTGAAGGATCTGCCTGAGGTTGTTTTACAGTTAACCTTTTTTTTTTTTTTTTTAATAAATAGGAGCACACACTAAAATAATGATAAAAACTATAGGATAGTAAATACATAAACCAGTAACATGGTTGTTTATTATCATTATCAGGTATTATGTACTGTACATAATCGTATCTGCTATACTTTTACATGACTGGCAGCACAGTAGGTTTGTTTACACCAGCAGCACCACAAACATGTGAGGATGGTTATGACATCACTAGGTGACAGGAATTTTTCAGCCCCTTTATAATGTTATTGGACCACTGTTGTATGTGTGGTCCATTATTTACCCAAATGTCTTTATGCAGTGCATGACTATATTTCATTTCATTCTTACAGTGACCCTGTGAATTAGGTAAATTTACTCAGATAAACAACAAAATTAAAAAGAAACTAGTAATTTAAATCTGGCTACAAATGGCAATGAAGGGCATTGAGATATAGCAAATGAAGAGTTCAGACAAAATTTTTCTTTTGTTTGAAATAAGCAGATAACTGGTAAAAGTGTATTTTAGTTTGATTTTTTTTGCGAGGTAGTGAAATAATTTATTAATTCATATTGTTCTTGACCGGAATACACTGAAACTAATTGTATCCACAAGGGAAATGCAGAAGGTGGGGAAAACCTTCTTCTGTTCCAAACTCTAGAACATATTATTTTTCACTTGAGGGAGAATGGATTGCTATGTAAGCTATGAGCAATGATTACCCTTTCTTATAGCTCCTGAGCAACCTCTGCATACCTCTGGGATTGTAGCATTTATCATGTATCAGTTGTTTACTGTCTGTCCATCATGCTGGACAGAAAGCTTCTGGGATGTAGTGGATATGTTGAACTAACTTTGCTTGTTGAGATTAAACACTTTGAAATTTGAAAACTATTAGGAAATTTTGACTTTTTACCATTTGTTCTTTTTCATGTTTTAAAAACTAGATATTTTACCAGAACAAATTAGTTATCAGCTGCATGACACTCATTTTAAAAAATCACCTTATTGCCAGTATTCTATTGCTCAGTTTCCTCCAGCTTTACAGTCTGAATCTTTATAAAATCATTTCAACACTTATAGATTGGATCCACAGGACAGTGATGGTGGACAGTGTGGATTTAGTTCTCGTGAATTAAATAAACCCACTTATGTGGTTGCTCATGATGCTGAAGATGGATACCCTGGAATAAAAAGGTCCAGACCAACCTATTCTTCCTCGAGAAATAAGGGACAGGAAGAATTCTGTGTAGTTTGTGGTGATAAAGCATCACCATCACCATATCATTATAATGCACTTACCTGTGAAGGTTGCAAAGGTAAGGATAAGATTAAAATAAAATTGAAATCTTAGTACAAAATTTTAGGCATGTGAGAATACTCTTACTTTTTAAAGTATGAGAGTTAAAACCAGGGAAAGCCATGCTGTGATTAAATGGATCAGTCTGTGGGATCAAAGACATGAAAATGGAATGAATGTAAAGTTTATATGTAGTGTTTTTTTCATTTTTCATGAGGACTCTTACATTTAATTGTATAATTTGATATTTATAGAGTAGAAGGTTTCCATATTCCTAGATCAGTCTCCTGTTGGAAGAGAAAATGATGTTTTAAAAGATCTGAATGTTTACTATCACATCCTTTTATGTGGTTGCTATAATTCATGCATTTGGAGGAAATTTGAATTGAATGACTTATAAGATTCTATATTTTTTAACGCTTTGCAAAAACAAATTAAAGGTCCGAAAGTGAAGACCATTGCATTTTCCAAGAGTGAAACAGTCCTTGATAAAATTTGAGGTTTTGAAATACTCCTGCATGGCTTTTATTAAAAAATGCAGTTTGGGGACAGAACTTGTGAATGATTAGGTCAATATAGTGGGAAAACATGTCTTGTAGAGGTTCAGAGTGAAGTTTCACTGTTAGAATCTTACAATTCACCCCTTACAAAGAATAGCTAAATGAAGACTATGGGAAATGAAGTAACAGCTTTGTGAATAGAATAGCTGGGCACATGTTTACTTACTCTTGAAATGCAGGGCCTTGCTATTAAAACTAGATTGACAAATGAGACATAGTTCTGGAAACCAAAGCTGAACTTTTTACTCTTTTTGTTGAATCTAAATCATGAAACTCCCACTCTCAAGTGTCTATGGAAAAAGACGATATGGCTGGACTTTAAGAGGGATATTGACTAAGTTTATTGACTTCACTGCTTGGAATGGAAGAAAAAGATAGCAGGGATTATTGCATAAGAACAGGAATTGAAGGAGGAAATATGAAGAGGAACTACTATGCATGGATTTAGAAAGTGAAAGAGAGAATGTAGACCTCCCCCTCCCCCTGCCAAACATGGCCCCCTCAATATCTCAGTCCAAATAAACTAGCAACACTTTCTCATCTGGGAAAGTGCTAAAAAAGAGACATACGTAGGGAAGTAAGTTTGGAAGAATACTTCTTCCTTTGTGGGTTGAGTGGAAATGTGAGAGAAGAAAAAAGATTTTCTTTATAGTTTTATTTTACATGACCACCTATTCTTTAAAGGAAGTCTTGAGAGATGCTTCTTTAAATCTTGATATTCTGTAAAACATAGTTTTAAAAATGCTTTTAGCTGATATAACCACAGTAACATAGAGAGTTGACTTAATGTAATAGAGCTATTGAGTTTAATTTCCAGATGTGATTACTGAAAGGAATAACCTTGGAATAGAAAACATGAATCAGGAGAGGGTTAAGACAACTATCCAGATAAATGTATATCAAACGATCTTATTGAGAGAAAAAACATTTTATTGAAATAATTTAGTTAACGTGATTAATATGAAGGCATATATTAATAAAAATAATTAACTAGAAATACCTATGGTAAAAAATTTTAAAACTTTTTTATTGGGTTTTTTTCAATGTAGCATCAACAAAATGCAGTATATAGTTGCAGGAATGGTAGTCACTGTGAAATGGACATGTACATGCGTAGAAAATGTCAAGAGTGCAGACTGAAAAAGTATAAGGCAGTAGGAATGTTGGCAGAATGTAAGTGCCATGTGTTTTGCTTTTTTCTGAGGCGGATTTTGATTTTTTTTACCTTACTGAGAACTTAATTTTGAATGTCTACTTATTTGTTTGGATTTAAGCTATTTCTCTAGCAAACTACTCAATTTGGATGGCCAGTTACGAATGTAAGTAATTATTTCCATAGACCCTGCTCCATATTATCTTGCTCTAATTTTGGAAATAATCACATTTTCTTCTTAATTGAAAATCCTTGTATTTTCATGTTACTTAACCTAAAGTCATGTATTGCATCTAGAAAGAGGACAATTTTAAGTCAGTAGTTTCCAAAAGCTTACAA
This sequence comes from Homo sapiens, assembly GCF_000001405.40. Taxonomy (NCBI): domain Eukaryota; kingdom Metazoa; phylum Chordata; class Mammalia; order Primates; family Hominidae; genus Homo; species Homo sapiens. The sequence continues at coordinate 114,839,728 of NC_000001.11, forward strand.
GATACCTAGTTATGTAGCATCTGCTGGTAATTAACACACAAGTGTTAAAACTCAACTCTATAGGCAGAAGAGTATGTAATCTTTTTGAATCCCTTCTATGTTCACTGTGTTTTTTGCTTAGATTATATGATGTTATTTAATCCTTACAGTAGTACTACAATTTTGACATAATTTCCTCAATTTCTCCTATTCCTTGTGGCTTACTTTTTTAATTAATTTTTTTCTTCTTTCCCTCCCTCCCTCTTTTTTTTTTTTTTTAGACAAGGCTTGCTCTGTTACCCAGGCTGTGAGTGCAATGGTGCAATCACAGCTCACTGCAGCTTCCACCTCCGGCCTTAGCTTCTCGAGTAGCTGGGACCACAGGCACATGCCACCATATCTGGCTAATTAAAATAAAATTCTTGTGTAGAGATGAGATCTTGCTTTATTGCCCAAACTGGTTTCAAACTCCTGGGCTCAGTGATCTTCCCACCTCAGCCTTCCAAAGTGCTGGGATTACAGGCATCCCATCATGCCCAGCTAATTTTTCTTTAAAGAGTACTATTAATGTTTTCTTTTCATGTCTAATCTAGCCTTGTTCAAACTCTTATTATTTTGCATTTATGCTATAATATTAGTTTCCTGGCCATTTCTTCCTTCTCTCTTTTTGGTCAATCTATCTTTAGCTGTCATAATAATCTTCATTTTTTTATTAAGCTATACTCTTGTTCAATAAATGCCCATGCAATATTCCTTTTATTTCATACTGATTATTATAAAACCCAATCTCTCTTGTCAAAGTTCTTCATCAAAAGGATTCATATTACTTAAAATTTCAGATATGTTATAAATCTTAAGGTTATCCTGTCCAACTAGCCTGAATCCTTCACTTTAGCCCTGTTTTAGTTAGCTTGAGTTGCCATAAGAAATACCATAAACTGGGTGGTTTAAAAAGATATTTATTGTCTTACAATTCTGGAGGCAGAAGTCTGAGATCAGGGTGCCAGCACAGTTTGGTTCCGATGAGGGCTCCCTTCCTAGCTTGCCGATGTCTGCCTTCTCTGTGTGTCCTTACACAGTGGAGAGAAGAAAGAGCAAGCTCACCAGTGTCTTTTCTTAGAAGGGCACAAATCCCATCACCAGAGCTCCACCCCTCATGACCTTATCTAAACATAATTACTTCCCAAAGCCTCCATCTCCAAATTCCATCACATTGAGGGTTAGGGCTTCAATATATGAATTTTGAAGGATACAATTCAGTTCCTAGCGATCCCTGGTAAGTTGTCTTTTAACCTATACATGAAAACCTATGTGAAAGGGAACTCATTTTCTCCCAGGACAATCCATAAATGAAATCAGTCCTCCTTTCCTCTAAACTTGAAGGAATTATTCCAAAATTGAAAAAAGAGAACCTATATGAGTGTTGCTGTCATGGAATATGAATATAAACATTATTCAAATGTTATTTATATGCTTTCCAGTCTCCCACTGCATCTTTCTATGCCTCTCTCTCTCTCTCGTTTATCCTTCTACATTTGAATTCCTGGCTGTCCGACCCCATATTCTAGGTAAAAGGAGTTTTCATCAGGAAAGCCCTGGATTTTTATGTGGCTTGGTTTCATTCCATAAGCATACAACTGAAATGATGGAACTGGAAAAAGATGAACCAAAAGTATTAAATACACAGTACATTCCTATCTTCATAGAATACAGAAGTCCCAGTAAAGTAATCGGCATATCATTAAAACTTTGTGATTCCTATGGAGTACACCAAGCTAGTACACTTGCTTCTCAAGCATTTGGTGCCTATTTATCTGAGAGGTGTGTTCACAGAACAATGTGCATATCTCTCTAGACTTAGGTCTGCTTAAATCTATATGTGTCAAATAAAACACAGAACAATGGAGATATTTTATTTGAAAGGCGCACTGCAAGTGGGGAAGGGACTTTTGCAATAGGGCAAGGGGGACTACTGCAATAGGAAGAATGCTGTAGTTAAAAGATACACAAGCAATTCAAGAGTTAGGCAAAAAAGAGTTTTATAGAAAGGAATAAATAAAGCTAGAAAGAACTGATTACAGAGTAGGATAAAAAGGTGATACGATCAGATAATGTATCAGAGAATGTTTTACTCTGAGTCTAGCCTAGTCTCAGAAAGCTATGTTTGCTGGCTCAGGCTTAGGGTGGATCAAAGTTTCAGGGCCTGGAGCAAGAAATGAAGGTTAGCCGAAGTTTTATTGATACATATTTTGTTTTGATTGATCAGTGGGGATAAAACAGTTAAGATAATCATTCAGGAAGCAGAGAATGTGAATTTGCATGGTCTGTGTCTGCCTTTGTCATAGGTAAACAAAGGGGCATCCACGAGTCTTACCTAAGTCAGATTGGGAAAGGTAGTTCTTTGCAGGAAGCCATTTTCCAGAACATAGAAGGATGGGAAGCTTCCTTTAGCTTTCGCTATTTTATATGAGCATGGGACTCAGGTAAAATTTGAAATTGTCAAGACCTAGTGATTTGAGGGTTGCCCCACGTTTGCCCTAAAGTAATGCATGACTTTGTTTTTATGATCCTGCCACCATTACCATAGATATTCATACTACACTCACCATTAAATTGAACTAATATACTTTTTTTTTTCACTTTCGTAAGTAATTATAGAAGCCTGTGCAAACAGAGCTTGTACGACATTACTTTCTTTCCTTTGGAGTCCTAATTCCCTTGCCATATGATGATACTTTAAGTATCTGAATATAGCTATCTTGTTCCTCATGAATTCCTTTCTCTCATTTTAAAGTATCATGTCCATTACCAAACATGGTAATCAAACATGTGCAAAGCAGAGTGGAATTCAGTCTTTATAGGTACTATGGGTTAGGTATATTAATATAGTTTAAGAACACATTGGCTTTTAAAGGTGGCTGCTCTGTAGATCCCTTTTTCTCTGTTTTAATCTCAGCTCAATCTTATTGGCTGCTAGTAAGGCTGGACCCTGAAACTATTATCTCATATTGAGCTAAGTAAGAGTTGACAGACTACCTCCTTTTGCTTGTACATGTACTGCTATTAATTTACTGTTATTAACCAGTTCAGTCTACAAAGTTCAAAAGTTGTATGCCAAGGACAAATTTGATTTATTAGCAAGAGTGTGCCCTAACCACACTCTGAGGTATGATTACCGTAGGATATCCCAGGTAGTGGAAGTTATTTGAAGTCAGATGAGTTGTAATGTCATGGTTCCAGATTATTGGTGAATTAAAATCCTAGCCAAAGGTTGCAGACATAGGAGACCAAGTCCTCTACTTTCAGGGGAGCTGGTGAGATCTAAGAATGTTTATAGGCCACTAGAAAAATAGGTTAGGGCTCAAGAGAAGGTTTCACTCTCACTGGGGAGCTGAACAGAAAGCTAATAAAAATAAAAAATAGAACCGACCATTTTCCACATGTCTTACTTAATTCTCACTATAACCACAATGAAATACGCATTTTATCATTCCATTTTATGGATGAGGAAAGCAAGTCATAGAGTCACATAGCTAACTAGGTGGTAGAGCCAACATTCAAATCCAGGCATGCTGACCAACTCCAGTATTGGTTATGTTAAACATTATGTGGTGCTACAGTCAGAAATACAATGTGTGTGACTGTGTCCCCCTTCATGTTATTCAAGATTGGTTCAAAAACATTGCAAAGCCGACCCTGCAGGTTAAAGATACTAGCACTTCCTGCTAAAGAGCATTGGAAAAGTCAGGGACTGACATCATGTGCAGGTCTTAATATCTATCCTCAGTAAACTTTTCCTTTGTTACATTTCAGCATAATATTCAGTCTGAAGAGCTTTAAAAAATTTTTTTTTGTCATATGATGTTTGGGTTATTTAAGATAACATTGACAATTTGATCCATAATGTGGTTTAAAATATTGTCTAGAACTAGATGAAATATGAAACCTTATGACTTACCATTAAAGATATTCTTATAGACTGGCATTCATCTATTTATCAACTTTCTTTGAATATGGTTCCTCAAGTAGTTATTACTTTACACCAACAATCTTGAATCCAACCTACATCTCCATCCTGGCTCTAAGCATATATTAAGAGGACTTGTGAAATGACGTGTTAAATTCCATATATACTTTGTCTAAAGTATTTCCTTGATCTTCCATTCTAAGAATCCTGTCCAAGACAGAATTGAAATTAAGCTGACATGATTAGTTGTTCTGTTAATTTATACTGGGTTTCACTGATTATTGCTTTTCCTTTTGAGTTTCCATAAACAAATTGTTCAGATGTAGTTTGTATGAAATTTATCTTTCTGCCTCTTTTTGAAAATCATCATGAAGCCTTCTGACTTCTAATGACATTTCCCTTATTATCTGCTATTCCTTCAATATCAGACTATAGTTCAATTCTATAGAAACTAATGTTTTTCAGTTGAAGAGATATAAATGCATTAAGAACACTTGCCTTTAAAGAATTTTTTCACCCATTTAGATGACGATTTTATTTTGTGCTGTCCAAAAAGGTTGACTTGTTTCCTTTAAGTTGTCGTCAATGTTACATACAGGCACCAAGCTGTGAGTCTCATTTCTTGCTTTGGATGTAACTAAAAACATGCCCTTTTCCCATATATCATGGACTCCATTTTGACATGGCTCCTTATTTTTTTTCTTTTTCTTTTTCCTTTTTTTTGAAAGGACTCTTTTTCCTTTTTTTTTGAAACAGACTCTGTTGCTCAGTCTGTGGAGTGCAGTGGTGTGATTACAGCTCACTGAAGACCCGACCTCCTGGGTTCGGGTGATCCTCCCACCTCAGCCTCCCGAGTAGCTGGGACTACAGACACATACACCACGTCTGGCTAATTTTTATATTTTTTGCAGAGATGGGGTTTCACCATGTTGCCCCGGCTGTTCTCAAACTCCTGCATGGCTCCTTTCTTTAAAGGAGTCTATAATTTCTCTTTCCAAACAGTTAATTCTTGTTAATTTGAAATCTTTCCGGAGTTGAAATTCTTTACCACCATTTCCTCTTGTGCCTGTGTAAGACTTTATGAATTTATTTTTCACCCTTTCATGACTTATCTTCACTTCTCTGCCATTCCCTTTTCCTTTAGGGTACTCTTCTTTCTCATAACTAAAACCTCTTTCGAATATACCTCTTTAGTAAGCCTCCCCACAATTAATTCCCTCTGATTCTAATGACTCCTTTTCTTTATATAATTTTTGCATTTGTGTATTCAGTTCTAATTATTTTAATATTTGATATTCCTTAAATGGCTTCATATTTTGATATATTCTTGTTTCCCAACAAAATAATGAAATAATTTAGAAAAAGGCTAAGGCTTTTGTTTTTTTTCTACCTCAGCTCCTGATATACTTTTTATGTGATTGGTATGTTTTAAACACTTATGAAAAAATGACGAACATAATAAATGATAAAGATTAGTATTTGGTTAGTTTTAGTAGTTGTTTACAACAACTGTTGCTCTTCAGGTAGAAGTTCTAGTTGAAGATTCAAAGATGTGTAAAGGTGGCAAGTCAAAAATAAAAATTGTTCACTTTATAAAGAGTGTCCACTGCCTTGTCTTGATTATAAGAAAAAAATTGACTGAGCTGATTTTGAACACCACAAGATACTCTCTTGACCGTATGATGTAAAAATCAAAGATAAAAGCCTGTAGCTAAGGTAGTTCAACTGCTTTATGAGTTGATATTTTATGTTGTTTCCAAAATATAATTCATGTGAAAATTGTTCTAATATTAAACAGTCTAAATTTATAATTTGGAGATTTAAAATTAATGTATAATTTATGTCTAGGATCACTGTGTACTTTTAAGTAGGCAAGATAGTTGTGGAATGAAAAGGAGAAAGTAATGTAGTAAATGTAATTGCTATGTACATACTTGCCCAAAAGAAGGATTCTTTGTAAAAAGACAAGTCTATGATGATATATGTATATATACATGTACAATATAAGAGAATTTTAATCCTATCATGTTATCTGTCATACCAGAAACATTTTATATGAATTTTGTAATAACACAGGTTTGCTCACAGAAATCCAATGTAAATTAAAGAGACTTCAAAAGAACTTTAAGGAGAAGAATCATTTTTACTCTAACATCAAAGTGGAAGAGGAAGGAGTAGACCACAGTTTTCTATCATCCACCACTAGACCTGGAAAAGTGGCAAGGCTTTTCTTATAAAATTTGTTTCTTTAATTATGGTGTTTTGTTTAATAATTATGAATTCTATATTTATAATTTTCCTCCTATATTTTCTTATAGATTCAGGAAAGCATGGAACTAACTGAAGAGGAACATCAGCTCATTAATAACATTGTGGCTGCTCATCAAAAATATACCATTCCTTTAGAAGAAACAAATTTGTATGTGTTCATTACTGAAAGAAATAATGTATAATTATGTTAGGAAACAAAGGCATAAGCATAACAGTTTAAAATTTCAAAAGATACTTGAAAAAATAAAATTCATTAATCTTATTGCTTTTTTATGGGTTAGCTGCAGGAACATACAAATCCTGAACTGAGCTTTTTGCAACTCTCAGAGACAGCAGTCCTACACATACGTGGGCTAATGAATTTTACCAAGGGGCTCCCAGGTAATTACCTTTGGGAAAAATTAATTTAATACTTAAGTTAATTTTATAAAAAGTTCCCTGTTTTAAGGGAAGTGGATATTTTAGGAAAAGGAAAAAAACCCTCTATTTTTTCACCAATGTTTTGTTTCTTTTTTCTTTTTCTTTTTTTTTTTTTTGAGACGGGGTCTTACTCTGTTGCCCAGGCGGGAGTGCAGTGGCATGACCACGGCTCACTGCAGCCTTGACTTCTCGGGCTCACGTGATCCTCCCACCTCAGCCTGCTGAGTAGCTGGGACTATAGGCATGCACACCATGCTCGGCTAATTTTTGTATTTTTTGTAGACAGACGGTTTCACCATTTTGCCCAAGCTGATCTTAAACTCCTGGGCTCACAAAGCTGCCTCTCAATGCAAAAACGTGTTTATTTTGTCTGCTTTAATCAGATGGGTGAAAATCTAAATATTAAAAAATACTGCTCAGAGAGTAGAATTCAGATAAAAGAGGCTAGGAAGAGTAGTGTGGTGAGAGGAGTAAGGATGGTTAATGGGTACAAAAATATAGTTAGAATTAATAAGATCTAGTATTTGATATCACAACATGTTGATTACAGTCAACAATAATTTATTGTACATTTAAAAATAACTAAAAGAGGCTAGTGCAGTGGCTCACACCTGTAATTCCAGCATTTTGGGAGGGCCCAGGCAGGAGAATTACTTGAGCCCAGGAGTTTGAGACAAGTCTGGTCAACACAGCAAGACCCCATTTCATCAAAAAATTAAAAAAATCTCAGGCCTGGTGGTGTGTGCCTGTGGTCCCAGCTACTCAGAAGGCTGAGGCTAGAGGATTGCTTGAGCCCAGGAGTTCCAGGTTGCAGTGAGCTGTGATCACACCACTGCACTCTAGGGCGACAGAGTGAGAACTTTGTCTCTAAACAACAACAACAAAAACCCCCACAAAACTATAACTGGAATATTTGTAACACAAAGAAATGATAAATGCTTGAGGTGATGGATACCCATTTTCCCTGATGTGATTATTACACATTGTATACCTGTATTGAAATATCTTATGTACCCCATAAATATATATACCTGCAATATACCCATAAGAATTAAAAATAAAAAAGTGAAATTATTAAAATGACTTCAAAGACTTGAGAGTTAAGACAATCAAAAGGTTAATTGCTTATTTTTGGAAAATGACTTTTTTTTTTCTATAATGCATGTAACAAAGAAAATTCCCTGTACAATACTGAAAAATCAAACCGCTGTTGGCCAAAACTTAGCTATCTATTTACATGTACAGATATCTCATCGTAAACATAAATTCTTCAAGGCTAAATCAACTATGTTTAATTTGCTTTTGCCACAGGAAAAATATTATTCAGTTCTGATAAAAGTGCCCCAAAATATTACCATGTGGAATCAAGAATTTATTTCAAATTTGAAATAACATATTATGATTATTCTAAGGGAGCATTTAGGATTCATACTATTATATGAATAATTTAAAATGTTAAAATACTACATCTGAAAATTATCTTTTGATTATCGATTTCAAACAATTATGTGATCTTCTCTTTAAAGGATTTGAAAATTTGGCCAATGAGGATCAAACTGCACTACAGAAGGGATCAAAAACTGAAGTGATATTTCTCCATGGGGCCCAACTTTACAGTCAGAAACAATCAGCCTCTGAAAGTAAAAATGGATTTTTTTCTAACTTTAATGTTAATAGTTACTGTTAAATTTAGCAACAAATTGTATAACATTGAGCTATTTTTTATTTTAATTTTGCCAGTTACTATAGGCAAAATTACTTAATAATAGCTCTTCATAAAAAGCTATAGTTTTATAAAAAGCTATTTTTTATTATATAGCATCATGGAAAACACATTTTTGGAGGGTCTCCTATACAATCTTTCTATAAACTAAAAACTATTAATTTAACTTCTTGTTTCAGTAATAAAAATTATAAATCTATCATTTGCTGGGAGTATTTCTGATCTAACAACTATGCTGGATTCTGAAAGATTGAGTTTAAAGATTAGAAAAAAAATCAGGCTTTATATTTTTCCTTTTTACTAGGTTCTGTGAGAATATTAAATCATTCAGATTATACACCAAATTGTCACAATAGGAGTGGTGATAGAAGTCTTATTTGTTCTATGGAAAAATTTTACAATGAAGAATGTCCTTCTACTACTCTAATTGGTAATATGACTCAATATGAAATATTATATTGGATGCAAAAATTTGTATATAATGTTTAACTTTCTTATACTGCTTTGAGATACAATGATAATTTCCATATGTTTGATTCTACCCTATGTTTGGATGAAAATACATTTTCGTATCAGTTTTTTGGGTGTTACTGAAGAATTTATTACACACTGTTTTACTTCTACAAAAGAATGAGCAAACTTGATGTAACTAATACTGAATATGCTCTGCTTGCAGCAACAATTGTTTTTTCAGGTAAAAACTTTTTTTCAGGTAAAAACCATTCAGTGGTAAAAATCTGTATTACATTTGGCAATGAAATGATGAGGTTTGTGGTTACTAAATTATTAATTACAGCCAAATGTACCAATTTTGTTTTATCACAATTTCCTTCTCTACAGGAGCATTCCTTTAAGCTTATATACATGCTATAATTTTTTGCAACTTAAAAAAACGCTTTCTTGACCTCATATCCACTTTCACCTACTCTTATTTCTCTGTTCCACTTTACAGAAAAAAATTTCTTTAGAGGGTTGTGTATACTCCCTTCTCCATTCCTTTTGTTAACTCCTAAACCCTCTACAGTAAGATTATGTCCTCTCCTCTCCACATCACCATAACCAGTCAATATCTTTGGGATCTTGGCATTGCTGATTCCAGTGGTCAATTCCTAGTCTTCAGCTTACTTGACCCATGAGCTACATTTGACAGATCACGTCCCCTCTCTTAGAACACTTTCATCACTTGGCTTCAGTTGATCACTTCTTCCTTCTTGACATGCATGTTTTTTTCTTGATTTCCAAGACCCCACACACTCTTGATTTTTCTCCTTAGTGGTTGCACTTTCAGTTTATTTTGTTAATTCCTCTTCATCTCCCACAGAGACAAATGACAAGAATATTCCAGGGCTCAGTTCTCTTTTTTCTGTACTCACTTTCTTTGCAATTTCATCCTATCTCATGGCTTTAAAGGCCATGTATATGCTGACCACTCCTAAATTTATTATATATACCAACCTGGAGTGCTCTCCCAAACCCCATTAAATAGCCTATTCAAGATTTTAACTTGGATATCTAGTAGGCATATCAAATTTAACACGCTTGAAAGTGAATTCCTAGTTGCCTCCCCCTCCATCCTTCTATATTTGTTCTCCATCTCTGCTAAATGGTATTTTCCATCCTTGAAGTTGTATAAGCTAAAATTTTTTGTCATCCTTAACTTCTTTCTTTCTCTTATACCCATATCAAATATACCACAAATCCCACTGGCTCTGCTCTCAAAATATATCCAGAACTTAACCAGAACTTACTATTTCTATCTTTACCATCCTAATTTAAACTACTCTCCTAACTGGCTTTTTCTGTTTCTGCCCTTGCCTCTCTACAGTCTATTCTCTATACAGGAGCCAGAGTAATTCTTTGAAAATGTAAGTCAGATCATGTGATACCCCTCAGCTCATAACCCTTAAATGGCTTCCTATTTTACACAGATTAAAGCCAAAGTTCTTTTCATCATTGCCTATTACTATTCCTTTTGCTTATTCCATTCCAGCCATGCTGCTTTTGACGCAGATATTCCTAAAAAATTTCAAGCAGGCTCCTGGTACAGGTTCTAGTGTATTTGATAAGTCTTCTGCCTGGAAACCTCTTTCCCCAGATAGTCACATGACTCCCTTATTCACCATCTTAGATTTCCGCTAAATGCCATTTTATCTCTGATTCGCCTTTGAAAAATTAGTTACCACCCCTTACCCTAAATTCTTATCCTCCTCCCTGTTTTTTTTCCTCTATAACACACCACTCTGCTATATTACGTTATTACTTTAAAAAATGTGTATATGTCTCTTTCCTCCCCAACTGCTCTCAGACCCAGAATATAAACTCAGTGAGGGGAGAAAATTTTGTCTGTTATGTTCACCGCTGTATCGCTAGCACAGTGACTGGATGGATGAATGAATGCTGCCTAAACATTAATAAATTATTGATTGGCTCTTATATTTTACAGCTGGATACTTGAACAACTTTGCCTTTTATTTACTGTTGATCTTGGGAAAATTACTGAATTTTTTTAAGTTTCAAGTAAGCCCTTGGCTGCTTTTATATTCTTTTTTTTTTTTTTTTTTTTTTTGAGTTGGAGTTTCGATCTTGTTACCCAGGCTGGAGTGCAGTGGCGCAATCTTGGCTCACTGCAACCTCTGCCTCCTGTGTTCAAGTGATTCTCCTGCCTCAGGCTCCCGAGTAGCTGGGATTACAGGCGTCCACCACCACACATGGCTAATTTTTCATATTTTTAGTAGAGATGGGGTTTTACCATGTTGGGCAGGCTGGTCTCAAACTCCTGACCTCAGGTGATCCACCAGCCTCGGCCTCCCAAAGTGCTAGGATTACAGGTGTGAGCTACTGCTCCTGGCCCGGCTGCTTTTATATTCTTATAACTACTTACTGACCCTTCCTTCCTATGTAACTTAGTGGAAATTACTTAATTTTCTAGGTTTCAAGAAGCTCATCTGGAAAATGGTGATAATAATAGAACTTACCTCATACAGTATTGTGACTACTACATAAAATAATACATAGAGGCAAGTCACTTAGCATAATATTTAGCATATATTAAGGGCTCAGTAAATATTTGTTTTTTGTTATTTAAAAGCTGCATTGTTTTAAAAGATTATTTATCTTTTGCTACTTTCCAATATACATTAAGATAAATATGATGATATTTTTCAGATCGTCCATGCCTTAAAAATAAGCAATATATGGAAAATTTATAAGAACCAGTTTTACAAATATTGTATAAGTATTCAAAAATGTATCATCCAGAAGACCCATAGCATTTTGCCCATCTCATATGGAAGCATACTGAACTGAGAACTCTGAATTATAACCATTCAGAAATACTTAGCACTTGGAAAACAAAGGACCCCAAATTGGCTACTTTACTCTCTGAGAAGTGAAATTTGTATTCTTGCTGAAATTTTAGAATGTTGTAGTTTGTTTTAAACTTCCTAAATCTGAATTGTTTACCATATAGGATGACTTTATCATATAGGATGACTTTATCATATAGGATGACTGATTTGGACAACATGAACGGTATTGCTGTGTTACCAATATATGACCGTAAAATGGACATCATCAATGCTCATCAAAATTTTATGAAAATTTTGTGGAATATAGAACTATCACTGAGGGATATCTAGGATTCTTTTTATGATTGGACTCAAAAGAAGCAAAAGTTGTTTCCTCATGTTTCCTTCAAAAGGAGCCAGAGAGTTATTACCTGAAGAAGCTTCACTTTTTTCATTCAGTAAAACATTGAATGAAAATATATAAATTTATGGATATAAGAAAGGCTAGCTAGTGCAAACAGTTGTAATTGAAATAAAGAGAGTTTGGCCGGGCGTGGTGGCTCACACCTGTAATCCAAACACTTTGGGAGGCTGAGGCAAGTGGAGCACCTGAGGTCAGGAGTTCAAGACCAGCTTGACCAACATGGCGAAACCCCGTCGCTACTAAAAATACAAAACAAAATACAAAAATTAGCCAGGCATGGTGATGCGCGCCTGTAATCCCAGCTACTCCAGGGGCTGAGGCCAGAGAGTAGCTTGAATCCGGGAGGTGGAGATTGCAATGAGCCGAGATCACGCCATTGCTCTCCAGCCTGGGCGACAAGAGCAAAACTCCATCTCAACAACAACAGCGACAACAACAACAACACAATAAAGAGAGTTTGTGACCTTCATTAACTAAAGCCAGACTGATGGAATAAGGAGGTAACATTTTAAACCTATTCCTGTTACAGCATTTTGTGAATTATTAAAGACGAGCAAAACTGTTCAAATCTTATCATTTCTTAATGCCTTAAAAAAAGAGATGCTTTATAAAAACAAAGTAGGAATTTTGTGATGGCAAGAATAATGAAAAATTAAAATACAGATTATTAAAATATTTTAACATATATTAGGAAATTAAACATAATTTACTTCTCATTCTGGCACAGAATATTTTAACATTTTTGCCAACATCTTTTGTGGAAAAAAACGAAGTTCTTAAAACCAGAAATCTTTCTACAAATTTTTAAGTCCTTATATGGACAGGATGTTAATATGTTAAATTAAATTTCATGTGAAATACATGGAAGTGAGAAATTCTATGGTGGCACTATTGCTTTGGAAGACTGATTTTAAGTAAATAAAATATGGTAAATTTAATATAACACTAGGAGTAGCATTTTGGTTTTCAATAAAGAAAAAAGTGACCATAGTTGAAATTTTCACTGTTGTAAAACTTTTAAAAATATTGGGATATTAGATTTATAGCCTCAATTGAATAAAAATTTTTAATTAGATCAATTATTGCCTCTGGTGGTACTTTGTGTATATTCTTAGTATCATCTCTCTGAGGGAGTATCTTATCTTTTTCAGAGTATCTAGACTCAGTTTCCCTAAATAGTAAAATGAAGGAGTTAAACTGGATCATCCTTTACTGCTCAAAAATTTTATTTTATCGGGAATGATTGTTTCTGATTATACAAAATGAGCTATTAAAAATATTGCTAAAGTCCTTAGAAAAAGCATCAATTATATTATGATGCCCAGAGAAAGTTGGAAAACAAAGTCAATGGTATATTCAAAATGGAGCTCATTATTTTATTGCTCAAAATTAAGTAACTTAGCACTAGGATGATGATAATAGCTAGTTACTCAAGCCTGAAACCAGGTAGTCATCTTAGACTGCTCCCTTTCTTTCACTTCTTACTACTAAAAAGTTATAAAATTCTACTAATTTTACTTCTTAAATATCTTTTACATTTGACACCTCCTCTTCACTCCACTGTCCGTGTCATAGCTCAAGTCCTCATGTCTCACCCAGGCTATTAAAACTGTCTCGCTACTCTGGTCTCTTAAGCCTAAACCATTCTTCATACTACAAGTTTTCTTCTGAACTCGATCGTGTAATCCTTTCTGCTCAAAATTCTTCAAGATCTCCGTCCACAAAGTCAAAAATCCAGACACTTTTCCAAGGCCTTTCTATAATACTTGCTTTCTCTTTCTCTCTTTTTTTTTTTTTTTTTTTTTGTGAGACGGAGTCTCACTCTGTGGCCCAGGCTGGAATGCAATGGGGCAATCTCGGCTCACTGCGACGTCTGCCTCCCCGGGGGTTCAGGCGATTCTCCTGCCTCAGCCTCCCGAGTCACTGGGACTACAGGCGTGTGCCACGTGCCTGGCTAATTTTGGATGTTTACTGGAGACAGGGTTTCGTCATGTTGGTCAGGCTAGTCTCAAACTCTTGACCTCAAGTGATCCGCCCTTCTTGGCCTCCCAAAGTGCTGGGATTACAGAAGTGAGCCACCGCGCTCGGCTAATACTTGCTCTTGAAATCTCTAGTGTCATCTCTTGCCATTTTCCCCACTTAATCCTCACACAGAACGCTTCTTGGACTTAGTTGTAATAATCTCTCTCACAACTCCAATGCCTTTGCTCGCCTTGCGTCAGCCAGCAATACTCTTTCCCCATTCCCTCTCCCTCTCCCTCTCCCCCTTCCCCCGCTCTCCCCTCTCTCCCCTCTTTCCCTACTCTCCTCCGTTTCCTCCCTCTGCCTCCTTTCTCTCCTCTGTCTCCTCTCTCTCTCTCTTTGAGACAGAATCTGGCTCTGTTGCCCAGACTGGAGCCAGTGGCAGGATTATTAGCTCACTGCAGCCTCTGTCTCCAAGACTCAAGTGATCTTCCCGCCTCAGCCTTTTAAGTAGCTGAGGACACAGGTGCGCACCACCACACCCGGCTATTTTAGGAGAGGCAGGGTCTCACTACGTTGCCCAGACTGGTCTTGAACTCCTTCCTGGGCTCAAGCAGTCCTCCCGCCTTGGCCTCCCAAAGTGTTGGGATTACAGGCGTGAGCCACCGGCCCGCCTAGCCAACTCTCCATTCACTCATTCTTATGTGAAACAGTAACAGAACTATACCACATCTGTGGAGCTTCTCCTGACTCCCCAAGCCACCCTAAGAGCCACTTTGCCTACGTCCTTATCATAGGAATTACCCTAAATGATTATAGGACATTTTAATTGTTTGCCCATCTGTTTCCTTCCTAAGATTGTGACCTCTTGGAGGGCAGAAATGGATTTTTCACTCTCAGCTTCAGTCTGTCATAGAGCCTGACAGTTTCCCTAGCATTCTTTGACAATAGCAGAAGCCTAAAGAACTTCCACTCCAAGGAAATACAGAATCCGGGAAACAATTGTTCCTAGCGATTAGGGAAATCTCGCGAGATTCAGGTCCTGGGAGCCTGGCAAGCCCACACAGCGACGGTTATTTAGCCGTTGAACTGCCAGCCGCCCGGGGCCCACGCGCTCCGGGCCGCTCAGGCTGAGCGATTTCCCGCCTTTTCTGAGGTTCTGAGGCGGGAGCCATTGGTTCTTTCTGTTGCCCTCATAGACCGTATGTAGCAGTTCGCGTGGGCACAGAACCCACGGTTTCCCGCTAGTTCTTCAAAGGTGAGGGCAGGTGCCCCGAGTTATTTTCCTGGGGACTGAGCCCAGAGCGGGGCGATGTTGTGCTACTGCACCTCCCCGCCGCAGCCCTCCGCTGTTTTCTTTTGGGTAGTGGTCCAGGAACTTAAGACAGTTCCTCCTGGCGATGTGATGGAATTTAATGGGACAGGAGAAGGGAACGGGCTTTCTTTTCAGGCCAGCGTGGCAGCGGGCGGTAGGGCGAAAGGGAGAAGGAAACGAGGGTTTATTCCGTTGCCCACTCCGCGGTAAGCGACGTTGTAGGGCTCCACTGTAGCGAGAGCCCCGTGGATTCCTTTTTTTTTAGCCATTTAGTTTGTAAACATCACTTTAAAGAATACATAGTGTATTCATGACACTCGGTGAAAAAAAACTTTCCTTCCCCTCCCGCCCCCCCGGGGCAGTAGATATTTACAACCGTAACAGAGAAAATGGAAAAGCAAAAGCCCTTTGCATTGTTCGTACCACCGAGATCAAGCAGCAGTCAGGTGTCTGCGGTGAAACCTCAGACCCTGGGAGGCGATTCCACTTTCTTCAAGGTAAATTTCCATGTGACTCTTAATTGGACTCTTCTTAACTTTAGGGAAATGAAGAAAAGTGTACTTTCTTCCTGGTGGTGTTTTATAATTATTTCTTCTCAATAAATGGTCTCATTTACCCAAGAATTTTGAATCCCATTGCTTTAAATGAACAGTGAGCATTATTGTGTAGGCATCATTCATTTAAATAATGACTGCTGCCGTAGAACTCTGCATACATAGTGGAACGTGCTTATTTTAATTCTCCTTCTTTCCGTATTTGATTCGTGGCAACTTATAGGACAGATACTACGAGATAGTAGAATATGTTAGGATAAAATTAGGAAAATTATCAAGAAAAATGAGGACTATTTGGACAAATGCCTATATATGAATAATAATTCGTGTTGTGACTGAGCTTCAGATTTGGCTCTGAGCTTCCTAGTGGATAGGGCAAAGAGGGAAATTCATTTATGTAATGGTGTTATCATTGGATAGGAGGAATTATACCAAGTTTCTCAGGTGAAACAGAGCTTTAAAAATTAATTAAAAAAATTTATCATGTGGATCCTTATATTGGAGATGCAATGATGCAATGAATATTTTACTTGTATATGCTGTAAAACAATTCTTGTGGCTGCTATAGGCAATAATATATTATTAAATGCTATTCAATAAAGACAATCTTTAATTCTATCAAGGGAAATCATAAACTGAAGAAATCTACTAATATTGTTCTATACTACTAGTTAGATTTACTATTATTCTCGAATACCTACAAAGCCATATATTGAGTAATTTATAGTTTAGCTTCATCTTACAAGTGGAAATATCTAATTAGAATTTTTTCTTTGTTTATATAGAAAAGGCATTTGATATTTTAAACACTGTATGTACATTAAAGGATTTGCAATTATAGTAACCTTTTTAAGCAGATGTATATTACATATGTATATATTACACTATTAGTATATCAGAGTGGTATGAAACAGAATATTTAAGAACTTCTTTGTGTCTCTAGAGTTTCAACAAATGTACTGAAGATGATTTTGAGTTTCCATTTGCAAAGACTAATCTCTCCAAAAATGGGGAAAACATTGATTCAGGTAGGAGCATGGAAAAGCAGTGTATCAGCTTATATAGAAACATTGTGTTACATACATCGATAGTTATTGAAAATGTAACATAAGTATTATATAAGTATAATTGACACAAAAGCTAGATATAATACTTAATATAAAAAATAAGGCTGGACACGGTGGCTAACACCTGTAATTCCAGCACTGTGGGAGGGAGGCTGATGGAGGGGGATCACTTGAGGCCAGGTGTTTGAGACCAGCCTGGGCAACATAAGGAGACCCTGTCTGTACAAAAAAAAAAAAAAAAAAAAAAAACCAGCAAACAAACCCCACCACCCCCAAAACTAGCTGGACATGGTGGCATGCGCCTGCAGTCCCAGCTACTTGGGAGGCTAAGGTGGGAGGATCATTTGAGCCCTAGAGATGGAGGCTTTGAGGCTGCAGTGAGCCATGATGGGTCACTGCCCTCTAGTCTAGGCAATAGTGCCAGATGTCCTCTCTCTCTCAAAAAAAAAAAAAAAAAAAAAGAGAAAAAAGAAAAAAAAAAAGAAAGAGAAAAAGATGTTGGCGTATTTAATACCTGTTGTCTTTTATCTTGCAGATCCTGCTTTACAAAAAGTTAATTTCTTGCCCGTGCTTGAGCAGGTCAGTTAAGCATAGTACATGTAGATATAATCTGTTTAGGTAATGAACTGCTTATTTGAAGACGAAAAAAGTCTTTAGTTATTGCATTACTAGTCTTCTGTATTTAATTGTTATTATTTAGAAGCTCTTATCAGAAGTATTTTCTTATAGAAACATCTATCTTTTTAGGTTGGTAATTCTGACTGTCACTATCAGGAAGGACTAAAAGACTCTGATTTGGAGGTCAGAAGATTTCCCATTCATATTAAATTTCTTGTAATTGGAATATAACTTATTACCTATATGTATATTTCTTTTGAAGCTTCAAAAGGATTATTATTTGATTAACGTTTTAAGATATATCCTTTAAAACCTTTTTTTCTGCTTCTGTATTTTTTGGGTTATGAAAGTTCCATTTATGTAGAGGCAATTTAATTTTAAACCATGAAATCAAGAAGAGGGGAAACGAGTACTATACCTGAAAAGTATATTATCAAGAGAGTATTTTACAAAATCAGCCTTTAATTAATAGACGAAATTGACTGGTTGACTGGTTTATTGTATAAGGAATTTGTAGGACATGCTATATACTTTTGATTTTAGTTATAAAAATATTTCTTATTTATGGCATATAGTGTCTTTAAAATGAAGAGAAATTCCATAGCCTGGTAAGGTACTGTATGTTTGTTGCTGTGATTATGGTATCACAGAATTTAAAATATATAGAACTTATTTATATATTTTTATAAGAAAAAGTTGTCAACCAGCAAAAATTGATGTGACTAAAAATCTCTGATATTTACAATATAATGTGGATTTTAAAAAGGCAGGAAATCTATATAAAAATCAGACTTGATGAAAATTATATCTTGTCTTCACTTTTATTTTTCTTGTCATTATATTTTAAACTTCATGTCCTTTAGTGAATCTTCAAACTGTTTGTATAATCAAAGTGTTTCAAGACCATTGTTAAGATTTATAGATTTCTTATAGGATGATTTATTTTAGCTTTTAACCAGCCAGATTCTGTCACTAACTAAAATATTTTTATGGAGCCATTTCATTTTATTCAGCAAGGTATAATTTAGTCAAGTGACCAATAACTTTAATGAAGTAGTTAATATTGCCTTAGTAGTTTAAAAGAGTTAATGTGGCTTTCAGTATGCTATTAGTGCTTAAATTGAGGAGATATTTGGTCTCAACTATTAGTATATGGATATTTTCAGTAGGCAGCTGTAGTTTGGTTATATTAGAATTTTGGACAATTAATTTTTGAAAACATATTTTAATAGAATTCAGAGGGATTGAGCAGAGTGTATTCAAAACTGTATAAGGAGGCTGAAAAGATAAAAAAATGGAAAGTAAGTACAGAAGCTGAACTGAGACAGAAAGAAAGTAAGTTGCAAGAAAACAGAAAGATAATTGAAGCACAGCGAAAAGCCATTCAGGAACTGCAAGTATGACACAATTTTGCATTGTAAACATAGTATAGTAAATCTAATCATAATACTGTTGAAAGTAGAGTATTAGTTGGGATAAATTGGATTGATCTTGTTTTTGTGATGAATATTTTAAGGATAATGCTTTTTAAAAGTTACATCAATACTGGATACATTTTAACTTTAAGAATGAGCATAGAGGACAAGTTGTATAACGCTTAATGCAAATGATTAGGGAAATAATAAATCACTTTATATAAAAATTGATTTAATGATTCTAATTTATTATAAAGAGTTTCAATTTTTATTCCTATTGATGTTTTATGTAAATATATTCTCTTAGATTACAATAGTTGTAGGTAACACTTTAAATTTGAAACTGTGTAACTTTATTTTTTTTATTTATTTTTGTGAGACATAGTCTTGCTCTGTCACCCAGGCTGGAGTGCAGTGGCACCATCTCGGCTCACTGCAACCTTCGCCTCCCTGGTTCAAGCGATTCTTCTGCCTCAGCCTCCCAAGTAGCTGGGACTGCAGGCTTGAGCCACCACGCCCAGCTAATTTTTATATTTTTAGTAGAGATGGGATGCCACCATATTTACCAGGCTGGTCTTGAACTCCTAGACCTCGTGACCCACCTGCCTCGGCCTCCCAAAGTGCTGGGATTACAGGCGTGAGCCACTGCTCCCGGCCGAAACTGTGTAACTTTATCTGTAGCATAAAGTGAAAAAAATGTTGAGAAAATGTGACATTGTATTAGGACAAAGAAAAAAACATTACTTCAAAAATATTTAGAGAAGATAATATTGCATTAAAATATTGTTGAATGTTTCTTGGAGATGATTTAGCCTTCTTTATTTTAGATTGATGAAGGCCATATTCTTAAGGGAAATCATAAGCTATTACAAAAATGTTTCCTTTTTATGTGGAAAGAAAATAATTCTTTTAGACCATTGTGTATTAGTAAAGAAATACTGCTTAATGATTATATTCGTGTTTATTTTTGCTAATAAGCAAAATGGGATGAACTTTTCTGTTTTATAAATTAGTTTGGAAATGAAAAAGTAAGTTTGAAATTAGAAGAAGGAATACAAGAAAATAAAGATTTAATAAAAGAGTAAGTAGTAATTTAATGAATTTGTTCTTTTCACATTTTTTATTCCAAATTTACTACTAAAATAATTTTCAAAAACATATTGAGCACTTTCTATACGTTATATCATATGAATTTATAAGTAGAATTATATCTGAGTGCTATGGAAAAAGGAAGATGTACATTCTTGTGTTTGGCAAACTGTGGTCACTGACTAATAACTTCACTTTTTAAAATGTCAGGCATCAGGAATAAACATTCCTTGGTGTCAAAAAAGATGCCTGATAATTCTGTATCTACAACTACCTATGTATGTTGTCTGTTTCACTGCTGTCTTGAGTACAGTACTTATAAAACAGGACTTAACTTAGTTCCAAGTTAATTCTTACTCAAATTCCTGTTTTTGAAAATGTAACAGTTTATTTCTACAGAAAAATGGTAAGTTAGAAAATTAAGTCTAACTGCCATATGTGTTAGTAACTTCAAGATAGCCACAGGTCTCATCATTCACATAATGAATGCCTAATCAGAAAGTTACCTTATTTTGTGTTTTGAAGGTTAGACATATATTAATTTGTTAATGAATGGCCCAACCTATTCTCATTATTTTTCCTTAGGCAAATCTAGACCTGTTTACTGAAAGTTTATTGATAGCAACTTGGGTAGAAACTTGTTAAGGAGCTGTCACTTTTATTTGTTTATTTATTTTAGTGGCCAGTTACTAGAACTTTTACTTTTAAAGGGAGGCAATTACTAAATCATCTTTGCTAGTAGTACAGTCAACCCACTGTTTCTTCATATAGTCATTTATGAATAATGTGATGTATGCCAAAGATTATAATATTTTAAAAATTTCTTAAAAATTGTAACAATATATTTCATAACTTATATATTGTGATTTTGCTTTGAGATCAGATTACACACAGGCAAACTCTTTCCTTTGTTTCAGGAATAATGCCACAAGGCATTTATGTAATCTACTCAAAGAAACCTGTGCTAGATCTGCAGAAAAGACAAAGAAATGTAAATATCTTTCTTGTTTTATGTGATTTTATCAATTTATTTTACTGGTAGAGGTGGAGAGGGAAAGAAATTGTCCTTTTAATTTTTGGAACCAATTTGATTTGAACAAATTATATGTGCCTCAGACTATTTTTATATAAGTAATAAGGAGAATCACAGTTCTTTGACTTTTGAAAGCTCAAAATTTTTTGAAAGGTAATATATGTCAAAGGGTATATTCTTGATATTTATAGTTAATCCTGGTTTCAAGTAAGGTATGATTTTGAGACTAACCTCTGTCTGGAACAACTAGGAAATTCAATCGAGAATAAGATACATAGCCATGCTCGTAATAGAAAATACCAGTAGAGGCTTTGCTAAAGCCATTGTATTTATGAATAGTGGTGCAATGTTTATTTTCAATCTAAATAGAATTCTCAAATTTTTCCTAAAGAAAAATTCTTTTAAAATATTCTAATATGGTTGTGTTGTGTATGTGAAAGAACAGTTTAAAAATTTTAAAGCATGTTTTCATTTTTTTAAATTATAAAGTAGGATTTTTTCCCATTTTGATGAAAAATAAGTGTGTGATTATAAAATATAATTCTTTATTTTTGCCATAATTTGACCCTGGCTTTACTTTGTTTCTGCCAAGAATCCATTGGGAAATACTGTCTACCTGCTTTTTCGGGATATTCTCTATTTTTCTTAGCTAAAAATTTTAATTTGTATCATACAGCTTACTACTTAACAGCTTGGGCTTAAGGATTAGATAGCCGGTGCTCAAATTTAGACTTTCAGTTTCTGTCCACCTAGGGAGCTTGAATAATTTGAGTAAATTATGTAGTCTGTCTGTCACTCTGTTTATTAATTAAATGCCTCTTAGTATTGTCCTGAAAATTAAATGTTAATAAATATGCTTAGAACAATGCAAAGTGCTCAATAAATGTTGGGTATTTTATTATTATTATTGTCGTTATTTCTAACATTGACTGTTAGGTTTTTTTATTCTTTTTTTTTTTTTTTTTGAGATGTGGTTTCACTCTTGTTGCCCAACCTGGAGTGTAATGGTGTGATCTCGGCTCTCTGCAACCGCTGCCTCCTGGGTTCAGGCAATTCTCCTTCCTCAGCCTCGCGAGTAGCTGGGATTACAGGCATGTGCCACCACACCCAGCTAATTTTTTGTATTTTTAGTAGAAAGGGGGTTTCACCATGTTAGCCAGGCTGGTCTCGACCTCCTGACCTCAGGTGATCCTCCCACCTCAGCCTCTCAAAATGCTGGGATTACAGGCATGAGCCACTGCACCCGGCCAGGATTTTTATTCTTAGTCCCTGCCTGTATTACCTTGCTTTTCAAAACTCTATGTATCTTCCAGAATGTACCATACCACTACCAGCTCCTCTACTATATCCTATGTACTCAACATTCAAGATTAATTTTTCTGCCTAGATATAAAAAGTGGTGAAAAGTACAGTGATAGGGTAGAAGGATAGTACATTGGCTGTCTTGCAGAAAATAACTTGGGTTAGAGAGACAAGTCTGATAGTTCTTTTTTGTTCTTTGTTTTTTTTTTTTTTTTAGACGAAGTCTAACTCTGTGGCCAGGCTGGAGTGCAGTGGCACAATCTCGGCTCACTGCAACCTCCCACCCCTAGGGTTCAAGTGATTCTCCTGCCTCAGCCTCCTGAGTAGCTGTGACTACAGGTGCCCACCACCACGCTGGCTAATTTTTTGTATTTTTAGTAGAGATGGGATTTTACCATGTTGGCCAGGATGGTCTCGATCTCTTGACCACCTGCCTCGGCCTCCCAAAGTGCTGGGATTACAGGCGTGAGCCACTGCGCTGGGCGATAGTTCTTTCTTACATTTAGTTTTCAGCTAAGTTAGAAATCAGATGGTGAGGAAGGTTTAGAGAACCCAACATTTTTCAAGGTGGTCTCTTTAATAAACTAAAGTTGAGGTATGTCTTGATGTGACATGTAGAAAGTTTTTTTTTTAAAGTCTTGACACTTGCTTTATTGTTAGTGTAAACTCTATGCAGATTCTTGCCTTAAGTTGTTGACCAGTCTTTTTGTTATTGTGCTTTTTTCTTTCTTTTATTCATTCATTCAATATTTTTTTAGTGCCTGCTATGTCATGAAATCTTCTAGATGCTGATGAAAAACAGCAGTGAACAAAGTCTCTACTCTTACAAGAGTGTATATTCCATGGTGTATATGTGCCACATTTTCTTTATCCAGTCTGTCATTGATGGGCATTTGGGTTGGTTCCAAGTCTTTGCTGTTGTAAATAGTGCTGCAATAAACATACGTGTGCATGTGTCTTTATAGTAGAATGATTTATAATCCTTTGGGTATACACCTAGTAATGGGATTGCTGGGTCAAATGGTATTTCTGGTTCTATTTCCTTGAGGAATCACCACACTGTCTTCCACAATGGTTGAACTAATTTACACTCCCACCAATAGTGTAAAAGTGTTCCTAGGCCAGGCACAGGGCTCACGCCTGTAGTCCCAGCACTTTGGGAGGCCGAAGCAGGCAGATCACGAGGTCAAGAGATCAAGACCAGCCTGGCCAACATGGTGAAACCCCATCTCTACTAAAATACAAAAAAATTAGCTGGGCATGATGGCACGCGCCTGTAGTCCCAGCTACTCAGGAGGTTGAGGCAGGGGAATCGCTTGAACCCGGGAGGCGGAGGTTGCAGTGAGCTGAGATCATGCCACTGCACTCCAGCCTGGCAACAGAGCAAGAGCCCGTCTCAAAAAAAAAAAGTTCCTATTTCTCCACAGCCTCACCAGCATCTGTTGTTTCCTGGCATTTTAATAATTGCCATTCTAACTGGCGTGAGATGGTATCTCATTGTGGTCTGGATTTGCATTTCTCTAATGACCAGTGATGATGAGCTTTTTTTCACATGTTTGTTGGTGGCATAAATGTCTTCTTTTGAGAAGTGTCTGGTTATAGCCTTTGCCGACTTTTTGAATGGGTTTCTTTTTTTTTCTGTAAAAGAATGAGTTCATGTCCTTTGCAGGGACATGGATGAAGCTGGAAACCATCATTCTCAGCAAACTAATACAGGAACAGAAAACCAAACACCAAATGTTCTCACTCATAAGTGGGAGTTGAACAATGCGAACACATGGACACAGGGAGGGGAACATCACACACCCGGGCCTGTTGGGGGGTGGGGGGCAGGGGGAGGGAGAGCATTAGGACAAATACCTAATGCAGGTGGGGCTTAAAACCTAGATGATGGGTTGATAGGTGCAGCAAACCACCATGGCACATGTATAGCTATGTAACAAAGCTACACATTCTGCACATGTATCCCAGAACTTAAAAAAAAAAAAAGAGTATACAGTCTAGTGAGGGGAGAGGATACAGATCATTAATGAATAAATAAAATATATGTTAGGTGATAACTGCTTAAGGAGAGAATATTTTGGGACAGGGTGATTGGGAAGTTTTTTCTGGTTAAGTGACATTGGGTAGAGACCTGAATAAGGGAGTGGGCCATCTATTTTAGGAAAGAATATTTCAGGCAGAGGAAGCAGTTAAGTGCAAAGTCCCAGAGATGAGAGCCTGTTCAATCTTTTCAGGTCACAATAATGAGGCCACTGTTCTGTATTTCTGACTCTGTATTTTTCATCTTTTTTCTCACTGTACTCCACTCAGGATACTTTTTTCTTTCTTTCTTTTCTTTTTTTGATGGGGGGTGGGGTGGTCTCACACTGTTGCCCAGGCTGGAGTGCAGTGGTTCCATCTTGGCTCACCATAACCCCCGCATCCCAAGCTCAAGCAATCTTCCTACCTCAGTTTCCCAAGTAGCTGGGACTACAGCTGCACACCACCAGGGCTGTCTAATTTTTGTATTTTTTTAGAGACAGGGTTTCGCCATGTTGCCCAGGATAGTCTCAAACTCCTGGGCTCAAGTGATCTTCCCACCTTGGCCTCCCAAAATGTTGGGATTATAGGTGTCAGCCACTGCCCTGGCCCACATAATTTCTTCTAACCTCTCTTCCAGTTTACTGATTTTCTATTTAGTTAATTCTTGTCTGTTTTATTTTATTTTTATTTTATTATTATTATACTTTAAGTTTTAGGGTACATGTGCACAATGTGCAGGTTAGTTACATATGTATACATGTGCCATGCTGGTGTGCTGCACCCATTAACTCGTCATTTAGCATTAGGTATATCTCCTAATGCTATCTTGTCTGTTTTAAAATTTATCAGTTGGTGTCTTAATTTGTTATTGTATTTACTGGTTGAGTATTAGCTAGTTCTTTAAAAATTTGTAGTGTCACTTTCCAGAATTTTAAGTTCTTTGCTGACTTTTTAAAGCTCTACTTTTTATCTGTATGAACATAATAAACATAGTTGTATCCAATAATGCCAACGTCTGCAATACCCTGGGGTCCATTTCTGTGATTTTTTTTTTGCCATAGATCCTAGTTTTATTGGTTATCTCATCAGCTATCTTAGATAATAATTAATAATTTGAGACTTAGAATGGTTAAATTTTCCTAGTTCATTGAATGTTCAGCAATTCTGTATTATATCCTGGATTATGTTGTGAGAATCTGAGTCCTCTTCAGATTTCCTAGAGAATGTTTATTTGTTTATTTTCTAACAGGCAGTCAGCTCACTTAGGTTTAGAATAGGTTCTGTCTTGCCTTTTCATTGTGGGTGTTCCAATATCAGTTCAATTTTCAATGCCTTTGCTGTGCTGCCCTGGGTCTATTTCATGTATGCTGTACTCAAGGATAGTTCTGGGACTTGGGTAGTGTTTTATGCAGAGTCCAGTTTGCAAAGCTTTTGCCCCATGCATCTATAGCCTCTCCGATTATCAACATAACTCACCAGAGTGGCATGTTTGTTACAATTGATGAACCTACATAGGCACATCATAATTGTCCAAAGTTCATAGTTTACATTAGTGTTCACTCTTGGTGTTGTACACTCTATGGATTTGGACAAATATGTCCGCCATTATAGTATAATACAGAATAGTTTCATTGCCCTAAAATTCTGTGTTCTGCCTATTGATTCTCTACACCCTACTCTGGTAACCACTGATCTTTTAACTGTCTCCATAATTTTGCCTTTTCCAGAATGTTATGTAGTTCGAATCCTACAGTACGTAGGCTTTTCATATTGGCTTCTTTCACTTAGTAATATGCATTCAAGTTTCCTCCATGTCTTTTCATCACTTGATAGCTCATTTTTTAAGCACTGAATAATATTCCATTCATTGTTTGCACATACCACAGCTTATTTATCCATTCACTTACTAAAGGACATCTTGGTTGCTTCCAAGTTTTGGCAGTTATGAATAAAGCTGCTATAAATATCCATGTGCAGGCTTTTGTGTGGACATTTTAAACTCCTTTGAGTAAATACCAAGGAGCACAATTCCTGGATCACATGGTAAAAGTATGTTTAGTTTTGTAAGAAATTGCCAAACTGTCTTCCAAAGTGGGTGTACAATTTTTTATTTCCGCCAGCAGTGAATGAGAGTTTCTGTTGTTCTATACTCTCACCAGCATTTGGTGTTGTCAAAGTTCTGGATTTTGGCCATTCGAATAGGGGTATGTATTGATATCTCTTTGTTGTTCTAAATTGCATTTCTCTGATGACATATGATGGGAATCTTTTCATGTGATTATTTGCCATCTGTATGTCTCCTTTGGTAAGGTGTCTGTTAAGGTCTTTGTCCCATTTTTTAATCAGGTTGCATGTTTTCTTATTGTTGAGTTTTAATCAACAATAAGAAAAAAGACTTAACAATTTTGAGTCTTTGTATATTATAGAAAACAGTCCTTTATCAGATGTTTCTTTTGCAGACATTTTCTCCCAGTCTGCGGCTTGTATTCTCATTCTCTTGACATTATCTTTTGGAGAGCAGAAGTTTTTAATTTTAATGAAGTCCAGCTCATTATTTCTTTCTTTCATGGATTGTATCTAAAAAAAAAAAGTCATCGTGATACCCAAGATCATCCAGGTTTTCTCCTATTTATCTTGGAGTTTTATGGTTTGTATTTTACATTTAGGTCTATGATAAATTTTGAGTTAATTTTTGTTAAGGGTGTAAGATCTGTGTCCAGATTCTTTTTTTTTTTTTGCATGCAGATGTCCACTTGTTTCAGCATCATTTGTTGAAAAGACCATCTTTTCTCTATTTTATAGCTGTTACTCCTTTGTCAAATATCAGTTGACTATATTTGTTTGGGTCTATTTGTTACTCCTTTGTCAAAGATCAGTTGACTATATATATTGGGTCTGTTTCTGGACTCTCTATTTTGTTCCCTTGATTTCTTTGTCCTTTTCCCCCACAAATCCCTCACTATGTTGATTACTGTAGCTTTATAGTAAGTCTTGAATTTGAATAGTATCAGTTCTCCAACTTTGTTCTTCTCCTTTAATATCGTGTTCGCTCTTCTGAGTCTTTTGCCTCACCATATAAACTTTAGAATCAGTTTGTAGATATCCACAATATAACTTGCTGAGATTTTTATTGGGATTGCATTGAATCTGTAGATCAAGTTGGGAAGGATTGACATCTTGACAATATTGAATCTTCCTATCTATGATCATGGAATCTTTCTCTATTGATTTAATTATTATTTGATTGTTTTCATCAAAATTTTATAGTTTTCCTCATATAGATCTTGCATGTTTTGTTAGATTTGTACCTAAGTATTTCATTTTTTTTGTATACTAATGTAAATGGTATTGTGTTTTCAATTTCAAATTCCGCTTATTCATTGCTGGTGTATAGGAAAATGATTGACGTTTGTATAGTATATTAATCTTGTATCGTGTAACCTTGCTGTAATTGCTTATTAGTTCCAGGATTTTTTTTTGTTAATTCTTTCAAATTCTCTGTATAGACAGTTATGTTATCTGTGAATAAAGTAGTTTTTATTTCTTTTTTCTCAATCTGATTCCATTTGTTTCCTTTTTTTGTTTTATTGTATTAATTAAAACTTTAAGTACAATGTTGAAAAAGAATGGTGAGAGGGGACATCCTTGCCTTGTTCCTGATCTTAGTGGGAAAGCTTCTAGTTTCTCACCATTAAGTATGATATTAGCTATAGGTTTCTGTAGATATTCTTTACTAGATTGAGCAAGTTCCCTTCTATTCCTAGTTTACTAAAAGTTTTTATCATGAGTGGGTGTTGGATTTTGTCAAATAATTTTTCTATATCTATTGATATGATCTTGTAATTTTTTAGCCTGTTATGTGATGGATTACAATAATTGATTTAAAATGCTGAGCCAGCCTTGCATACCTTGACTGCATCCCATTTGGTTGTGTTGTATAATTTTTTTTATACTTTTTTTTTTTTTTGAGACAGGATCTTGCTCTGTCACCCAGGCTGGAGTGCAGTGGCTATTCACAGGCATGATCATAACTCACTATAGCCTTGAACTCCTGGGCTTAAGTGATCCTCCTGCCTCAGCCTCCTCAGTGGCTGAGACTATAGGTGTGTGCCACTGCACCCAGATAATTTTTAAAATTTCTTTTTAGAGATGGGATCTTGCTATGTTGCCCAGGCTAGTCTCAAACTTTTGGCCTCAAGCAATCCTTTCACTTCAGTCTCCTGAGTAGCTGGAATTGGGATTATAGGTGTGGGCCACTGTGTCAGGCTCCTTTTATATATTGTTGGATTTGATTTGCTAATGTTTTGTTGAGTATTTTTGCATCTATGTTCATGAGAGATATTTGTCTGTAATTTTCTTATAATGTCTTTGTCTGGTTTTGGTATTAGGGTACTGCTAGAAAATATTCCCTCTGCTTCTATCTTCTGAAAGAGATAGTAGAGAATTGGTATAGTTTCTTCCTTAAATGTTTGTAGAATTCACCAGTGAAGCTGGCAGGCCTGGTGCTTTCTGTTCTGGAGGGTTATTAATTATTGACTTAATTTCTTTAATAGATATAGGCTTATTCAGATTGCCTGCTTTTAATTCTGTGAGTTTTGGCAGTTGTGTCTTTTGACAGTTGGTCCATTCCATTTAGGTTAGCAAACCTGTGGGCATAGAATTGTTCATAATATTTCTTCATTTTAACATCCATGAGGTTTGTAGTGATGTCTCCTTTTTCATTTATGGATTAGTAATTTGAATCCTCTCTCTCTTTTTCTTAGCCTGGCTAGAATTTATTGATTTTATTGATCTTTTCAAATAACCAGCTTTTGGTTTCATTGATTTTTTAAAATATTGATTTTCTGTTTCCACTTTCATGGTTTTTACTCTAATTTTTATTACTTCTTTTCTCCTTCTTACTTTGGATTTAATTTGCTCTTCTCTTTCTAGTTGCCTACAGTGGAAACTTAGATGATTGATTTCAGATTGTCTTTTCCAATTTATGCATTCAATGCTATAAATTTCCCTCTCAGTTTTTCCTGTATCGCACAGATTTTGATAATATGTGTTTTAATTTTCATTTAGTTCAAAATGTTTTTGAATTTCTCTTGAGATTTCTTCTTTGACTCAGGTGGTATTTAGAAGTGTCTTGGTTATTCTCCAAGCATTTTGTGATTTTCCAGGTATCTTTCTATTATTTATTTCTGGTTTAATTCCATTGTGATCTGAGAGCAGATACTGTACAATTTATAATCTTTTAAATTTGTTAAGGTGTGTCTTATGGCCCAGAATATGGTCTATCTTGATGAATATTCCATGTGAGCTTCAGAAGACTATGCATTCTGTTATTGTTGGATTAAGCAGTCTGTAAATGTCAAGGTGATTGATGGTTTTATTGAATCCAACTACAGGTTAAGCAGCCCTAATCCAAAAATCCCAAATCTAAAATACTCCAAAATCCAATTGAGTGCCAAAATGATGCTCAAAGGAAATGCTCATTGGAGCATTTCAGATTTTGGATTTTCAGATTGGGGATGCTCAACTGGTAAACACAATGCAAATATTCCAAAATCTAAAAAGAAATCTGAAATCTGATATATTAATTGTCCTGGTCCCAAACATTTTGGATAAGGGACACTCAACATACATGTCTTACTGATTTTCTGCCTGCTGGGTCTGTCCATTTCTGATAGAGATGTTGAAATCTTCAACTATAATAGTGGATTAATTTATTTCTCTTTGCGGTTCTACCAGTTTTTGCTTCACGTATTTTGACACCATATTATTAGGCCTATACATGTTAAAAATTGTTATATCTCCTTGGAGAAATGACCCAAAAGCATTTTATTTTTATTTATTTATTTATTTTTTGAGACAGGGTCTTGGTCTGTTACCCAGACTGCAGTGCAATGATGTGATCATAGTTCACTGCAGCCTTGAAATCCTGGGCTCAAGCGATCTTCTTACCTCAGCCTCTTGAGTAGTGGGGACTATAGGTGTGTATCACCACTCCTGGCTAATTTTTCTATTTTTTGTAGAGAAGGGGTTTGCTACGTTGCCTAGGGTGGTCTCGAACTCTTGGGCTCAAGTGATCCTCCATCCTCATCCTCTCAAAGTACTGGGATTACGGGCATGAGCCACTGTGCCCAGCTCTAAAAGCATTTTGAAATGGCCCTCTTTATATCTGACAACTTTCCTTGCTTTGAAGTTGGCTGTGTCTGAAATTAATATAGCTACTCTTTTTATATGATTATTTGCCATCCATATGTCTCCTTTTGTAAGGTGTCTGTTAAGGTCTTTGGCCCATTTTTTAATCAAATTGCTTGTTTTCTTAATGTTGAATTTTAATCAACAATAAGAGAAAAGACTTAATAATATTTGAGTCTTTGTATATTATAGATAACAGTCCTTCATCAGATGTTTCTTTTGCAGACATTTTCTCCCAGTCTGTGGCTTGTATTCTCATTCTCTTGACATTCTCTTTTGTAGAGTAGAAGTTTTTAATTTTCTTTTGATTAGTGTTAACATGCTTTCTTGTGATTAGTGTTAATATGGTGTATCTTTATCCATTTACTTTTATTCTAGATGTGATTTTACATTTAAAGTGAGTTTCTTATAGACAGCATGTAGTTGGGTATTGTTTTTTGATCCACTCTGACAATCTCTTAGTTGGTCATTTAGACTATTGTCATTCAAAGTGATTATTGATATAGTTGGATTATTATCTACCACATTTATTACTGTTTTTCTATTTGTTGTCCTGTTCTTTGTTCCTATTTTTGTCTTTTACTCTTTTTATGCTATTTGTGGTTTTAATTGAGCATTTTATGTGATTCCAGTTTCTCTCCTTTCTTAGAATATTAGTTATACTTCTATTTTTACTTTTTAAAGTGATTTCACTAGAGTTTGCAATATATATTTACAGTAATCCAAGTCGACTTTCAAATAACCCTCTACTGCTTCAAGGTTACAGTGAGTACCTTATAATTCTTTCCTCCCATCTTTTTTTTTTCTTTTTTTTTTTGGATACAGAGTCTTGTTTTATTGCCCAGATTGGAGTGCAGTGGTGCCATCTCGGTTCACCACAACCTCCACCTTCCGGGATCAAGTGATTCTCGTGCTTCAGCCTCCTGAGTAGCTGAGATTACAGGTGCCCACCACCAAGCCCGGCTAATTTTTGTATTTTCAGTAGTGACGGGGTTTTGTCATGTTGGCCAGGCTGGTCTTGAACTCTTGACCTCAAGTGATTCACCCTCCTCCACCTCCCAAAGTGCTGAGATTATGGGCTTGAGCCACCAGGCCCGGCTGGCCTCCTCCCGTCTTTTGTATCATTGCTGTCATTAATTTCTTTTATATAAAGCATAAATAAGCATTTATAATCTAATACATTGTTGCTATTTTTTTGTTTGTTTGTCTGTTTTTTGTTTTTTGAGGCAGAGTCTCATTCTGTTGCCCAGGCTGGAGTGCAGTGGCATGATCCTGGCTCACTGCAACCTCCGCCTCCTGGGTTCAAGTGATTCTCCTGCCTCAGCCTCCCGAGTAGCTGGTATTACAGGCGTGTGCCAATTTTTTTATGTTTAGTAATATGCTAATTTTTGTATGTTTAGTAGAGATGGATTTTCGCCATGTTGGCCAGACTGGTCTTGAACTCCTGACCTCAAGTGATCCAACTGCCTTGGCCTCCCAAAGTGCTGGGATTACAGGTGTGAGCCACTGCGCCTGGCCCATTATTGGTATTACTATTTTTGACAAACTTATATGTTAGATCAATTAAGAATGAGAAAAATAAAAGTTATTTAGCCTTCACTTATTTCTGCGTTGATGCTCTTTTTTTTCTTTCTTTTTCTTTTTTTTTTTTTTTGGCAGAGATGGGGTCTTGCTATGTTATCCAGGCTGGTTTTGAACTTCTGGCCTCAAGTGATCCTCCCACTTTGGCCTCCCAAAGCACTGGAATTACAGGTGTGAGCCACTGAGACCAGCTGTTGCTCTTTTTTTTCTTTATAGAGATCTGAATTTCTTACATAAATCATTTTCTTTCTCTTTAAATAATTTCTTTTAACATTTCTTGGAAGGCAGGTCTGCTGGCAACACATTCTGTCAACTTTTGTCAAAGAAAGTATTTATTTCTTCACTTTTGAAGGATAGTTTCTCAAATTACAGAATTCTGTGTTGCTGGTTTTTTCTCTCAGCATTTTAAATATTTTACTCCATTCTATTCTTGCCTGCGTGGTTTCTGAGGAGGAGTCAGATAGAATCTTTCTTTTTGCTCCTCTGTAGGTAAAATGTTTTTTTCCTCTAGCTTTATCTTTGATTTTTTGTAGTTTGAATGTAATATGCATAGGTGTAGTGTCTTTGGCATTTATCCTGCTTTCTGTTCTCTGAGCTTTCTGGATCTGTGACTTGGTGTCTGAAATTAATTTAGGGAAAATTCTTAGTCATTATTGTTACAAATATTTTATGTTCCTTTTTCTCTTTCTTCTCCTTCTGGTATTCCCATTATACTTTTTGTAGTTGTCTCACAGTTCTTGGATATTCTGTTCTGTTCTTTCTAGTCTTTTTTCTCTTTGCCTTTCAGTTTTTGAGGTTTCTGTTGAAATATCTTCAACTTCAAAGATTACTTTCCTCAGCTGTGTCTAGTCTACTAATAAGCCCCTCATTTCTTCGTTTTATTTTTTTTAGAGACAGCGTCTTTCTATGTTGTCTAGGCTGGTCTCCAACTCCTGGCCTCAAGTAATCATCTTGCCTGAGCCTTCTGAGTGGCTGGGATTATGGGAATGAGCCCCCACACCCACAAGCCCTTCATTTCTGTTACAGTGGTTTTGATATGTAGCATTTTTGTTTTGAGTCATTCTTAGAATTTTCACCTATCTCTTTAAATTGCTTATCTATTCTTGCGTGATGTCTACTTTATGTACTAGAGCCCTTAGTATATCAATCATAGTTGTTCTAAATTACTGGTCTGGGATAATTCTGACATCCTTAACTGTATCAGAGTCTGGTTCTTATGCTTGTCTTGTCAAAGTGTATTTTTTGCTTTTAGTATGCTTGTATTTTTATTGTTTTGGATAGCTACACATGATGTACTGGGTAAAGGAATTGTTGTAATGTGCTGGTAAAGTATAGGGGGAGGAGTATTCTATAGACCTATGGTTAGGTCTCAGTTTTTTAGCAAATTTTTGCCTCCAGATAATGAACTTCATAAATACTCCTCAGCCCTTGCATCCCTCTCCTCCTTAGATGGGACAAGGTGGTAGAGTGGGCTGCAGTTGGGAATTTCCCATTTTCCATCTGGATGGCTAGAGGGGGATGGAGTTGGATATTTTCCTTACTTCACATGGAAGGCTAGAGCTGTCTGGAATTGGGTATTTCCCTTCCCCCAGGTTAGTTAGGCTCTGACAAATTCCCAGCAGATTTTGCTCTCCCAAAGGAGGCCTTGTTAAGAACGGGACATATTGGTATAGTTCAAAACGGCTTTTCCTGTTAGAAGCACAAGGGGATGTTTTTCCTATGTTCATTGTGAGAAACCTGGTAGAGCTCCAGAAGGTTAAACTCACAAGAATCTGGGGCCTCTCTGATGACTGGGTCTCCACAGAGGTTTTTTTATTTTTATTTTTTGAGATAGAGTCTCACTCTGTCGCCCAGCTCACTGCGACCTCTGCCTTCTGGGTTCAAGCGATTCTCATGTTTCAGCCTTCTGAGTAGCTGGGATTATAGGCATGTGGTACTATGCTTGGAGAATTTTTGTATTTTTAGTAGAGATGGGGTTTTACCACATTGGCCAGGGTGGTCTTGAACTCCTGGCATCAAGCAACCTGCCAACCTCTGCCTCCCAAAGTGCTAGGATTACAGGCGTGAGCCACCACACCCAGCCTCCACATAGTGTATCTCTCAGATTTGTTTACACTGAATTTCCAGCAATGTGTCAATTATAGTTCAGGTTTTCTTTCCCTGACTCTGGTTCCCACAGAGTTTTCTGCTTATGGGTTTCTGCCCTGGTAAGTTGTAATTCTCTCTGTGTTTGCCTGTCTCTCCAATTTTGGGGTAGTAGTTTGCCCTGCGACTTTACTTCTCTTAAGGATCTGAGAAGAGTTATTAATTTTTTAGTTTGTTCAGCTTTTTACCTGTCGTTAGGATGGAGCAGTGACTTCTAAGCTTCTTCACAACAGACTGAACCCAAACAGCTTTTGATGCAACTTAAAAAGACCCAGTAATGATTTAGATAACCCAATGTTCATCATTAACACAGAATTTTAAATATTTTAATGTTTTCTGGAGGCATTTTGAGTATTGTCTTGTTGACATCTTATTTTAAAATTTAATCTTGAAATTTTTATATTAACAATAGATGAATATGAACGGGAAGAAACCAGGCAAGTTTATATGGATCTAAATAATAACATTGAGGTGAGTGTTAATGAAATCTGAGTATTTTAAACATAGGAATTTCTGAGCAAATTAGAGCGATTGCTACAAAGATATGGACAACTATTCTTACTAAAAAGATTATTATTTATTTGTTGATATATTATTGTATCACTAATAAAATTCCTAAGGTTCTGTACTATGAGCATTAATGTTATGTAGGAGCTTTTTGATTTACATGTTAGTGACATCACTTAATTTATCAAATATTTACTGCCTTTTGTCAGAAATCAGCACATTGTGACACATAACCATTAATTTGAAAACATATAAAGTATTATTCATCTGTGTCTGGCTTCTGTTTACCTTTGTTTTCTCATCTCCTGTCATTGTCCACTTTGCTTTTCTGCTGTAGTCACTCTTTTATGTTTCTCAAATTTGCCAAGCTCTTTCTGATGGTGGTTCTTTGAATTTGTACCCTTTGCAGAACTTTTATGTCTAAGATCTTATGCACATTTCTAAACTTCATTCTGCTTTTTTGTTATTCTCCCCTTAATACTTTATCTAAAATTTCTATTTGATTATTCCATATATATCCATCTCATTTAACTTTTCTCAAGAGCACATAAAGCTGCATGGCATGTATTTGATATGTGTGTGTGTGTGTGTGTGTGTGTGTGTATTTGTATTCTTTTTTACACTTTATTGTAAGGTCCAGTAGGGTAGAGACTTTGTCTTCTTTTTTTTTTTTTTTTTTTGAGACAGTCTGGCTCTGTCGCCCAGGCTGGAGTGCAGTGGCGCAACCTCGGCTCACTGCAAGCTCCGCCTCTCGGGTTCAGCCATTCTCCTGCCTCAGCCTCCGGAGTAGCTGGGACTACAGGGGACAGCCACTACGCCCGGCTGATTTTTTGTATTTTTAGTGGAGACGGGGTTTCACCGTGTTAGCCAGGATGGTGTCCATCTCCTGATCTCGTGATCCGCCCGCCTCGGCCTCCCAAAGTTCTGGGATTAGAGGCGTGAGCCCCCGCGCCCGGCCGAGACTTTGTCTTCTATTCCTATTACCTAAAACAGTTCCTGGCACATAATAGGCACTCAGTAATTAATTAATTAATTAACCTGATTTTACAAAGCAAGATTTGTTGAATGCCGAATGAACACATGCTGCCAGCTGATGGAAGTGTAACTTTGGATTCATGGGGAGAGGCCTCACATTAGTGGAGAAGACGTAAATAAATAAGCACAAATAAATACAAAATTACAGATTTTGATACATGCTATTAAGTAAATGGCTGGTGTACCAACAATCCATTTGCTGCTATTTTGTATTGTATAACATGTTGCCAGTGCATTTAAGCATCTGGGAAACTAACATAAGGCCCTCTTAATACATTTTTAGTAAGTAATTCAAATTACAGTGTTTTAGTTATTCCAAATTGTGTGGTTTTAAATTTAATGATCACATGATACAAATTTGGTAATATTTTCATAGTTTGAAGAAAGCTATTTAAAAAAATTTAAGTATGATTCTTAAAACTTTATATTTCAGAAAATGATAACAGCTTTTGAGGAACTTCGTGTGCAAGCTGAGAATTCCAGACTGGAAATGCATTTTAAGTGTAGGTATAGGGATCTTACTTAATTTTTATATTACTGTTTTGCTATTTATATTTTTATCAGATTCCGTTAATGTCTTCATCTCTTTAGCCTGATGCTCTGAACTATTTTCTATTTTATTTATTTCTGTAAGCCCCTCTAAATCTTGTGGAATGTGGCAGGGAATTAATATTTGTTAAAAATAATTTTGGGTTTTAAAACTACATCTTTCATGAAATCAAACTAATTTTATTTTTTTTTTAGAAATGTGATTTGGTCTCTTTTTACATATCTTGGTATAGTATGCATGTTAAAATAATTGTATATGTATCATATTATACATATTTAAAACCTGTTGTTTCAGATTAGTGTGTTTTAGAGAATAAAGTTTTATATATAAGAATTATAGAATTTTAGGTTATTATAACTGATATTATTTATATTTACTATTTTACTAAACAGAAAGGAAGAAAACAGCAATATTAGCTCATTACAAACTTTTAGAGTTTAATATAATTTAGAGATAAATAAAGAGGTGAAATAAACTTTAAATTTTGTTTGTAATAGAAATGTTATAAAATTATGTTATGACATTACAGTATATTTGTTTTATTTTTAAAGTAAAGGAAGATTATGAAAAAATCCAACACCTTGAACAAGAATACAAGAAGGAAATAAATGACAAGGAAAAGCAGGTTTTTTAAAAAACCAACTCTTTGTATTCTTTATATTTGCTAATTCATTAAAAACTTAAAATTTCAAAAGAAGTTTATATTTACTGAAAGTATGATAAATTCCTATGAGAGAATTTTAATATTATACATATATTAATATTTAGCCTTTAGACTCACTTAATTTTCATTGACTCAAATATGTACTCACTCTAGCTTTTTTTGGGTTTTAATCAATTATTCTTCTATAATATTTATATCAGTGGGTAATAGGATATTGCCTCAAAATATATTATTTTGTGAGAACTTTTGTTCAGACAAAAACTTCATGAAATGTATAGATGATCATTGACTACTCAACTTACATTTTGCAGTTTGTTTTGAAATGTGCTATTCATAATATCAATGAAGAGGAACTAAAATATTCTGTTGCATCTTTCTTTTTTCTTTTTTAGCCTAAGAAAACAAGACACAGATGTTTTTTATATTCATGTCATATAGTGGAAGACTTGAAAATGTTAACTCTATATCCTTTGGCATTCACAAGAATGTTTCAGATTATTATTATGCCATCTCTATCAGTTTCAAGTCTTCTGCTTCCCAAATGGAAAGCAATATATATAATAGAATCCTCTTCTATTTCTCACTATATTTGCAGTTTTTCTTGTCTGATTTGCCACAAGATATCTTCTAATATGGTTAACAAGGATATCTACTTAATAATTTAAAAAATTAATTCACAGTACAGAGAGGATAATAAAAACCACAAAAATAGAGTGAAGTACTGAAACGCTTTTTGGAGTTCTAGGTGCATGGGCAGAGCTTACAGATTGTTGGGCTTCCTTGTAAAATGATGGCATGGCCAGCTAGTGTTTTTGCTGAGGACTCCTAAATGTCATTATTTGTAACACTTTTTTTGCTGGGGGTTTCTAAATTCTTGCTTGTGGATATAAACTTGGCTGATGGCATTCTGGAGCTGAATTGGGCAGGATAGCAAAGACAGACTGAATCTTACCATTATGTATGTTGACTTTTCCATTATATATACCCCCACCCATCCCTGTGCCTGGAATACCGATGTTTAGAGATTGCCTTTTTCAATTTGATATGACACTGTCTCTTACAAAGATAATAGGGCCAGTTCTCTGACTACATTGGCTGCCAGGGAGTAGAGACCAGGGTGGGAGGGTTAAGTGGACCAGCTGAAAAGCATGTAGACAAGTACATAAAATAATTGTAGGTATTATAAATGTTAAGGTGTCATATTTAAATTTTCATATTGATAATGTATTATTTAAATATTTTAGGTATCACTACTATTGATCCAAATCACTGAGAAAGAAAATAAAATGAAAGATTTAACATTTCTGCTAGAGGAATCCAGAGATAAAGTTAATCAATTAGAGGAAAAGACAAGTAAGAGTTTATATAAGATAATATAATGTGCCTTATGTATTCCTCTTGTTATGTTCTAAACATTGACTTTCATTACAAGTTTGTTGTAATGCTTTCTAGTACTGTACTTCTCAATCTGAGTTGGTTCGGTTGGAGGAGGGCATAATAGATTAACCTGGGGAGCTTTTGTAAAATACATGTACTCTTCTTTTCCTTTTTCCATGCTCTTACCTTTTTCAAATGTTTCAACTATATGCTCCACAGAGACAGAGACCTTGTCTTTTTTGTTCACTGACTTGGAACTGTTGCATTCCAAGTGCCGAGAACAATGCCTGGCACATATAAGGCACTCAAAATTAATAATATTATTTTTGTTTTTTGAGATGGAGTCTCACTGTATCACCCAGGCTGGAGTGCAGTGGCACAATCTTGGCTCACTGCAACCTCTGCCTCCCGAGTTCAAGCGATTCTCCTGCCTGAGCCTCCCTAGTAGCTGGGACTATAGGTGTGTACCACCACGCCTGGCTAATTTTTGTATTTTCCTAGAGACGGGTTTTCGCCTTGTTGGCCAGGCTGATTTCGAACTCCTGACCTCAGGTGGTCCACCCGCCTCAGCCTCCCAAAGTTCTGGGATTACGGGCGTGAGCCACTGCGCCTAGCAAAAATTATTTTTTGAATGAACAAATCATATGGGAGCATGATGGAGAGAGTTACTAATTTTTCCCAGAGAGAGACCTTTAGAAAGGCATTAGGGAAAAACTGTTGAACTGTTTAAAAGTTTACTAGACAGTGAACTGGAGTAGACAATACAGGTGGAATAAACGGCTTGTGCAAGTCATGGAAGTAGGAATGTTAGGGTATATTTTTAGTAAACTGACTGGTGTGGCAACATCTTATTGAACTCAGACAGATGAAATTGTAAAAGATTTGGATCCCTTTATGAAGGATCCTGAGTGTTATGTCATGTTTAGACTGTCTTATTAGGGAATATTTTTCAAACTTTTTTAAACGGCAGGACACTTAGAAGGCATAGTGTTTGTGAAACACCATGCACCTTCCAGAACATTATAGGGATATTATGGCATTTGTTGTTTTTCTATTCTTCAGAACATTCTCTTGTCTTCACATGGCAAATAATTATCTGGTTTCTGCCAATCTATACCTGCTAATTTCATCTTACTGTCATTACTATATGATATACTCCAGATATATTGAAATAATTTAACTTCATCTATATTTTGTGCTCTTTCAATCCCACCCCATGCTTTTGGCTACTTCCTGTACTCAAAATGAATCTCTTCTCTCCACCCCAAGTCTGTTGGCTAAATTCTTAGTAAGGGCATAAACATTACCTGTTTGTCCCCTGTGACTAGGAGTGTATTGAGGAGGGATTGGGTCTTAAATATCTTTGTAACTGTAGTGCCCAGTATATGGTTTTGCACATAATATGAGTTCAATAGTTGGATGAATGAAATAATATTTAATCTTATCATATAAACTGAAAAAATTAATAAATAACTGTAATTCTATATGATTCCTGTAGACTCATACCCACTGAAGTGTGTTCATTTAAGTGACTTTTCATTGTTTTCCATAAGTATGTATCTTCCACTTGTTTTTCTCTGTGTTCAGTGTGGATATTTTTTACTGATCTGTTATCTAATCCTGGCTGTGATGTGTCTAATTTGCTTTAAATCTATCTACTGAATTCTTAACTTTAAATGAATCATGTATTTTTCATTTTGAAGTTTCCATTTGATTACTTAAGAGTCCAATTCTGTGGTTAAGTTTTCTCCTCTTTTAAAAATCTCATTTTTCACCTCTTAAATATATATTCGTCATTGATATTTTATAGCTATTCTCTGTTTATTTCAATATATGTCTCATCTGTTGGTTTATTTCTATCGTTTCTTTTTTAAAACTATGGTAAAATACTTGTAACATAAAATTTACCACCTTAATCATATTTAAGTGTCCAGTTCTATAGCATTAAGTATGTTCACATTGTTATGCAACCATAACCACCATCTTTCTTCTCCAAGAACTCACCATCCAAGAACTCTTTTCATCTTGCAAAATGGAAACTCTGTACCCATTAAAAAATAACATCCCATTCCCTTCTTCCTGCAGCTTCTGGCAACCACTATTTGATTTTCTTTCTTTTTACTTTTTCTTTTTTATTTTGCTGTTTGGGCATTTGTTGTTATCCTTTGGTGTGCCCTGTAATTTTTAAAATTAAATCCTGTGCATTGTAATAAGAAAAATCTTGGAGCTTCCCGATGATGTTGTCTTTTCTCTGCTGGAGAGAAATTGGGGGTATGTTGGGCTGATTATCTGATTCCAGTTAGAGACTGAGCTAAATGAAAGGAAACTGGCCAAGTATATAAGGTTTTTCAGGTTTTCAATTTTGTTTCTTCAGCTCTTTGAGACCTCTCAAAAGTAAGCTGGCTTTTCTGTACCTTAGCAACAGGCCTCTGCCTGGGTTAAGACAGCATCTTAGTCTTTTGCTTATGCCCAGATCGGCAGATGTCAGTTGTACTTTATCAGTTCACTTTCAGCAGTTTTCTTTTAAGAATCTTAGCCCGTTTAGTCCTTTTATGTCATTTTGTCTTTTCTGGTTGTTTCCAGCGTGAGAGTTGGTATGCTACTAACTACTCCACCCTCCCTAGAAATATTCATTTAAATTAATTATGATCAACTAATTTTTGTTTTCCTTTTTAATGTTTGCTTGTTATTGCCTAATTTATTTTGTCACTTGCTAATAATAGTTGGTTCTTAAAGAGTATTAATTATCAAAAATTTAAGTAGATAACAATTAGATTTTACATGATTTCATTATTTCTTATGGCTGAACAGTATTCCAATTTGTGTATATACACACACACACACACACACACACACACACACACACACATTTCTTTATCCAGTCATCTGTTGATGAACACTGGTTGATTCCATATTGCTATTGTGAATAGTGCTACAATATGTGTATTTTAGTTCTATAGATGGAACATTATTATTACTGTTTTGTACAGACAATATTTATTTCGTTTTACCCATGTATTTTTTTCAATTTCTTTGCTCTTTTTTTTGGTATCTTAAACTTTTCATTCAGACCATTTTCTTTCTGTTTTGAAGAGGAATATTTAGAATCTCCTTTAGTGAGAATATGTTTGTGATTAGCTGTCATAGATTCCATTTGTCTGAAAATTTGTTTATTCATTCTCATCCATAAAGGATATGTTTGCATGATATGTCTTTCTAGGTTGGCACACTGTACATTATTTCTAGACATTTCTTTTAGCACATGGAAGGTATTATCCTTCCTTCCTTCCTTCCTTCCTTCCTTCCTTCCTTCCTTTCTTGATGGAGTCTCGCTCTGTTGCCCAGGCTGGAGTGCAGTGGCACAATCATGCCCTCAAGTGATCCTCCCAACCCAGCCTCCTGAGTAGCTGGGATACAGGCAGATGCCACCACACCTGGCTAATTTTAACATTTTTTGTAGAGACAGGGTTTCACTGTGTTGCTCAGGATGGTCTCAAACTCCTGGGCTCTAGCGATCCTCCTGCCTTGGCTTCCCAAAGTCCTGGGATTACAGATGTGAACCACCACGCCTGGCTTACTTTGTTGATTTTAAGAAGTCAGTAATATCTTTTCCCTCTCTTATGGGTTTTCAGATTTTCTTCATCTTCGATTTTTAGCATTTACAGTATAATATGTTAACTCATACGCTTAGTTTTGTTTAATAGCTTCTTCAATCTGTAAATTACTGTCTGTTACTATTGTTTCTTGGAAATTCTCAACAATAATCTCTTCAGATATTGTATTTGCTCTACTTTCTGTTTCCTCATTTTCTGAGTAAGAAAAAAACGTGGAAAAAACCCGTGTTGCATCTTGGGAGGCTGAGGTGGAAGGATCACTTGAGCCCAGGAGTTCGAGGTTACAGTGAGCTATGATTGCTCCATTGCACTCCAACCTGGGTGGCAGAGTGAGACCCTGTCTCAAAACAAACAAACAAACAAACAAACAAACAAACCAAACAAAACCAAACCCGAAACCAAAATAAAAACCTTCATTAATTTTCTAACTCTTCTTTGACTCTTAATCTCTTTTTTCTATTTCAACAGTTTTGCCTTTCTATACCTTATCCTAATTTCTTTTTACCTGTATTGTAATTCACTAATTTTCTTCTCTTTTATTTCTCACACATCATGAAATTCCTCCATTTTATTTTTAGTTACTAAGATGTTTATTTTAAGATGTTATTCTTCTTTTTCTAACCTGCCATTCTACTTTATCTAGTTTTCAGTTTCTTCTTATTTTCGAGGTTGTCTTTTCTTTAAATATACAAACCATAGCTGTTTTATAGTCCTTTTCTGATTTTTTTATTTTAAATGTTTGTGATTCTCTTT
The DNA here is from genome assembly GCF_000001405.40 of Homo sapiens. Lineage (NCBI taxonomy): Eukaryota > Metazoa > Chordata > Mammalia > Primates > Hominidae > Homo > Homo sapiens. The sequence goes on from NC_000001.11 coordinate 114,882,594, forward strand.
CTGTCTTGTTTATGATAGTTTTTAGTCAAAGTACCTTGTTTGCTTGTGTGCCTTATTGTTTTTGACTTTATGCTCATTTTTTTTACTTGAAAAAAAAGATTACTTGTAGGAATAAGTTAAGGCCTGCTTAACATCCACCTGGAAGGATTTGCTTTTTTTCCCCCCATGCACATGATATTTCTATCCATTTGGGACAACCTTAAGGCAGCTTGAACGCTTGGGGTGTCCTGAACTACGCAGGTGATTTGAACCTGGGCTGCAAATCTGCCTGTGAGTTGGTTTACTTTTGTTTGCTCCTTACATCAAAACTGTCCCGGCTTATTGTACAAAAGTTTACTTCTTAGACACCCTCTACCTTCTGTAATCTTTGGGTTTTCATATATCTTAAATTCTCTATCCCATCATATTTCAAACCAAAAGTCCAACTTTGCCAGGGTCTGCAAATGCCCTCTGGGCACAAGCAAGTTTTGTGGTTACCTTACTTCTATAGGTTTCTATTTTCTCTTCATTTTTGGCCTGGCAAATTCCTATTTTTGTCAGGAGCTTAATGCTTTAATATTCTTAATATTTGATCTTGAATTTTTATTCCCTTTTACAGAAGTGTTTAAATGACAAAGCTCATCATTATCGCTTTGGAGTTTTCAGTTTCAATTTTATGTATTACTTCTAGTAGTTTTATTGATTTACTGATATCTTCCTTTAGTTTACAAAGTATGTGATAATACTTATTTTTAAATTTCATAGCCAATAATTCTAAAATATGAAATCTTTGTAGATCTAAGTTGGCCTTTTGTTCATTTTGCTGACTCTGTTCATGGTGCTTTGTTTCCCATTGTGTTTGTTGATTGTGAGGTCATGTAACTTTATTTGTGGAAATTCTTTAAGGCCTGAATTAGCAGTATATTAGGCCTGAAGAAAATTTGCATATTCCATTTTCTAGGCTCCTGGGGAAACTTAGGAGCACTTCAAATTAAATTTTGGCTTGGAGCTCTTTGGAAAATTCTGGCAGTATACATTCCGTTCCGATACATGCCTAAGGGCTAGTTTGTGCTTATGATTTTTCAGAGGAGACATTTATCACCAGACCATAAGAAATAGTATCATAATGGACACCACAATCATTAGTCAACATTTCCCTCACCAGGCTGGAGTGCAGTGGTGCAATCTTGGCTCACTGCAACCTCCGCCTTCCTGGTTCAGGTGATTCTCCTGCCTCAGCCTCCCGAGTAGCTGGGACTACAGGCATGCACCACCATGCCCACCTAATTTTTGTATTTTTAGTAGAGACGGGGTTTCACCATGTTGGCCAGGATGGTCTCGAACTCCTGACCTCATGATCCACCCGCCTCGGCCTCCCAAAGTGCTGGGATTACAGGCATGAACCACCGGGCCTGGCCCAGATTTACTTTTTCTATTTTTTCCCCACAGTCGGACCAATGACCCTTTCATTCTATGTAGTTTTTTCAGAATGGAATTTTAAAAATATAAACTTGGCACGTACTTCTGTTGCTTAACATCCTTTATTGTTTTGCATGGTCTTCATGAATTATGAACCAGAAGACTCTGAGCAAGTTATATAAGTCCTGTTATGATCTTGTCCTTGTTACGTTTCCAATCATATCTCCTGTGACTTATTCGTTATACTTCAAGCCTTATGCTCCTAAAATACATTTTCTCTAGATGCCAGAACGTGTCATTCTATCTCTTCTGTGTTTTCCTTTGTATGTGCTCTTACACTTGCCCGTGACCTTTTCTCTCCTAACTTCCATTACCTTTGCTAATTTAATTCTTACTGTCTTTCAAATGTTTCAACTCAGCTGCTACTTTCTTGAAGTCTTTAAACTTTTTCTGTCTCCCTGTACCTCTAACCTTGACTGATCTTATTTGGCTTAGGTGTCCCCTCTAGGTAAACTCCCAGAACTTCCAGTGAGTACCCATCAGCACAATCATTGTTTATTTGCCTGCCTGACCAATATATTGTAAATTATCATGAATATTAGTGTTCAGTTTCTACCATATATCACCATTATCATCATCTTAATAGCAGTTATCATTTATTGATTATAGATTAGACACTGTGCTTAAGCATTTTAAGTTGCATTATCTTGTTTAATTCTAACAGCAGGTGACTCTTCATAATATGAATAATTATCATTATTCTAACATGCCAGGTGGGAAAAGTAGTCAGACTGGTTAAGTATCATGCCCGAGGCCAGGTAGCTTAGTAAAAGGAAATCGTATAATTTGAATTCAGAGAATATAATGAACTTCTTTTTTCTCCTATTGCTTTTATGATGTTTAAAAATGAGTGCACAAATATAAAACATATAGACTAGTACCTGAGACTTAGTATTTATTAAAAATGGGCTCTTAAGTGGAGTCAAAAGCTTTTATTTATCATTTAATAGAGTATTTTGAAAAATAAAAAAATCAAGATAATCAATAATGAAAATAAAATCGTGAATAATTTTACCATCGGGAGATAAATTACTTTTCATATTTTAGTGTGTATCTTTTCCTTTTGCATGCAGTGTTTAAATATTGTTTTAAACCCACTCTTTTTATTCTATGTTTTATGAATATCCAAATTAATAATCAATAAAATTTGTATTACATTTTCAGTGGCTACATGGTATACCATCCCATATATGTGCCTCCATAATTTGTCTACTTTTGGATATTTAGGTAGTTTCTAATGTTTTGCTATTATAAAAAATGTAAATCCTTAAATATTTATTTTTGAGTTCTTGGGAGATAACAATCTTGAAAAGTCAATAAAGCTTGATGGTGACCAATATTTGTGTGTCTATATTTGCATATTTTCTTCTCATTTTGGACTATTATCTAACGGAGGAAAAAGACTAATTGTCACAAATAATACTTAGTTTTCTTGGTATATATCTTCTGCTAAGTACTATCTATTTATAACTTTCTCTTTTAGAATTACAGAGTGAAAACTTAAAACAATCAATTGAGAAACAGCATCATTTGACTAAAGAACTAGAAGATATTAAAGTGTCATTACAAAGAAGTGTGGTATGATTTAAAAACTCATTAGTGTGTAATAAGTCTCACCCTATCAATCAGTCAACAAATATTTATTAAATACTAATACAATGTACAAGGACCTGGAGTTTCAAATAGTTAGAGAAGACACAATCCTAGTCTGCAAAATGCTATAGTTTAGAGACATTGCATAAAAACACATCAAAAGTATAATTAAAATACAAGACCCTGGACAGGTGACAACAGGGTGGTTTAGGTAATAAATTAATAGTTCTAAGAATTGAAAGAACAGTATGGCTGGTTTGGCTAGGAAGGCTCCATGGAGGAGCTGGAACTATAGGTGGGATTTGGAGAACAGTGAATTGAAATAAGAGTAGTGGGTGGGCATTCCAGGGTAGGAAGGAGGAATAATAGGAAAATATGAGGGTGGGAAAGGGGCAGTGAATGTATAGAAGCAGATAAGTTCAGCTTTTTTGGTTAAGGCCTTTGGATCATTGCTCTTGTTTTATACTTTATTTCATTTAGAGTACTCAAAAGGCTTTAGAGGAAGATTTACAGATAGCAACAAAAACAATTTGTCAGCTAACTGAAGAAAAAGAAACTCAAATGGAAGAATCTAATAAAGCTAGAGCTGCTCATTCGTTTGTGGTTACTGAATTTGAAACTACTGTCTGCAGCTTGGAAGAATTATTGAGAACAGAACAGCAAAGGTAAAATATTTATTATTTTTAATACACAAAATAAGTGAATAAAAACAATTTACTTTTAATATTCAATGCCATTTTCTTTGCATTGCCAACTGATGTGTGTAATTCATATAACAACTGTAGTCAGGTCTCATGTATAAAGTGGGAATACATTTTAAAAGTTTCTTTGGATAGACAGATATCTTAGGAAAAGATGTAAAAGAAGATGTTCTCTAGGATAGTTCTCATGTATGCTTTGCCATAGAATTTAGTTATATACATAAACTCATGAAAGGTTGATGCAGTGATATGATATATTTAATGACTCTGTAGATTATTATTAGCTTCCTAGAAGTAGCTTCCAGGCTGTCAGGTTTATCTTACTGAGGTCTGTAGACCTTTCTGATTTATAAATTTAGCAGCTAGCCTGGCATAGGTAAGTACTACTCTATGTTTATTAAATTAACCAATTAATCAGTATAAATTTAATTAATATAATTAATTATCATTAACTTATTAAATAAATGGTTTCACAAATGTGATTACATAAAAAATAAACTAGTATTTTCATTTCATCTAAATAGCAGTTTTTCTAATGCTTGAGTGTTAAAGACTCTATTTTTTACTACTCTATATTAAGGAAATATTTATATAAAGCTGTGTTAGGAGGCCTAGATAATTATTTTTTGTCTCATTAGCATTAGGGTTAATTAAGTTTGGTAGGATAAAGGAGAACAGGTTTCTCTCTGAAGCCATAGCCGGGGCCTAGCAATAGTTTTTCTCTGTTGCTTGTGCATGGTGAGGGAAAAGCTAGCCTTTCTAGCTCCCCTAATTTATATATTTTTGATTGACCTATCCAGTGATTTTTCATTTTTAAAAAGGTAGGTTACCTAAGATTCCTCTATCCCTATTACCTCAGTTTTATACTTTGAGGAAACAGAAAGCCAGAGAAGTTAACCAAATTATACATGTTCTCATAATTATATTGTTCCTAAGGCAGAATTCAGTATAATAGTAGTTACATACTCAATTTCTTTCAGAGTTCTAGGATGCGTTAATCTGATTATCATCAACAGCTAAGAGAAAACTTATACCATAAGCTTTAAGGTATATCTATGTATATTACATAAATGTAATATAGAATTATGTATTTATAATAGTAATATCTTATTTTAAAATGTTACACTATATGGTGCAGAGTAGGTACTTAATAAATGTTTAACAATCCAGTGGGTGAATCTATTCTAAGATATATCAGTTGCTAAATTGCACCAATTTTAGTTATGAGATGAATTCTGACTAAAATAATATTTTGTATTGAAAATGATATATTTTACAAGATTGGAAAAAAATGAAGATCAATTGAAAATACTTACCATGGAGCTTCAAAAGAAATCAAGTGAGCTGGGTAAGACTTAGAGAATAATGTGTGTACTTTAATAATATTAACTTATTATAGAATCATAAACACTGTTTTGAAATAAAATATAATTTCCCCTCTGTCATTTGCCAGTAGAGATTGCTTGATAATATTTTTATTTCAATATTTGAAGGTAGAAAATTTAAACCTTAAGAAAGAGTGTTTTATTCAGTTTTATTATGCAGTTAATAGATATTTAGAAGTGTGGGGAGCCTAAGAGAGGTCTGAGTCTCCTAACAGAATACAACTAAGAGAAGTTGATATTCTGTTTTCTTTATTTTAGGATTCAGAGACCTTAATAATTCTTCGTGAGAAATGTCTGTTATTGTTTAATTGAATTTTGAAATTTCATTGCTTTGTCATGTTACATTATGTACTATTCACAGGAAAATGTGATCCTATTTTATCATAAGGTGTTATTAAAATTCAACAACTTTCATGGCCACGAGAGAGACATTCTCTACAGTAGTTATTTTATAATTTATGGCCATGTAATTCGATAATTCTAATAACCTATGCTTCATATTCATAACTCTTCATATCTACAAATGTGGAAAATTGCAAAGAATAAAATAGTTTCCAATTTTAGTGAAAAAATATTTTTTATAAATTAAAAATATTCATGAATTGGCAAATATTTTATAAAATATTTTCATTACTTTATGTAAGCTTTATTATTAGATTTAAATAGTTGTATAATTAAAATAATTATCAACTAAAATATTATCTAGTATCGGAAATGTGTGCTTTACATTTCACAAGTAGTTAGGTTGTTTGGTTGAACTTTTGGACCATATTTATCCTTTTTTTCTGTGAGGCTTAATTTTCCACTATAGATTAACCCTTTATCATGTAAAATTGTACTATCAAATGCAAATAATTGTATCTTCTTAGGATAACTTTAAATTAGAATGGTTATAATATAAACCATTCCATTTTTTATTCTTCCTTCGAGCATAAAATAGTGTTTTAAATCATTATATATACCTATACTTACTTTTTAAAAATTATTATTATACTTTAAGTTCTAGGGTACATGTGCACAACGTGTAGGTTTGTTATATAGGTATACATGTGCCACATTGGTTTGCTGCACCCCTCAACTTGTCATTAACATTAGGTATTTTTCCTAATGCTATCCCTCCCCCAGCCCCCCACCCCGCAACAGGTCCTGGTGTGTGAGGTTCCCCTCCCTGTGTCCATGTGTTCTCATTGTTCAACTCCCACTTATGAGTGAGAACATATGGTGTTTGGTTTTCTGTCCTTTTGATATTTTTGCTGAGAATGATGGTTTCCAGCTTCATCCATGTCCTTGCAAAGGACATGAATTCATTCTTTTTTATGGCTGCGTAGTATTCCATGATGTATATGTGCTACATTTTCTTTATCCAGTCTATCATTGATGGACATTTGGGTTGGTTCCAAGTCTTTGCTATTGTGAATAGTGCTGCAGTAAACATATGTGTGCATGTGTCTTTATAGTAGCATGATTTATAATCCTTTGGGTATATACCCAGTAATGGGATTGCTGGGTCAAATGGTATTTCTAGTTCTAGATCCTTGAGGAATCGCCTCACTGTCTTCCACAATGGTTGAACTAATTTACACTCCCAACAGTGTAAAAGCATTCCTATTTCTCCACATCCTCTCCAGCATCTGTTGTTTCCTGACTTTTTAATGATCGCCATTCTAACTGCTGTGAGATGGTATCTCATTGTAGTTTTGATTTTCATTTCTCTGATGACCAGTGATGATGAGCATTTTTTCATATGTCTGTTGGCTGCATAAATGTCTTCTTTTAAGAAGTGTCTGTTCATATCCTCTGCCCACTTTTTGATGGGGTTTTTGTTTTTTTCTTGTAAACTTGTTTAAGCTCTTTGTAGATTCTGGATATTAGCCCTTTGTCAGATGAGTAGATTGCAAAAATTTTCTCCCATTCTGTAGGTTGCCTGTTCACTCTGATGGTAGTTTCTTTTGCTGTGCAGAAGCTCTTTCATTTAATTAGATCCCATTTATCAATTTTGGCTTCTGTTGCCGTTGCTTTTGGTGTTTTAGTTATGAAGTCTTTGCCCATGCCTATGTCCTGAATGGTATTACCTAGGTTTTCTTCCAGGGTTTTTATGGTTTTAGGTCTTACATTTAAGTCTTTAATCCATCTTGAGTTAATTTTTGTATACCTATACTTATTTTCTTTAGAATTGTTTAATTTAATGTCTTAGGCTAAGGAAGAATTTTGTTTCTTAAAATGTCTTTAATGGATATTTATTTGTAATAATTCAGTCTAATATTGAAATTAAGTGGCTATTTGTCATATTAAAAATGCAATTGTATTATATGATTTTCTCACAGTAGAGCAATATATTTTGACAAATTTGAAAAAAGTATTCTAGAATTGTGAAATAGAACCATGTGTGTTTTTTAGCATTGCCTTAGATGTTGTAGGAATGTATAGAAGTAACATACCATCCTTTTGAGAAATCTCTGATTATTGTTGGAGGAAGCTTAAATACATAAAACCCTTAGAGTAATGGTGTCCAAAATGAAGGGGTGAGCAAAATTTCCTTTAGGAAAAGGGAAGAAAATGTTAGAATTTCTATTTTTATTTATTTTTATGTTTTAAATATGTTTTATAATGAACACTGTAATACATATTTATATTTTATAAATTTATATTTATAAACATTAATTTATAACTGATTATACATTTATGTAAATATAAATATGCATTTGTATTTTATACATACTAATATATTTTGGGTGAATGCTCACAGATTTCTTATTGATGGAGGTATGTTAATACTGATACCAAGAGGAAGCCTAAGATAGCAATGTGTACTGCATAGTTGGAAAAGGCTTTATGGAAAAGGTAGATTTAAATTTAAAAGTAGACTTTAAGGCTTTGGATAGTTGTAGAGGATGAAGGAGTGTACAAAACATCATGTGTAGGAAGGTAGCATTAACAGTGACATAGGTACTCAACTTCTTTGGGTGACAATATGGTCTCAAAACCAGAAATCTTGAAGGATATTCTGTACTATTTATTCTCCTTCCCTTATGCTTTACTGCTAATTGGTTATCTGGTGCTCCTTAACACCTAACTCATAAAATATAACTAACTTAGAAGTTCCTCTTAACTATCATTTGAATCTTTTCCTTTTCTTGATTTCCACAGATCTAGAACAGTTCAATTCCTCATTTTCTCTTTCTTGGTTTTAGAGTTTCAGGATGCATGTAAAGAACATAATGGTACAAAAATTGTATTTGTAAGATTAATCATCAAACCGTGCTTCAGATTACCCCCATTTGTCCTAATCTTTATTCATCCCCCCTTGCTATATTTAACTAAGCTTCTGTTTGCTTTGCCTTTCTTTAATAATCTTTTTTCTTACCCCAACAACTCTCATTCTTCTTTGTTTCCTGGCTACACTTTACATTCTTCCTTGATGGTATTTTCTTAGACTTACATCTTGGTTAAAGTGGTCTTCCATCATTTCCTCAGCAGTCTCAATCCTCAAAACACTTTTAACCTATGTACTGCTCAGATATAGCCTGCTCTACTCCTTGTATCTTTTAGGTCAGACGTCTTTGACCAGTGCTATTATAGTTACAATAGCTTGAGAATCAGTCCTTTTCTTTCTAGGATAGCCACCTTTTGCTCATTTTCTACATTGCTGCTAGAGTGTTTCTTTAAAAATACAAATATGATTATTCTATGTGGCAAATTTAAGAGGCATCTCATTGCCTAAGTTCAAACTACTTAGATATCAGTTATCTTTTCATTGTTCATTTAAAGAGTGGGAGTACTGCATACCAAGTGAGTTGAAGTCAACTGCAATAGGAAATCTTTGGCAAGTAATTTTTTCTCAGTTTCTTAACTTGTTACAGTTTTCTTTGCTGCTTCATGCGTTGCCCATCTTCAATTCAGTCTAATATTGCTGTAAATGTGTCTTATTCTTGTACTCATTTTTCCATATCTGGATCTATCTTTGCTTTCAATTTGGTATGTAACAGATTCCCCTCCTAGTAGGTTCTATTGCTTCTGCTTTGATTATCAGATATATAATATAATAACTATTGAACTAAGGCTTAGATGTTTATTCCTTATTTAGCCTTGGATATGTAATGAGGAATGTAACAGACATGGTATTTGTTCTCATGAGGTTTGCACTCTTCTTGGAGAGACATACAAAACAAATAATCACAAATAAATATTTAATTATAAATTGGGATAAGTGCTATGAAGGAAATAAAAATGATGCAATGCGGTGGCTGCAATGGACTGTGTGGGCCAGTCCGCAGGCCTACAGGCAAGCGCATATGGGTGAGTGCCAGCTGTGGTGGTAGTGGCAGGCCTGGCTGACCCTTCATCAGGCACCCAGGAGGAGTGCTTAGGTGCTAATGGTGGTGGATGGGGCAGTGTGATCCCTAGGCTCTTGGACAGTGTACTCAGGCACTTGAGGGAGCAGAGATAGTCCTCGTGGGCCTATCTTCAGGCTTCCCAGTTGTGTTTATAGGTGCTGGCTCTGGTGGGCAGGGGTGGGGTGATTCCTATGCCCCTGATGGAGCACTCAGGTGAGTGCTGCAGCAGTTGTGGTGAGCTGGGAGAGCCTGCCCTTAGAGCATGTGCAAGTGTGCTGCGGCCCTGCTGCCAGGGAGTGTGCGATTGTTGTAGGTGGCAGCAGCTATAGGCAGGCCTCTGAGGAGTGTGCGCTTCAGCCCCAGGCATCAGCTGTCCGTGAGCCTGTACTCAGGGCATGTGACCCCGCTGCTGGGGGCAGTGAGGTTGCTGCTAGTGGTTCTGGCTTCACCTGGTAGCTGGCAGTGGCAGAGGTTGTGGCTGTGAGCAAGGTAGCTTGTCCTTGGGGTGTTTGCAAATGTGTGATGGCCCTTCTGCTGGGGTGACATGGGATTGATGCCATTGGCTTATGCTTTGGCTCCAGCAGCAGCAGCCAGTAGTAGCAGCTGCAGGAGCGGGAGCCTTTTCCTGGCGCACGCACGGGAAGATGTGCTGCAGTCCTGCTGTTGGTAGGGGGCAGGGTTGCTGCCAGTGGGGTGCACTTCAGTCTTGGTAGCAGTAGCCAGCAGTGAGTATTGGCAGGTGGGGGATGTCAGTGGGGCTCCAGGGATATGGAGATGCGGGGGTTTTTGGGCCCCAGAGCAGGATGTAGTCTCCTGGGGGCTGGGCTCTCAAAATGGTACGGGGCTATAGCTGCTTAGAACTCAGAGGGTGGGTGGGACCCAGCATAAATTCCCTCTATGGAGCAATGCCTTTGTGAGATCTCTAGGCAGCTACCTATGTTAATCTCAGGGTCCAAAGGACCCTTCCTTGCCTTAGGTGTTTCCTGACACATCTCTTTTGAATTCCAGTGTTCTTTCTTAGAGGATCTATTTGAAGTGTAATTTATCTACTCACTAATTTAGTTATTCTTTGTGGAGGAGGTGAGTGGGCAGATGCCTCTAGTCAGCCATCTTGAAGCCTTTCTTGTTTTTAAACTTTCGTCTTACATTTTCTACCTCTTTGTTCTTTTTCCTGAATTGGGAGGTATCTCTATCCTATCTCTGTCTGTATCTCTATCTTTATCTGTATCTCCATCTGTATCTGTATCTGTATCTCTATCTCATCTCTATCTTTATCTGTATCTCCATCTGTATCTGTATCTGTATCTCTATCTATCTCATCTCTATCTCTATCTCTCTATCTAAATTTGTTTCTCCCTTGCTAATTCAATCTTTAAATATGTCTGTTTTGCTATTTTCAAAATCTCAGTTGTCAAATTTTAAATTTCTAAGAGCTCTAGGTAATCTATTTCAGGGATCTGGTATCCTGTTGGAACACTATACTTAGTCAAATATCTGTTTCTGTTCACTCTATTAACTCTTTTTCTTTGGGTTTTAGTTTTTTTCACAGTTTAATTTGGAGCTTTCTTTTTCATTGTTTTGCTTTTCTTCACAAATTGTTGGTACCTGATTGTTGACTCTCTAAGTATAAGTATTCTTCTTTTCCCACTTGTGTATTACAATCTAATTCTTCTGATTATGGGAGTGAGTGGGAGTTGCTGTGGGGAAAGGTGGGCATAGCAGCTTGTCTTTTACTATAGGGGATGTTTATCTTGCTTAAGAATAATAAGCTATTTGTAACACTACCTCATCTGCCACCCAAATTCCTAGGATCCTTACTTTATCCTGAGGTGGGCTTTGTGGTGAGAGGTATGGTCACTTGGTCTTGTTCCACATAGCCTTCATTGAATTAGTGTGAGTTGTTTTTTTTTTTTCTCCAAGGATTCGTTAATTTTCTGGTTTGTTAATGATAGTCTCTTATTTTGTTAATGTTGTTCTTTTATATATATTTTTTCTCGTACTTTTTTTTCTAATTTTGTGGGATTGGGGTGAGAGAACATATAGAGACATGCTCAGTCCACTGTCTTTAATCAATTTTTGAGTTTTTAAAAATTAAGTATTTTTACCTGAAATAACACTTTCTAGTTAAATAAGCTATGTATACGCCAGGTTTTTCTTTTGGATTCTATATTGACATTTTATATTTTGTTAATTTTCTTTAAAGACTGTGGACAATTATTACAAGTGTTTTAAAAAATGTACAGAGTTTGAGAAATTTTCAGTAAGTCTATTACATTTCCATTAATCAATAAGGACCCTTAACAGTGAGGAAGGACAATATTTCAGACACAATAAATTTTTAGCTGACAGCTGGACATATTAGGGAACTCTGTAGGCAGTTTCTTTTTTGGTTTAATTTTTTGTGGGCAGGTTAAAAATATAAGAAAGTTGAAAAATGCGGGAGGCTTGGGCTGGAAAGATTTTTCAATTTATTAGCATAATGTTGAACTCATGGAACTGTAGAAAGAAAAACATTGGGCTTTATTTTTTAGGATGGCAAGAAAGAAGGCTGTCAGCAAAGAAAACAAGAACAGGAGGTAGAGAGGAAACAGGACATATGAATAGTGCAAAATCAAAGAGGAAAAAATGGGGAGAAGTTAATAGTATCAAATAGTACAAACCTCCACAATGATGAAGACTTAAGAATTGTATCACAAAATGGTTATTGGTGATCCTTAAGATGACAATTTTATTATTATGGTGATAAGCATTAGTTTTACTTGGAGTTCAAAATGAAATGTGTAGGTAACAAATAGGAATTTGTTGGAAAAACAAACTAAGAAATTTGATAGCTGCTTGAAAGAGCAGAAAGGTCAGATATTGTTTTATAATCAAATAGAATGTTTAGACGAGATAAGGGAAATTAAAGATTCCTCTACATAGAATCTGTGTATATTGGTAGCGTAAGGGCAGAGTCTCAGAGGAGGTGGGAATGTTGAATCCAAAGTACAATGCTCAGAGTTAGCTTGAGAAAAGAGAATCACTTCTTTTAAGTTTGGAGTGAAGATTAAAATGTCAGATGTTTAGACAGTGATGAGTTGAAGGTAAATGTACATTCTGACCTCATTTCAAATATATTTTATATAGATTTATTGCTTATTTTGCTTTATGAACTTTGGGTTATTTGGCAATGGCATTAACTTTAGAGAAACATTACTATTAATATTTATCTTTTATTAGCTTTTCATAGTTAGATTTGGACTCCCTCTATGCTTTACATTGCTCTAGTTGCATTTGTCTCTCCTGATTTTTCCCTTTTGCGTAGTATTATGCTTGTTCCTTCTGTCTCTTTTCCTATTCTTTTAATCCAGCTTTTTAACACATTTTTTTTTTGCTCATTTTAGAAGAGATGACTAAGCTTACAAATAACAAAGAAGTAGAACTTGAAGAATTGAAAAAAGTCTTGGTAAGTATAGTCTTTCCTATTAATATATAGCAATTACTTTTCAGAAGAATATTGAATCCCTTAACTTATAGACTCTCACACTATAGATGTTTTATACTAATTTTTTCAGCTAAAATGTAAAAATTATATTTGGTTTTAAGTAAAGATGCATTTTTTAGACCAATTTTTATATACCTTGTTAACTGTCTTCATCAAGCTGTTTATATCATTTGAATATGTGTTGATAGCACACTAAGATCAAATTTGCATGTTATGTAGCTGATTGTAAATTTGGTAATTTTGGATGTTGTACCCTTTGAACAATAAAGATGCAATTTTGAAAAAGGTGTATGATATATATTCAGTACCTATATTTAATGTTCAGGTAAAATCATGTTTAGTGAAGATGTAGGGTAAAATTTCATTGTATTTTAATTGATTACAGTATATAGAACATGGGTCAGCAAACTGTCTGTAGAGGACTAGATAGTAAATATTTTACAGTTTGTGGGCCATACATGGTCTCTCTTTTCTCCTTCTCTGCCTTTGCCTCCTCTGCCTTCTCTCTTTTATTTTTAAGAACCTTGTAAAAATATAAAAACCATTCCTAGCTTAAGGGTCTAGGAAAACAGACTGCAGGCTGAATTTGTCTTGCATACTGCAGTTTTCTGGCCCCTGATGTAGAATATAATATTGTTTATGATGACTGATAATTGATTTTGTGTTTACCTATCACATCTCTACCTGATTTTGCAGCTCCTAGTTCTTCTGTCCCTTGGGGAGCATTATTTTAAAATATTTTTCTTTTCTCCATTTAATTGCTCCGGGACAAACTCTTTGTAACTAATAATAATGTTTTCAGTGCTTTCAGATTTATTAATGCATACTTATACAAGTCTTAGCTTAAATGTCAGTGCTTTATGAAACCTCTCTTGATACTCTAGGCTAGGTTTAGGTCTTTGTATGGCTTATTTCCATAGCACCCTGAATTTTTCCTTTGTAACACTTATCACAAATGAAATTCATTTATTTTTGGTATTATTATTTAAGGCTTTATTCACCCTTTAGACTCCTTACCTAGCATAGTGGCTGGCACATAGTAGGTGCTCAATAAATAAATAGTGGAATGAATGTATGCTTCAATAAGGGTTAGGAGCCTTTGTGTTGTTTACCTTGTAACTCTAGTACTTAGCACAGAAAGTGACACTTTGTAACACTTTATAAATATTTGTTGAATGAATACTAAAGCATTGGCTTTTATATAACGATTCACTTCTGCATGGACAAGGACTGGTTTGGAGGTTTTGTTATTGTTGTAGGAAAAAACTAGGTTCTTGTCACATGACCAGGAAAGATTAGGCTCGCAGACATTTTGAAGGGTGTGTAAGGCAGGCTTTATTTGGTGAAAAGTGAAAAAAGGGAAACAGGGACTGTCAGCAAAGTGAGAGTGCTGCTAGCAAGCTTTCTGCCTCACAGATTGAATCCCCAGTTACCACACAGGAATAGGAGGGGTCAGGCTCCTCTTTCTTGCAAATGGCATGAACTTCCCAAGGCCCCAGCCTGTCCTCCCAGTGCACAGGCTGGTCGGAGGTTCTCCGGGGAGACCTTTTTACTTGGAGACCTTTTTACCTTCTCCATTCTAAAGAAGTACATCTAACTGCCATTAGAATAAGGATAAGGATAAGGACAAAGACCAATCTTAATTGCTTCCTGCTGACAGGAGGTGCTGTTTTGGGAAAACAGCAGTCAGATCTCCCTCAGAGACATATCTAAGGATTCCTGGCAAAAGGGGCCAATGTCTGAAGCTCTGGTTGCATGACCGTTTTGGAGTTTGTTTGATGGCCTGAAGGTGAGAAGACACAAACAGGGTTATTAGAAAATATGTATCAAAATAAAATGTGGGGTAGGTGGTAAGGACAGCTCAAAAATCCCAAGGCCTTTTACCAGTTTGCACAGGGAAGGGAGGGCCAAAAGCCTGACTGGTAAGAAAAACTTTTACCCTTTTGCTGGTATGTCAGGCTTCTAGGTTCCCTTCCCCTGAGCCCAATCCTAAGCTGACCAGTTTAAGGTTTGAGAAATTAACTCTTCCCAGTTTGGAGGATGCATCTGAGGGGAATCTCCCATAGTACAGAGACACAATTACCTATCAGCGAAGAGAGGAGATAGGAGGAAAAAGGAAAAAACAAGGTTTTTTTCCAAAGGAGTCCCAGGAGTTCAGGATGCATTTGAAAGGGGTACAGACTGAAGATGAATGGCTACTCATCTAGAAAAAGGAGAGCAGGCATCACTAGCAAATACCAGGGATATGTGAGGGAGGGAAAGTGAGGCATTCCTCTTTCTTTCCTCTGTTCTTGCATCCCTGAGTCCTGGCAACCATGACAGGTACCACCCATTGGTGTTTTAGTGGCTTTCACTCATGTTAACAGGGGAGCCTAGAGGGTGGAAGTATCTGCTCTTACCCACATATGCTATGTCTCCCCTGCTGTCAGTAGCCTTTGAATTCCCTAGACCTCATTTATGTCATGGATGTGAGCATAGACTTTATCCATGAAATGGGAAGCTTGGCTTAATTGGCAGGAATCAGCCACACTCACCTGCACTGTGCCTTTTAACTTCCCTTATTGTCAGCCTCTGGATCCAGTTTTCTTTCCTAGTGCTTTGACCCAAAGCTTGGAATTGAGTTTGGGACCAAAATGTGTCTCAGGGGTGTTGCATGGACTCCTTATCGTAAGCTGAATGCTAAGGTAACACTGTGGAACTGAGTTTTCCTCCAACAAGGGAGAGAAAAGGATGTCTTATGACATGCCCAGATAACTGGTGGCTATCATTATGCTTGCTAAGATTTGGGTGCATTGTGCTTGGCTTTGGCTAGCTCCCTTGGTCTTACTTTCCCAAAAAAGAAACCTCCAGGTGATGGGCACCTTATTTATTCCCATCATCTGTCCGGATTTGCAAGATAATTGCTCAGAACTAGAATATTGATCCAGATTTTTACATTACCCATCCCCTTTTCTTCCTTCTGAGCCACATCTGGAGAATGCTGCTTGGTTCATAGGAACAAGCAGGATTAGTCTAAAATGTAGGCAAAAACTTAAAAACAACTAATGAGTTTAGAAAGTAATGACAAATGTATGATAAATTTTGAAACATAATTTCTCTCTCTCCAGTCCTCATTTTTGCTAAAAAAACAAATCATGATAGGACTGAGTTGTTTGCAAAATAGACTTTAGTCTTATACTTGGCCTGATTTTTTGCATAAAGTACAGCAAGAATAACTATTTCTACATAGGACTTCTAGATTGGCTTTGATGGTACTCTGTTCCACAAGGAATCTCAGATAAGACCTTTTAAAGCTAGGCCCAGCCATGGATTTGTATCCTCAAATACCTCTGAGTTGGGTAATCCTCTCCTTCTAAGGTCCCAAGATATACTTGGAACTCCTGGCCTGTTAGAAAGTGACATTCTTTACTGACCACAGGTCAGGAACCCTGTATGGGGCTGTGCAGACAACGGTGTGAGGCCAGTTTTTTCCCAAGGGGCTTTTATTGGCTCTGCAAGTCAAGTTTGACTGCTTAAAGGGAAGCATACCCTTCCAGTCAAAGCCTTGGTAAAACAACCAGTTTCTTTAATTGCATCCTGTTGCAAAAGAAAATGAATTCTTATTGCACTGATGCAAACAACTATATTGCCGTAAGTTAAGAATACACACAGATAGTTTCCAAATTCTAGAGGAACCAGGCAGAGAGAAATAAACATGCTCTAAATTTTGTTCACAAGAGTATACCTTACTCAATTATTAAAGGCTGTAAATAGTCCAAAATGTTTCCTTTACTCTGAAAAACAAAACAAGGATCAGCAATATTCCAAGCAAAAGTCAAAAAGATTGCTTCAGTTTTCTGAATTCATTCAGTTAGCTCTTCTTTTCCTTGATATTCATGAACATTTTAGCTCTTCATGAATTCTGTACATTTCCCTTTATTCCAGTGTCATAATCTTCAAAGTTATCAGACCTGTATTTGAGAGCACCTGTCAAAGTTCTATAGCTTATTATAAACCATCTTTTGAAAAGAATTAAAACAAGACAACAATTGTCTGTGAATAACGAAATGTCCAGGGTAGTTACAATTAGAAACACAATTGACAAAGAAGTTTGGTACCTCCGTGGTTTACAATAACTTAACCTTAATTGTGATTGATAGTATACTCAGACATTAGAATTTTAGAAATCCCATACAATTTGGGAACATATATTAGTATTATTCACCAAAATATAACCTAAAGAATATTGAACACCATTTTGGCAATCCTATGTAAGTAAACATGTCACATAATCCTGTTTACCTCTTTTCTGGATACTCCAGAGGCCCTTCTGAAGCATCGGAAAAGCCTGGCGTCAGGAAAGGCAATTTTGAAACTGAAGTTTGATTTTGGGAAGCCTGTAAAATATGTTAGAGGTTGAAAACACTTAATGTTATGAAATAGAATTCCAGATGACATAAATCATTTATTTTGCCAAAGTCGTGATTCAGAAACTTTTATAACCTGTTACAAATTTTGCTTAAGAGCAGATTAGTGCCTTATGAATACTTCGTTGTGCTTTTATTTTAATGCTCAATTTACAGAAAAACCCTATAATGCCTTTTTGAATTTAGTCAATATATGCACACACAGAGTTTTTGCAAGATTAGTTTTTACAATCCTTCCACCACTTGTTTGAACTTTTAACTTTATTTTATCTAATTTGAAACAATTCTTTAACCTTAGGCAACAATTTACATTTTTAATGCCTTCTTATAACATTTTTTTTTTTGAGATGGAATTTCGCTCTGTCACCCAGGCTGGAGTGCGGTGGCGTGATCTCAGCTCACTGCAACCTCTGCCTCCCAGGTTCAAGTGATTTTCCTGCCTGAGCCTCCTGAGTAGCTGGGATTATAGGCGCCCACCACCATGCCTGGCTAATTTTTGTATTTTTTGTAGAGATGGGATTTTGCCATGTTGGCCAGGCTGGTCTCAAATTCCTGACCACAAGTGATCCACCTCCCTCGGCCTCCCGAAGTGCTGGGATTACAGGCATGAGCCACTGCGCCTAGCCTCTTATAACCTTTTATTAAAAACACATTTTACTGTTCTTACACACCTCACATGTAAATCTATTTCCAGTAGTCTCAATTACATGTCATAATAGTAACTTTTAGCAATTTTTAACTTCAATGTAAAATCTGGTAAGTTGTTTTGAGTATGTGCTAGGAGCAGCTAAGGTTTGACTTCTTCCTGCATAATTAAGGGTGTGGTTAGTTCCATATGTCCCCATGCCTTACCAAGTTGAACAGTTCTCAAAAACCAAAAAGCAGTTTATAACCTTAAAACACTTAACAAACCTTGCATCTGACCTGCATAATTTAGTCCACCTATTTATATTTTGATGATATCTGCTTTTTACCAATAATCTTTAAGTCAGTCTTTATTTTACAAAGATTAAAGTTATATGAACTGAAAGGTACCACAGCTTTTATCTTCCCTTTAAAAAATATTTGATCCAAGCACTTATCTTCCTTTAAGCCAATTAATTAGAGCTCTTTTTAGAGACATCACACATATGTAACTACATAGGCAGAAGAAACCCCAGTTGTCATAAGATCTTTTCAAATGGGGAGAGGAATCTATCTGCTTTTAATTCCTGGGGTTCCATGAGGATAGCAGAGGTCTCTCCCCACTCAGATGTGCATTAAAAGTGGCAAGGCAAAATCGAGAAAAATAATTTAGTCAACTGAAAAAAACCTTTTCCCAGAAAAACAAGGTCCAATAAAAGGAAAACATAAAGGCCTTATAAATAGAGCTATAACTTGGATATCCACTTTAATTAAGCTGAGTACTCCTTAAGAAAATCCTTTTAACTCCATTATTAGCCAACTTTAGTTGGGCCAAGCTACCAATACTTCTGGCTTTCAAACTTTACTAAAGGCTCAGAGAAAGGAAAATCCAAGGCAGTGCGTGGAGGGGAAGAGAGTCAATAAGCAGCAAAAGGTTATGCAGATATGAAACCATAAAGGACTCATTCGCTAAGCTAGGATTGAACCTGGGGCCACCATTGTAAAATGGCAAAGGCTAGAATAAAACATTGCTATGTGGTTACAGGTCTTGCTCCCAAGGACAGCAAGATGGAGGCCTGCAGCAAAATTTGCTGAGGACTATACAGAAAGTCATGCAAAGCACGCTAGATTGGTTGCAGCTTAAGACGAACCTCACAAATCCTTTCTCACAACTAAAACTACAGAAAATATAAATAGTGATCCCCATCATTCCTGGCCCAGCAAAATGTCTTCCAAAAAGAAAAAAACCTGGTTTAAAAGTTACCTGCTGACAAGGTAGAGAAAAGGATGAGACAGCTTAGATGCTGGGCTGTGTTAACTGCTGACAGGGTGAAGAGAAAAGGATGCCTGGGGGAAGAACTTATTATTCTTATGCAAGTTGTTCCTCCACTAGGGAGAGAAGCATAATTGCTGTGGGATGGAGCTGGACTCCTTGGCTGGGGGAGGGGGAGACTCCACGGGCGCTTGGCAGGGAGTGCCAGCCAGCCTCGTGGGGCCCTTGGGTCATGCTTCCCAACGGGGAGGGGAGGGCGGCGGGGAACTGCTGCTCGCCCATCTGTACCAAAAAAAGAAAGAAAAGGCCATGGAAAGGCTGGGTTGGACTGAGGCCGACATTCCAGATCTCCGGGAGCAATGGGAGTAGGGGTACAGTTTCCTCTATCCTCAGAAGAAATCCGAAGGAAAAAAGGCTTAGAAGCGAAAGAGAAAAAGATGTTTTTTTTTGGTTTGCATTTCACTCACCCTTTCTCAAGCCTTATGTTTCTCAAACAATATGTTGTAGGAAAAACCGGGTTCTTGTCGCAGGATCAGGAAAGATTAGGCTTGCAGACACTTTAAAGGGTGAGTAGGGCAGGGTTTATTGGGTGAAAAGGACAAAAAGGGCCACAGGGACTCTCAGCAAAGAGAGAGTCCTGCTAGCAGGCTTTCTGCATCACAGATTGAATCCCTGGTTACCACATAAGAGCAGGAGGGGTCAAGTTCATCCCCCACCCCGCAAACGGCAGGAGCTTCCTGAGGCCCCGCCCTGTCCTCCCAGTGGGCAGGCTTATCGGAGGTTCTCCAGGGTGCTCTTTTTACTTGGCCGTCTCATTATATATGAACAACATCAATATCTGGATTCTCAGGATCAGAATGTCTTGATTGGTGTGCAGCTCTTTACTTGTTAGCTATATGATCAAGAGCAGTTTACCTAAACTCTTGATGCCTCAGTTTTTCCATCTATGAAATGGAAAAAATAATTGTACATATTTCATAGGGTGATTGTGAGGAATAAATAAGACAATTCACTTACTCATTTAACAAACATTTGTTGAGTTTTTCAGCTGGGCATGCTGGCTCACACCTGTAATCTCAGCACTTTGGGAAGCTGAGGTGAGCGGATCACTTGAGGCCAGGAGTTCGAGATCGGCCTAGACAGTATGGCAAAACCCTGTCTCTACTAAAAATACAAAAATTAGCTGGGCGTGGTGGCAGTGTGACTATAATCCCAGCTACTTGGGAGGCTGAGACAGAGAATCGCTTGAGCCCGGGAGGCGGAGGTTGCAGTGAGCTGAGATTGAACCACTGCACTCCAGCCTGGGCAACAGAGTGGACCCTGTCTGAAGAACAAAAACAAACATTTGTTGAGTTTTAATTATGCTAAAACTCTGGGGATACAGTGGGGAGCAAATGGACCCATATACTGCCTTCATGGAACAACAGCCATCAAGTAGTCACACTTAAATTCAATCACTCATTGAAATGTAACATTACAATGGTGACAAGGGCATTAAAGGATTAGTTCATAGTATGATGAGGCCTATGATAAAAGGACTTGAACTAGTTAGGTTAGGATAGGCTTTTTTGAAGAAGTAAGGATTGAACTGAAATCTGGAGAAAAAATACAGCATATCAGATAGAGGAAACATGCTAAGATTCTTTTCATGGGAGGGAGTATGGTGAGTACATGATGAAGTGAAAGATGCTGCTGGAGAGTTAGATAGGAGCCTTACAATTCATGGCCTTGTAAATCATATCAAAGGAATTTTGTATTTATCCTAAGAGGGATGGGACACTCCAGATGATTTTAGCAGGGAGTGACTTGATCAGATTTGCATTTCAAAAAGCACATTTGGCCTGAAGGAGAATAGTGTATTAAGGCAGAACAGTTAAGAGTAGACAGACAATCACAGTAGCCAGAGGAGAGATGATGGTGGCTTAGTCTGGGAGGTCGTAGTAGTAGTGAGAAAAAGTGATGTAGGATGACATTACCATTTGTTTAAAATACTCTCCTTTCTCCATTGAATTGCTTTTGCACATTTATTATAAAAATCAATTGGCCATGTTTGTATGGGTCTATTTCTGGACTCTCTTACATTTTCTTGGTGTATTTGTCTATTCATTTGCCAATATTGCAGTGTCTTGATTACTGTAGATTTAATACTAAGTCTTAGAATTGAGTAATGTGATTCCTCCAACTTTATTATTCATTTTCAAAATTGTTGTAGCTATTCTAGTTCCTTTACATTTCCATATAAATTTTATAATTAGCTTTTCTTTCTTTCTTTTTTTTTTTTTTGAGACGGAGTCTTGCTCTGTTGCCCAGGCTGGAGTGCAGTGGTGCGATCTTGGCTCACTGCAAGCTCCACCTCCCAGATTCATGCCATTCTCCTGTCTCAGCCTCCCGAGTAGCTGGGACTACAGGTGCCCACCACCACGCCTGGCTACTTTTTTGTATTTTTAGTAGAGATGGGGTTTCACCGTGTTAGCCAGGATGGTCTCGATCTCCTGACCTTGTGATCTGCCCACCTCGGCCTCCCAAAGTGCTGGGATTACAGGTGTGAGCCACCTCGCCCCGCCTAGAATTAGCTTTTCTATACCTTAAAAAACTCTTGCTGAAATTTTTATTGGAATTGTGTGAAATATATAGATTAATTCAGGTTGAACTGACATCATTAGTACGTTGAATCTTCTAGTACATGAACGTAGTATCTGTTTCTATTTTTATAGATCTTCTTTATAATGATTTATTTCATTAGCATTTTGCAGTATTCAGCATACAGTACTGTAAATGTTATATTAGGTTTATACCTAAGTATTTCTCTTTTTGCAGGTATTTTAAATAACTACCAAATAGGCATTTGATTTCTTTTTCTTGCCTTATTGCATGGCCTCAGACTGCCAGTATGCTGAATAACAGTGGTGAGCTTGTAAATCTTTGATATCCTGATCTTAAGAGAAAAACATTCAGTGTTTTACCATTAAGTTATGATGTTACTTGCAGGTTTTTTGTAGAAAGTTCTCTTGTATTTCTAGTTCACTGAAAGTTTATATTATGAATTGAAGTTGAATTGTGTGAAACGCTTTTTCTGTGTCAATTTATATGATCATGTGGTTTTTCTTCTTTAGACCATTAATGTGGTGTATTCATTGATTTACAAATATTGAATGAACCTTGCATTTCCAGGATAAACCCCATTTGGTGTTGAGTATTGTACTTTTTTTCTATTTCACTGAATTTTATTTGTTAATATTTTGCTGAGGATTTTTATATTTGAGTTCATAAGAGATATTGGTCTGTAGATTTCTTTTCTTTTGCTATCTGTGTCTGGTTTTGGAGACAAAGTAATGCTGGCTTTGTAAAATGAACTGAGAAGCTGTTTCACAGAGGCAGGTCTTTGCAAACCTATTCCAAAGTTCAAAGAAGCTTAGAGGCTGAAGAAAGAGGCTTATAAATCCAGTTTCTTGGAAACATTTAATAGGGACTTACAAACAGAAGCCATGTGTGTCTCAAGTAGTGGTAAGACAAGATGATGAATCCCTGCATCGTTAACCCCCAGACCCAAGGATTATATACCTTAGAGGAGGGGTACATGTGCTTCAGAGGCAATACTAGAAATATGTCCTAAGGGCAGGATTTACGGGAAGTACCTTCTTGTACACAAGGAACAATAGATAAACTGGAAATCTTAGAGGACTTTCTGGAACAGGGGTTAAGCAGAAGCCAACATGGTAGATTAGCTTCCAAGATAGAGTTGTTTTATGCTCCATAGAAGCTTTTGTTTCTTTTCTGTTTTCTGGAAGAGATTGTGTAAAATTGGTATAATTTCTTCTTTAAGTGGTAGAATTCTCTAGTGAAACCACTTGGGTCTAGAGATTTCTTTTTGGCAAGGTCTTCACTATGGATTTAATTTTTTTTATTGTTATAGAACTATGCAGGTTACCTGTTTAATCTTGAATGATTTTGGTAGTTTTTGGTTTTAAAGAAATTAGTCCATTTCCCCCAAGTTGTCAAATTTCTGTGCATAGAATTTTTTGTAGCATTTCCTGTTATCCTTTTAAATATCTGTACAGTCTGTAGGATTACCTTCTTTTTGTTACTGATATTGGTTGTTGTGTCATTTCTCTTTTTTGTCTCTTTTTTTTTGGAGATGGAGTCTTGTTCTGTCACCCAGGCTGGAGTGCAATGGCATGATCTAGGCTCACTGCAACCTACACCTCCTGGGTTCAAGTCATTCTCCTGCTTCAGCCTCCTGAGTAGCTGGGATTATAGGCATGCACTACCACACCCTACTAATTTTTTGTATTTTTAGTAGAGATGGGGTTTCACCGTATTGGCCAGGCTGGTCTCGAACTCCTGACCTCAAGTGATGCACCCGCCTTGACCTCCCAAAGTGCTGGGATTACAAGTGTGAGCCACCGTGACCGGCCCCTTTTTTATTAGTCTGGTAGAGGTTTCTTAATTTCATAGATCTTTTCAAATAATTAGTTTATATTTCATTGATTCTTTCTATTGTTTTTCTGTTTTCAATCTCATTGTTTTCTGCTCATATCTTTATTATTTCCTTCCTTCTGCTACTTTGAGTTTATTTTGCTCTCTTTCTAGATTCCTAAGGTGGAAGTTTAGATTGTTTTGAGACCTTTCTTTTTTGTAAGCATTTGCATGCTATAAATTTCCTCTAGTCACCTTTTCAGCTGCATTTCACAAATTTTTATGTGTTGTATTCTCATTTAGTTTAAAATAGTTTTAAATTTCTCTTGAGGGTTTTCCTTTGATCCCATTTAGAAGTCTATTGTTCAATTTCCATGTATTTGGAGAATTTCCTGTTATTTTTTGTTATTCTTTCCTAGTTTAACTTTGTTATGGTCAGAGAATGTACTTTTGTAAAAAATTTCTTAAGGTTTGTTTTATGTATCAGATATGATATATCTTAGTGAATGTTCCATGTGCACTGAAAATAATATGTATTCTGCTATTGTTAGGTAGAGTGTTCTGTAATTGTCAATTAGGCTCAGTTGGCTGATGGTGTTGTACAAATATATGTTTTTAATTGAATTTTTGGGTCTAATTCTATTATTTACTGAGAGAAGAGTTAAAACTAGTAGGATTTTGGAATTGTTTATTTATCTATTTAATTCTATCAGTGATTGCTTCGTGTGTTTTGAACTTCTGCTATAAACTTCACATTTATATCTAACTACCATATCTTCTTGATGAATTGACCCTTTGATTATAATTAAATGCCCTCAATTTCTGATAATACTTTTTTGTTTTAAAGTCTATTTTAACATATTATTATAGCCACTCCATGTTTCTTATGCTTGTTGTTTGCATGATATATCTTACAACCTACATTTGACTTTATATTTGTACATATGTGCTTATATGTAGCCTGCATATAATTGGGTCTTCTTTCTTTATGCACTCCGACAATCACTGCTAATTGGAGAATTTAGACCATTGATATCTTTAAAAATTGTTGTTTAAGTGTTGATGTGGCTTAGATTAGATTCACCATTTAAAAGTTGTTTTCCGTTTGCTCCTTTGTTTTGTTCCTCTTTTAAACTCTCTGCCTTCTTTTGGGTTATTTGAATATTTTTTGGCATTCCGTTTTAATGTATCTACTGGTATTTTATCTATACTTCTCTGCATTTATTTTTGTGGCTGTTCTAAGGATTACAGCATGTATCCATTACCTTGTCTATATTGAGTTAATATTGTACCACTTCATGTTAAATGTTGAAACTTTTTTTTTTTTTTTTTTAGATGGAGTCTTGCTCTGTTGCCCAGGCTGGAGTGCAGTGGCATGATCTCCGCTCACTGCAAGCTCCGCCTCCTGGGTTCATGCCGTTCTCCTGCCTCAGCCTCCCGAGTAGCTGGGACTACAGGCGCCCGCCATGACGCCTGGCTAATTTTTTGTATTTTTAGTAGAGATGGGGTTTCACCGTGTTAGCCAGGATGGTCTCGATCTCCTGACCTCGTGATCCACCCGCCTCGGCCTCCCTATTTATGTCCTTTTCCCACTTTGTCCTTTATGCTAGAGTTGTCATATATATTACACCTACATGCATTTACATCTTCCAAGACAGTGCTATAATTTTTGCTTTAGTAGTCATATGTTTTTTAAATAACTTGAAGAAAAATGATCTTTTATATTTATTGCAATATTTACCAGTTGTGATATTCTTTATTTTTTCCTGAAGATCCACGTTTACCTCTAATATTGTTCTCCTTCAGCCTAAAGAACTTCCTTTAGTATTTCTTGTAGTGCAGTTTTGCTGCTGACAAATTTTCTTAGTTTTTCTTTTTGAATATATTATTTATTTACTCTTCATTCTGGAAGGATTTTTTTTTTTTTTTGTTATAGGATTGTGGGTTGACAGTTTTGTTTCTTTCAGCACCTTAAAGATGATGTCTTATTGTCTTTGATCCTCCATGTTTTCTAATGAGAGACTCACATGCTTTCAAGATTTTCTCCCTAACTTTGATTTTCAGCAGTATGTAAGTGAAGTTGAATTATTATATTTGAGATTCACTGCACTTCATAAATCTGTAAATTTTTAACTTTCTTCAAATATGGGAAGTTTTGGCCATTTAAATATTTTTCTGCCCTATTTTTGCTGTCTTCTCCTTCTAAGATTACAATTATACATTGATTTGATCTTTTTATATTGTTCCACGGGTTCCTGAGGTGCTATTCATTTTATTTCAATGTTTTTTCTCTGTATTCTTCAGACTATCGATTCTGTTGTTCTGATAGTCAGATTCACTGTCTCTTTCCTTGTAATCTCCATTGTGCTCCCATGAGCATTCAATGAATTTTTTTTTACCAGCTCTAAAATTTCCATTTGTTCTTATTTTCTATTTCTTTCCTTAGATTTTCTATCTTTTTATTCATTTTAAGAGTATTTCCTATACCTGATTGAGCAAAACTGAATTAGCTGCATTAAAGTTCTCATCTGATAAAGTTCTCACATCTTGGTTATACTGGGGTTAGCATATATCTGTTGCCTTTTCCCTTGAGAATGTTGACATTTTACCAGTTCTTTGTATGTTGAATAATTTTGGATTATATTCAGGACATTGTGAAGGTTATATTATGTAGATTCTGTTACATTCTTCTGAATAATGTAAATGTTTTTGTTTTATCTATCAGTTTGCTAGATTCAAAAATAAACTTTATCTCACCTTCTATAAATGGTGCTTCAAATCTTAGTTTAATTCTCTGAGCCTTTGGTGTACTACTTTTGACTCTGTATATGAATGTATGCTTCATGGGTTGTTTTTAAATTTGTGTAGTATTCATACATAGAATCAGGAGATTACTTTCAGTGGTTCTTTGTTCTGTATGATTTCTCCTTTATATTCTGGCAGCTGGTTGTGGGTCCCAGGGCTCCTTTCCCTGGTTCTACCAGGTTCCTCTAGCAAGAGAGATGGTGGGGTTTCTATTGTAGTTTTAGCTGCCTATACCACACTGCTTAGCAGTGACATTTCACCATTGGGACAAAGCTACCAAAACTGACAAACTCACTCCTCTTCCAGCCACTTGTGTTAATTTTTTTTTTACTTGTTAAAATCCTTAGGTTATATATTGTCTCTCTCTCTCTCTCCCCCGCCCTCCCTCCCTCCTTCCTTCTTTCCCTCTCTCTCCCTTGCTGTACACACACACACACACACACACACACACACACACACACACGTTTATATGTATTTATGTATTTTGTCCAGAGTTTATAGAAGTTTTCAGTGGGAGAGTTGGTCTCTGGGCATGAGATTATAGTGACATACTGAAAGCTAAAAGACTGCTTCTATTTTTTGATCCTTCAAATGGAGACATAAAAATCTGACTTCCATAGAGTAGTGTAAAGAATGAAAATATATTTTAAGCATCTAGTGAGGGCTGGTCATACAGAAGTCATCTGAAAGCATGAAACCATGGTTATTGTTATCAATCTGTCTCCACAGTCCTTGATATAATTTAAACACTTTTCATCTTGCATTTGTTTTGGCACAGTAGTCTCATTACTGGCTTTCTTGTTTTTAGGTTCGCCCTACTTAAGCTTTCTTCTGCACTATTGCTAGTGTTATCTTTTAAAATCGCAAATAGGATTATATATTGTTACAGTAACATTTATGATGATTCCACATTGTCTATAGATAAAATTCAAACTCCTTAACTACAATTAGTAGTTTTTATGGTTAATAATATAGGACCTTTTATTGTGAGGCCTTTTATAAAATCATTGTGATGTCATGCTTGGGAAGACAAAGTAAAAAGTGAGTTCATAAATATATGCTGTGTTGGATAGTAGAAGGAATGATGAGAAATTAATCATCTGTAACTAAACAATTAATTATTGTGTTCCAGGGCTGTGTCTACTGAATTGTCTGTCATCATGTTTAGTCTTTGAATTTACTTAATATTGACTAATTTTCTCTTTTTAAAGAATTTTAGCCAGGGGGAAGCTCATAGTTCTTTCCACAGCTCCATTTGGGCAGTTTGATTACTTTCACTATGTGTATGGTTTGGCATTCCTGATTTGTTAATGTTTATAAATAGGGAGAAAAGGAAACACTTTTATATGAAAATAAACAATTTGAGAAGATTGCTGAAGAATTAAAAGGAACAGAACAAGAACTAATTGGTCTTCTCCAAGCCAGAGAGGTTTGTTTAAGGAAACATTTTTATTTTAAATATTTTGTTAATAGAACATAGATTTATGGATTATGGTATAAGTATTTCTTTTGTTAAAGATTTCTTCACAAAATTCCTTTCCAAGCATTTATTATTACATTAATATATTTATGATTGATTTAAAACACATCTAGACAACCCCCATATTATAATGTGAGAAAGATCAGCATTTAAAAGATCAATATGATGCATTATGCTATGGTTTATAATAGTGATATTTCTTGATGTCTTGAGTATTTTTTCTTTTGAGACAGAGTCTTGCTATGTTGCCCAGGCTGGAGTGAAGTAGCTAATTCAAATGCACAATCATTGCACACTGCAGCTTTGAACTCCTGTGCTTCCTGGCTCATCCCCTCAAGTAGCTAGGATTATAGGGGCACACCATCATGCCTAGCCAAGTATTTCTTAATTGGTACATTTGAAATTTAGACTTCATTAAGTTAGGTTCTTAGTTTATAGTACTTTTTATAGTGCTCATGTTATAGTTTTAGAATTTGTATTTTAAAGTATGTTTCCAGTCCATGACAGTATTACATCTTGTCTTTTTACAATAATAAGAACATTATAGTTCTTATTATTTTATAATAATAAGAACATTTTAGTTTTTTAAGACACTACCTGATTTCATCAATTAATATATTTCTCCTTGATAATATAACATTTTAATAGAAATTAGTTACTTGGCAGAGTGAGAATATTTTATAGCATATAAATGTTTTTCTGGTTGAATTTTACAATATCGAGATAGAATTTACTTATACTGAATATGTCATTGTTCATTGTTTTAAAATTATAGTGATTATTCACTTTAAATTTACTCGTTTAAAATATTTGACATAACCTGCCAAATTTTTGCCAAATATATGACTTAATTACACAGTGACTATACCTTTTAAATGAGAAAATTCGAAAAACACTTGCCATAGTTATATATGTTTATTTTGCAGAAAGAAGTACATGATTTGGAAATACAGTTAACTGCCATTACCACAAGTGAACAGTATTATTCAAAAGAGGTTAAAGATCTAAAAACTGAGCTTGAAAACGAGAAGTATGTTTTCCATTTATCTAAAAATAGTTTATGTACTCAATTCCTAAGCTTTCTGATAATAAATAATAATTTAGTAAATTATATTTAATATTTATTTGAATGGATTTGAAATTGTATTTTACTCTTAAGGATCTAAATAATGTGCTAATTTCATTGCTAAAGAAAGTACATATCACTGACATAAAGAAAGAGTACATCCCAAATTTGAGAACCACTTTAGATCAATGTGTTACTTTTCTTAGAGGTATTTAGTTCCCCATAAAAATAATCATTTTCAGTTCTAACTGGTTGTTTTGGTTGTTTTGCTAAATTATTTTATAGGTTTTTGCTGATAAAGTGTCAAAATAAAAAATTATTTCTTACATTATCCAAATAAAATATTGAATTGGATGATTTTACCTACTCAGTAAGTTTAATTTGGAGAGAAAGCGGGGAAATTATTATTGTATTATTACTCAGAGAAAAGTAAATTCAAGTAGCCAGTATAGTGGTGGTGAGCATGATTTTCCCCTTTTGGTGGCTTCTCAGTGCTAGATTAAATATGAGAAGTAAACAGTTTATGCAGCATCCTCTCCCTTCCTTTTTATCTAATTCTCTATTTCTGGTACCTTTTCAATAGTACTTTTTTAAGGGCCCTAGGTTAAACTCATCTATTAACTAATGTCCCTTTTAATGAATGGACTGGTTAGTTATTTGTACTTTAATGTAAATTTGTTATCCTTAGTATATTTGCTTTTCAACTTTTCATTGGCTTAGTGAAACACTTTATCTCCTCTTTGATGAATTTCCAGTATCATTAAGTAGAAATAGATAATAGATGCTCCTAAAATCACTCTGTAGAGCCACATACTCCTCCGCCTTCATTTAAAATTGATATTGGATGTAAGCAATACAGCAATAATCTCTCTTCCAAAGTAGAACATTTGAGATCTTTTAAGAGCAAGTTAGGTGTTGTGCAAAAAAGTTAAATTCAGTTTTTTTTTTAAATACTTTAAGTTTTAGGGTACATGTGCACAACGTGCAGGTAAAAATATCTTAATTAAACACAGCTAATGCTTCGTGTACTACTTTAATCAGGTTATAGGAAGTTTGAAATAACTTCTAAGAGACAGTCTAATGGAGAGGAAAAAATTATTGAAGAAAATAATGTGCTCTTCAAAATTTGTGGAAAGTATGAAAGGATGAGCAAACAGGGAACATGCAAGGAAATATATTGTATGACATTTGAAAATTTAGTAAAGAAAAATTTCAAAAATATAAAAATTAGAAGGAATAATGTAATGATCAACCTATCACCCAGCTTCAGGAATTATAAACCAATAGTCAATTTTGTTTCATGTTTTTCCCCCAGCCCTTCATCCCTTTCCCCTATCATTATGTTGAATAAAATTCCATATTATGTCATTACATTTGTAAATATTTTGGTATGACTTTTTTTTTTAAAAAATAGGCTTAAGAATACTGAATTAACTTCACACTGCAACAAGCTTTCACTAGAAAACAAAGAGCTCACACAGGAAACAAGTGATATGACCCTAGAACTCAAGAATCAGCAAGAAGATATTAATGTGAGTTGAAAAAGAAAGTGCTGGTGACTTAGTTTTCTTCCAATTAGCAGGTTAGAATAGATGACCTCTAAAGACCCTTTGACCTTTAAAGTCTGATTGCTTTAGAGCTAAAACTTTGTTTTAGCAGAAAAATATGCATATTGGTCTTATAGGGTGGTAATAGGCAACAGAGGCTACCCTCTGATTAAAATTAAAATGGAAGCCATTACTAGAAAAAGTTAATTTAATTTTAGGCATCAAGATTTTTAAAAAGTATTTAGTCAATAGGTATTTATTAAGTCATACAAGATTGTGGAGGATACAATGATGAATAAAATGTCACCCTTTCTCTTTAAGAACTTATGACTTAATAAAAAATAGTAATTTCTCACATAACTTAAGCAAAATAGTATGTCATATATGTTGTTAGTGGGACAAGGTGCTATCAGAGTTTGCAGGATCACTTCTGCTTTGGATAAAGAGAAGGCTTCTGAGAGAATATAGCATTGATTTTGGTCTTAAAAGGTGAATTATGAGTTCAGTAGGTAACAATGAATGGAAAACATTACTTGAAGTGACAATATGAACAAAGGATACAGACTCAAAGTAACGCTGGAAAACCAAATGATACTTGTTTTGTTAACTGTTATATAGAGATTGTTGGGAGAATAATTAAAGTAAGGCTTAAAAAAGTAGTATGGAACTATACAAGTTGAAAAGCCCATTTTTTTGCTTTATATATAACTAAATAAATTTTATGCTGATAGATAAAGGTCTTA
Source organism: Homo sapiens (assembly GCF_000001405.40). Classification (NCBI taxonomy): domain Eukaryota; kingdom Metazoa; phylum Chordata; class Mammalia; order Primates; family Hominidae; genus Homo; species Homo sapiens. The sequence continues at coordinate 114,913,909 of NC_000001.11, forward strand.
AATAGTAGTTTAAATTTTATTTTTGTTTAAACAAAATAATTGATATAAACAACATTATTTCTTTAGAATAACAAAAAGCAAGAAGAAAGGATGTTGAAACAAATAGAAAATCTTCAAGAAACAGAAACCCAATTAAGGCAAGACTAACAAATTGGCCTTTTTTTGTCTGGCAAAAGATTTTGATATTTCTTTTCTATTAACTTGTTATCATTAATTTAAATTGGACTGCTGTTGAATATTTTATAAAGTAAAAATTAGATATAAATCACTGTTGTGGAATCCTGCTTAAAAATAAAATTATAATAATGTCTACTTTATACTTAGTGTTAAAAGTTAGTGAGATTAGACAGAAATTTTAAAGCATCATAAACCTTCTAATTCTTTAATATTTAATTAAGAAAATATATTAATCACATTTAATAAAATATAGAAATCTTAAAAATTACTTCTAATCATATGAACTATTATAATACTAGAGTATTTATACCCACTCTATATTTTTTTTTTTACATTTTAAAAAATTATCTTTATTTAGGTTTCTGATTCAGCACATGTATCAAAGACTAATCAACATAAAGGAGTAAATAAGACATTAGTTGAAGGTCTTACATCTCTCTAAACTCTGACCAAGAATGTCAAGATTGCCACTATTACCAGAACTCCAACCTAGTCAAGTTGTAGACAAGCTATCATGAACAACATACAGTGTGCACAGATATGCAGAGGCAAAAGGCATGCTAGCGCTTGGCTCTCCTCTTTTCCTTGTTGACATCTTTCTGTTGGACAGTCCACTTTTGCTTTCTAGGCTAAGTTCCAAATTAAGTCCAAAGAAGGCTCAGGGTGAACCTGACCAGATACTTTTCTGGAGGAATGCATTCTTAAACTGTTGTGCCTGCAACTTTGTTTTTGCTAGGATGAAGTTCAGACCGAGATGTACAATACAATCTAGATGATGGTGCAGACTAAGTCAAGAACTAAAGTTGAGCAGTAACCCGAGTTAAGGCATGAATGCAGACACACACATGCACACACACAGCATCCATGCTATCAAGACACAGGATTTTTTCACGAGAGGCAACCTGGGCTTTGCAGTTAATCAGAAAATGCCCCCCACGACTTTATGCTAACAGCTGTGTGTATGTTTTAATCAAAAAATTAAAGAAAGAAGAAAAAAAACTAAAAAAAAAACAAACTAAAAAACAAAGAAAAAAACAAACAAAAAATCACCAAAAACCTAGAAACCCCTTAATCTCTTACAATGGCTCTTGAGCATGGAACTCAGGTAGCAGCATCAATGGCTGGCTCTTTAACAATTTGGAAATAAAAGGTTGTTTTTTTGTATTTCTTTGGTAGCCATCACTACAAAGTTTTCAGTGTTGGTTACCTATAAGACAAGTACTAGACAGAAGATCAAGTTACACAGAAATATTTCTTCTGTACTGATAAGATACAAATATTGAGCTCTCAAAGCACAAGTTACTATGCTTTTTCTTGCCTTATTGGGCATTCTCTAAAAGCAAGGCTTTGTGCAGGAAAAGTTCATGTCTACCTAACAAAGGGTGATACGTGTTCTATTTTCCTACAAGTGAACAATTAACACAAATTCACATTATCAGTTATTTCTGGTTGAATCCGTTAGAAGCCAATTACAAAGGGACAGCAGCACTTGGTGTCAAAGCCACTTTCTGGTCACACATTCATTCCATGGTTGCTAGTCAGTATCTCAGGAGCTCAGAATTTAAAACTCTTTTCAGTCAAATAAGGAGTAAGTTCAATTAAAGACTTCCACTATCTGCCAAATTTCTAGAATTCTGTCTAGAGGGCTAGCATGCTTGATGAGAGAAAGCAGTTCAGAGCCCAAAGAGGTGTCAGGTATTAGGTAAGTTAATTTGGTTTTGTATAAAAGGCATGGTAATCCGGCAACAGAGTACTTATCCTATTAGCAGCACAGTGGTAGCCAAGGGTCTCTGTCTGCAAGACAGGAAAATGAAGCTACTGAAGCCCCTGTTGTCCCGCCTGCCTGCAGGATGGCTACTGATTTTACAAAGGCGTTCTGGGAGCCAATCCAGGGCTCACCTGGGAGAGTGGGTAACAGAATGGCAGGAACCATGTTCAGCCCCCATGAGAAGTGCCCGACTGAGGGAAGTCAGCTTCCCATAGGTGTACCCACTCTATATTTTAAAGAATGTATTTGGTCATTGCTTATAATCATACATATATAATTTTGTATGTGGTTTTTCCATTTAATATTATTTTTAGCATTATTAATGTTTTTATGTGTTTTCACAGTCATCTATTTTAATGCCCATCTACCAGTCATTCAAGTGGATGTAATGACATTATTTTAGTCATTTTTACTTTTGGATATTTATGTTTTTTAGTTTTTCATTTTCATAGATAATACTAGTAAACATGTTGGCACATAAATACTTTTTCCTTATTTTGAATTGGATCATAGTAATAATGATTTCTATGGCTTGATGGTTAGTTTCCAATAGGTTGTATCATTGTAAACCATGCAATACAACAAATATTATATGAAAATGCTGGTCCTAAAATGTTTTAATTGATATTGGGTATTATTAATTTATTGATAATTTAAAAGATAAGGATAAGTCATTTTTGGTATGATTTGTGATTTTTAGTTTTTGGATAAGCTTTGGAAGCTTTCAAGTTTGATTTTAGAATTTCTTCTTTTTAAAATTGTCTGCTTATACCTGTTGCCCTCTAATCTTTTGAGGTTTTTTTTTTTTATTGATTTGCTTAAGCTTCTAAAAATATATTAATCTTTTACCTGGTTTATTTATAGCACATATTTTCCCTAACCTGTTGTTTTCCTTTAACTTCAGAGAACTTTTTATTATATGAAAGGTTTCAATTTTTTATTAAACTTGATTGTCTTTTGTGATTTTACCATTGCTTCTTTTAAGGTTTCTTTTTAATTTTCGATTTTTAATTTTTGTGGGTGCATAGTAGGTATATATAAGTATGGGGTATATAAGACATTTTGATACAGGCATACAATGTGTAATAATCATATCAGAGTAAATGGGGTATGCATCACTTTAAGCATTTATCCTTTGTGTTACAAATAGCCCAATTATACTTTTACTTTTAAAAAAAGTACATGTAAATTATTATTGATTATAATCACCTTGTTGTGCTATTAAATACTAGATGTGATTCACTTTCTATTTTTTGTACTCATTAACCATCTCCATTTCCTCCTATCACCACTACTCTTCCTAGCCCCTGGAAACCCTCTTTCTACTCTCTATCTTAATGAGTTCAATTGTTGTAACTTTAGCTCCTTCAAATAAGTGAACATGCAAAGTTTGTCTGTCTGTACCTGTCTTATTGCAGTTAACTTAATGACCTCCAGTTCCATCTATGCTGTTACAAATGACAAGATCTCATTCTTTATTATGGCTGAATAGTACTCCATGGTGTATATGCATCACATTTTTGTTATCCATTCACCTGTTGATGGACACTTACATAGCTTCCAAATATTGGCCATTGTGAACAGTGCTTCAATTAACAGAGTGCAAATGTCTCTTAGATATACTGATTTCCTTTCTTTTGGGTGTATACACAGGAGTGGGATTGCTGGGTGATACGGTAGCTCTATTTTTGAGGAACCTCCAAGCCATTCTCCATAGTGGTTGTACGAATTTACATTCCCACCAGCAGTGTATGAGGGTTTCCTTTTTCTCTGCATCCTCGCCAGTATTTTTTATTGCCTGACTTTTGGATAAAAGCCATTTTAACTGGGGTAAGATGATATCTCATTGTAGTTTTGATTTGCATTTCTCTGATGATCAATGATGTTGATCACCTTTTCATATACCTGTTTGCCATTGGTATGTCTTCTTTTGAAAAATGCCTATTTAGATCTTTCGCCCATTTTTTCCCATAGGATTATTAGACTTATTCCCATAGAGTTTTTTGAGCCCCTTATATATTGTGTGTATTAATCCCTTGTCAGATGGATAGTTTACAAATATTTTTTCCCATGCTGTGGGTTGTGTCCTCCCTTTGTTGATTTTTTTTTTTCTGTGCAGAAGCTTTTTAACTTGATGTGATCTGACTTATCTATTTTTGCTTTGGTTGTCTGTAATTGTGGGATATTACTCAAGAAATCTTTGCCCAGTCCAATGTCCTGGAGAGTTTCCTCGACGGTTTCTTTTAGTAATTTCATAGCTTGAGATCTTGGATTTAAGTCCTTGATCCATTTTGATTTGATTTTTATATATGGCAAGAGATAGGGGTCTAGTTTCATTCTTCTGCATATGGATATATGGATATCCAGTTTTCCCAGCACTGTGTATCGAGACTATCCTTTCCCCAATGTGTGATCTTGGCACCTTTGTCAAAAATGAGTTCACTGCAGATGAATGGATTTGTTTGTGAGTTCTCTGTTCTGTTTCATTGGTCTATATTTCTGTTTTTATGCTAATGCCATGCTGTTTTGGTTACTATAGCTAGGTAGTACATTTTGAAATCAGGTAATGTAATTCCTCTAGTTTTGTTCTTTTTGCCCAGAATATCTTGGGCTATTCTGGGTCTTTTGTGGTTCTATATAAATTTTAGGATTGATTCTTCTATTTCTGTGAATAATGTCATTGGTATTTTGATAGAGATTGCATTGAATCTGTAGACTGCTTTGGGTAGTACAGACATTTTAACAGTATTGATTGTTCCAGTCCGTGAACACGTAGTGTCTTTCCTTTTTTTGTGTGTCCTCTTAAATTTCATTAATCAGTGTTTTATAGTTTGCATTGTAAAGATTTTTCACTTTTTTGGTTGGGTTAATTTCTGGGTGTTTAATTTTATTTATAGCTATTGTAAATGGGAGTACTTTCTTGATTTATTTTTCAGATTGTTTGCTGTTGGCATATAGAAATGCTACTGATTCTTTTATCCTGAAACTTTCCTGAATTTGCTTATTAGTTCTAATAGTTTTTTGGTGAGATCATTAGGCTTTTCCAAGTATAAGATTATACTTGGAAATATACATGTTTCCAAGAAATATACATCTGCACGCAAGGATAATTTGACTTCTTTTCCAATTTGAATGCCCTTTATTTCTTCCTTTTGTCTAATTCCTGTAGCTAAGACCTCCAGTACTATGTTGAATAACAGTGGTGAAAGTGGGCATCCTTGCTGTGTTCCAGGTCTAAGAGGAAAGACCTTCAGTGTTTCCCCATTCAGTATGATACTAACTGTGGGTCAGTCATATATGCTTTTATTATGTTGAGCTATGTTCCTTCCGTACCCCGTTTTTTGAGGGTTTTTATCATGAACAGATGTTGAATTTTATCAAATGCTTTTCAGCATCAATTGAAATGATCATATGGTTTTTGTCCTATAGCATGTTGATATAATGTATCACATTGATTTATTTGTATATGTTGATTATCCTTACATTTGTGGGATAAATCTCACTTGGTTATGATTAATGATCTTTTTAATGTATTGTTGAATTTGGTTTGCTAGTATGTTGTTGAAGATTTTTGCATCAATGTTCATCAGGGATATTGGCCTTTAGTTTCCTTTTTTTATGTGTCTTTATTTGGCTTTGGTATCAGGGTAATACTTGCCTCACAGAATGAGTTTAGCTATATTCCCTCCTCCTTTATTTTTTGGAATAGTTTCTGTAGGATTGATATTAATTCTTTAAATGTTTTGAAAAATTCAGCAGTGAAGCCATCAGGTCCTGGGTTTTTCTTTGCTGGAAGACTTTTTATTATAGCTTTGATCTTATTACTTGTTTTTCGTCTGTTCAGGTTTTAGATTTCTTCATGGTTCAATTTTGGAGGGTTGTATGTGTCTAGGTATTTATCCATTTGTTCTAGGTTTTCCAATTTATTGATGTGTAGTTGCTTAGAGTAGCCTCTAATGATCCTTTGAATTTCTGTGATATTGGTTATAATGTCTCCCTTTTCATCTCCTTTTTAAAATTTATTTTGGTCTTCTCTCTTTTTTTCTTAGTTCGTCTTCCTAAAGTTTTGTCAATTTTATCTTTTCAAAAAACCAACTTTTTGTTTTGTTGATGTTTTGTATTGTTTTCTTTAATTTCATTTATTTCTGCTCTGATCTTTATTATTCTCTTCTACTAATTTGGGTTTGGTTTGCTCTTCTTTTTGTAGTTTTTTAAGATGCATCATTAGGTTATTTGACTTTTTAAAACTTTTTTGATGTAGGCACTTACAAACACACCTCTTAATACTCCTTTTGCTGTATCCCATAGGTTTTGGTATGTTATCTTTCTATTATCCTTTGTTTCAAGACATTTTTCAGTTTTCTTCTTAATCTCTTTATTGACCCACTAACCATTCAGGAGCATATTTTTAAATTTTCATGTGTTTTTACAGTTTTCAAAATTCTTCTTGTTATTAACTTTCAGTTCAATTTCATTGTAGTCAGAGTAGGTACTTGATCTGATTTCAATTTTTTAAATGTTTTAAGACTTGTTTTGTGGCTTAACGTATGGTCTGTCCTTGAGAATGTTCCATGTGCTTAGGAGAAGGATGTTTATTCTGCAATTGTTGGATGAAATGTTCTGTAAATATATATTAGGTTCATTTGGTCTAAAGTGCAGATTGATTGATGTTTCTTTGGATGCTCAAAGTCTGGGTGATTTGTCCAGTGCTGAAAGTGGGGTGTTTAAGTTACCAGCTATTATTTTACTGGAACCTATCTCTCTTTAGCTCTAATAATATTTGTTTTATATATCTGTGTGCTCCAGTGTTGGGTGCATATATCTTTGTAATTGTTATATTCTCTAGCTGAATTCATCCCTTTATCATTATATAATGACCTTCTTTGTCTCTTTTTATAGTTTTTGTATTGAAATCCATAATGTCTGGCATAAGTATAGCTATTTCTGCTCTTTTTTAGTTTCCATTTGCATGGAGTTTCTTTTACCGTTCCTATATTTTCAGTCTCTGTGTATCTTTACAGGTGAAGAGGTGTTTCTTGTTAGGCAACAGCCTGTTGGGTCTTGTTTTTCTATCCATTCAATTGCTCTATGTCTTTTGATTGAAGAGTTTAGTCCATTTACATTCAATGTTATTATTGATAAGTAAGGACTTACTCTAGCCATTTCGTTATTTGTTTTCTGGTTGTTTTGTGGTCTCTTCTTTCTTTCCTTCATGTTTTCCTTTTAGTGAAGGCAATTTTCTTTGGTGGTATATTTTAATTTCTTACTTTTTCATTTTTGTTTATTTGTTGTATTTTTTTTATTTGAAGTTACCATTAGGCTTGCAAATAATATCTTATAACCCATTATTTTAAACTGATGACAAGTTAACTGATTGCATAAGCAAATAAACAAAGAGAAAACTAATAAAAACTCTATACTTTGTTTCCCTGGTTTTAAACTTTTTGTTGTTTTTATTTATATTTTATTATTGTGTTTATGTCTGGAAAAATTGTTATTATTTTTCATCAGTTCATCTTTTTGTCTTCCTACTTAAGATACGAGGCCAGGTACGGTGGCTCACTCCTGTAATCCCAGCACTTTGGGAGGCTGAGGGGGGCAGATCACCTGAGGTCAGGAGTTTGAGACCAGCCAGGCCAACATGGTGAAACCCTGTCTCTACTAAAAATAGAAAAATTAGCCGGGTGTGGTGGCGGGTGCCTGTAATCCTAGCTACTGGGGAGGCTGAGGCAGGAGAATTGCTTGAATCTGGGAGGTGGAGGTTGCAGTGAGTGACAAGAGTGAGACTCTGTCTCAAAAAAAAAAAACAAAAACAGATATGAGTAGTTACATTCCACAATTACAGTGTTATAATGTTCTATGTATTTACTGTTACCAGTGAGTTGTGTATCTTCAGATGATTTCTTATTGCTCATTAACATTCTTTTCTTTCAGATGGAAGAACTCTCTTTACCATTTCTTGTAAGACAGGTCTGGTGTTAATGAAATTTCTTAGCTTATGTTTGTCTGAAAAAGTCTTTATTTCTCCTTCATGTTTGAAGGATATTTTCACTGGATATACTATTCTAGGGTAAAAGTTTTTTCCTTCAGCACTTTAAATATGTCATGACCCTCTCTGGGCCTGTAAGGTTTCCATTGAAAAGTCTGCTGCCAGACATACTATATGTTATTTATTTCTTTTCTCTTGCTGCTTTTGGGATTCTTTCTTTATCCTTGACCTTTGTGAGTTTGATTTTTAAGTGCCTTAAGGAAGCCTTCTTTGGTTTAAATATAGTTGGTATTCTAATAACCTTCTTGTCCTTGAATATTTAGATCTTTCTCTAGGTTGGGAAGTTCTCTGTTATTATCCCCTTGAATCAACTTTCTACCCTTATCTCTGTCTCTACCTCCTCTTTAAGGCCAATGACTCTTAGATTTGCCCTTTTGAGGCTGTTTTCTAGATCTTGTAGGCATGTCTACTAGGCATTCTTGTATTGCTATAAAGAAATACCTGAGACTGGGTAATTTCTAAAGAAAAGAGGTTAATTGGTTCATAGTTCCATAGGTCATACAGAAAGCATGGTGATGGCATCTGCTCAGCTTCTTGGAAGGCCTTAGGGAAATTTTACTCATGGTAGAAAGCAAAGGAGGCACTTCACATGGCAAAAGCAGGAGCAAGAGTGGTGGGGAGGACACACTTTTAAACATCCAAATGTTGCAAGAGTTCGCTATTGCAGGCATCACCAAGCCATGAGGGATCCTCCCCCACAACCCAAACCCCTCCCACCAGGCCCCACCTCCAATATTGGTGATTACATTTCAATATGAAATTTGGGTGAGAGCAAATATCCAAACTGTATCATTGCACTTCCCCGCACCCAAATCTCATGTACTTTTCACATTCCTAAATACAATCATGCCTTCCAAATAGTCCCCCAGAGTCTAACTCATTCCACCATTAACTCAAAAATCCAAAAGCCAAAATCTCATCTGAGACAAGGCAAATCCCCTCCACCTGTAAAATCAAAACAAGTTAATTACTTCCAAGATACAATTGATAAATACTCCCATTCCAAAATGGAGAAATCAGCCAGAAGAATTGAGTTCAGGTTCCATGCAAATCTAAAACCCAGCAGGGCAGTCATTAAATCTTAAAGCTCCAAAATAATCTCCTTTGACTCTATATACCACATTCAGGGAACACTGCTGCAAAGGGTGGACTCCTAAGGCCTTGGGCAGCTCTGCCCCTGTTGCTTTGTATTTTGATATTTAGTTTCTCTTTTTTAAAACTATAAAAACATTTTAAGCCATCAATTTACTTCTGAACACAATGATGAATTTATGATATAGTGTTTGATATGTAGTGTTTCCATGTTCATTATTTTCTAAACAACTTGTTTTTATATTTTAAGTTTCTGTTTAATCCATTAGTAGCCTAGATGAATTCCACATATTTGGGGGCTCTTGTTTGTACTTATATTATGAAGTATTCAGTTTTGGTTTTTTACATTTGGTTAAAGAATGTGGTCTTTAAGACTTCCTTATTTTGAGTTATTTGAGATCTTCTATAGGCCTAATAATTTTTAGTATAATGTCACTCTTCCATTTTCTTTTAGAAATGAACTAGAATATGTGAGAGAAGAGCTAAAACAGAAAAGAGATGAAGTTAAATGTAAATTGGACAAGAGTGAAGAAAATGTATGTTATATTTAATAATGGATCGTATCACAAAATTTCAAATTATAAAAGCAACACCATATGTCTAAACTAAAATAAAGGGAAGTATACTGTTGTATAAATAATAGTGATCTAGAGACTGTCATCAGCCATCAACCTTAAATATCTAGGAAAGGTTGGATTATTTTACTATTGATATCTATATCTAGAAGAAATAGTGGCATAATTCTGATTTTCTTTTAACGTGTTAAATATTTAATGTAGACTTAACATTTTTTAGGCAAAATAAAAGGCTCATACTTCAGTAATATAAAATATATGGATGACAAATTATTTAATAAGTTTGTGTCATGCTTTGGTGAATATGATATCAAATTAAGATAATAAGGTGTTTAGGGAAGAGTGTCATGAAAATGGAATAGTACAAGATATGTGACATGATTATAGTATATATTATACAGATTGGAAGAAAATTCTGCCAAAGTGGAAAATTGATCTAGATTTTGAGGTCTTTGATTGTGTTTTTTCATTCATTCAACAAATATTGACCACCTACTATGTGCCAGGCACTGTTCTGGGTGTTACGTTTGGATTTCATTTATTTGGTAGAGAGTAGTGATCTAATTAAAGTTTTTTATTGAGCAGGTGACACCTTTTAATATTTGAGAATGGAATGGGGAGAGATAAAAGGCATTGGAATCAGTTGGAAAGCTATTAAAAGTCATCTTGAAAGTTCTAAAAAAATCTTGGAGAGGACTCTGGCCTAGTTCAGTTCACACTTATTCCTGAGTCAATCACTGTGGCTAGGGGATAGAGTAACCTGGCTAAGCCTGAGCTGCATGTCGACTCATAGAGATAGAGTTAGCCAGCAGGACTACTGTGGATTTTATAGTAGAGGAATTCTTGCAAGAAAGGGTGCTGGCCAGACCAAACATAGGTTCTCTATCTGGATACTATTAGAGTCTATAGAAAGGACATCTAATCCAAACTTGAGCTAGGGCGTGCTTCCTGAAAGAAGTCACATTCAATGTGAAGCCTTAGATTAATAGGGATTAGTGGAGGACAGGTGGTGGATACAAGTATAGCAGGGAGGATAATATTCTAAGTTAAAAAAACATAAACATTATATGGGTAAGCCTGAAAGTATCAGAGCATGGCATATTTAAGTAACTACAAAAAATTCATTGTAACTAAAAGATGGAGTTTAAGGTAGTGGTGGTAGAGGGCAGAGTGAGGAAAGATGAGGGTAGGGAGAGGTAAGCATGGAGAGATGAAGGTGGGGAAAAATGAGGGTGGATCATTTAAGGCCACCTAAGCTACATTTAAGAGTTTGAGGTCATTGAAGAATTTTGACATGAAGATTGTTAAAATTATATTTACACTTTTGAGAGCTGTAAAACTATTGGAATAGTTCAAGGATGAAATAAGGTACCATTTTAAAGGGCTTACAATAGACCAGGTGCATTCTAGGTTCTTTCTATGTATTATCTTACTTAACTAGAAGTCATTATTGCTCTTATTTTATAAATTGGGAAATCAGACCTCCAAAGGATAAAAACCTTCAAAAGGTTACATGACTAAGAGGTAGTAGAGGTGGTCTTCTACATTCTTTAAATTATAACACATTTTCCTCCCTGAAAAGCTATTTTTCCTTTAGTTCATATTTATTAGTTAAATTCAACCTGAAAAAAATGAACTTAATGTGCTAAATACTTGGTATGTAATTCACTACTTTAAAATTTGTATCAGAGGCCACTGCAGATCATTAAGCCTGTTGTTTGTTAATGGAGAAAAACATGAATTTAATTTTTAATGTAAAATAAAATCCTCCATTAAGAATTTAAGACATACTTTATTTTGCCAATATAGAAAATATTAGTGACGATTTAAGGAAAAAAATTAAATGCATGACAAATTTTTAGCATATTTCAGTTTTCCATATTTGGATTTCAACTTACCTGTTAAAACAGTTTCCCAGAAAGAATCCAGGTTGTAAATATTTCCCAGATATTTTGTGTGACATTGAATTTCATTACACTTTTCTTCCCCCAATCTGCTACCTTAGTTCAGACATTTTTTATTTTATATATATTTTATCTATCTGAGCCTTAGTTTCCTCATCTCTCAAATGGAGATAATACCGATCCTTTCTATCTCATTGGATTGTTGCAAAGTTCAGAATTAATAAATGTTTGTGAAAGCTATATTTAGGGGATTATAAACATTTATGTACAAGACAATTTAAAAAATTCGAGATAAACTGGGAAAGCTGATAAAACATTGCAAAGATAAGAATGATGAATGTTGACATATAAGTAACATGAAAATGATTTTTTTAACTGAGAGAAATTATATATATTAATGGTATACAAAGTGATGTTTTGATATATGTATACATTGTGAAATGATTAAATCATGCTAGTTAACATATTCATCACTTCACATACAAAGATAATTTTTTTTTTAAAAAAAGAGATACTGAGGCTGAGTATAGTGGCTCACACCTGTAATCCCAGCACTTTGGGAGGCTGGGGTGAGAGGATCACTTGAACCCAGGAGTTGGAAGTTGCAGTGAGCTATGATTGCATTTGTATTTAGATGATCTTTATTGAAATTTGTGATTTTAGTATAATTTTTATATTAATGGAATTACCATGATTTTGAAGTGACCTTTATCAGTACTTTATGCAATATTTTTATTAGTCTGAAATTGCCTGTTTCAACTGGTATACTGAATAAAATAGCTATAATTTCTCACAATTTTTTAGTGTAACAATTTAAGGAAACAAGTTGAAAATAAAAACAAGTATATTGAAGAACTTCAGCAGGAGGTATGTATTTTTTATAAATATTCTCAAAATCAAACTGATATTTTCACCACAGTTTTAGAGAATAATGCTTTCCCTTCCTTTAGTAATTTAAGTCTAAGTCAGTAGCAAGGTAAGTTTGAATAACTTTAGTACTAAATATAATTATTTTTAATTTTAACAGAATAAGGCCTTGAAAAAAAAAGGTACAGCAGAAAGCAAGCAACTGAATGTTTATGAGATAAAGGTATTTGGCATCTTTATTTTTGTTTTTTAAATACTAATAGATAGATGAGAATTTAGACATTTTATTCCACTTGTTTATACAGTATAAATTCAATTTATACCATAACAGTATCAATTGAAAAGTTGAAAGGTTGTTATCTTTTTAAATAGAGGAGATCAACTCTTTTAGTTGTAATAGAGTACACATCTGTGATTTAGCATGCACATATATTCTTAAGCTTGGATTCAAGCAGCTTAAGAATATATGTGCATGCATGAGCTCTTTGTGTGTGGTCATATTCCCTACTTCCATATTAAAAAGTGAAATTGAGTAAGTGGAATGGATTCTTGGAATCTACATTTTAAAAAGCTCTATGTGTGATTATCCTGCTGCAGAAAGGGATTGAAAACCATTTACTTGTATAAAACAAATTAAAGCCTTACAGTGTAAGCTCCTGATATTAGAGCCATATTTTGTAATCTTATTCCTATGTCTTTGAACAATGACTGACAGTAAGTATTCAATAAATAGTTTTTGAATTATGAATGGAAAACAGCATTTCTCATTGTATTAATTATGTGCTTTTTGGAAGGAAACATAAAAATCTTATACCTTATTTTAATAATATTTGAAATTAAAAATATATAAATGTGATTAAAAATTAAGTAAGGATTTTCATAAATGGTTGATATTCTATATAAAAGTAGCAGATTCATATATCTTATAATTCAGCTCTTCTACTCCTAGGTAGAGTAAGGAGAAAGGTACAAAAATATTCACAGCAACATTCTTTGTATTATCCCCAAACAGAAGACAACAAAAATGTCAACCAATAGTATAAAAATCAGTCAATAAAAAATAACACTGAAATAACCCAGATGTTAGAATTAGCAGATAAAGTCTTTTATGCAGCTATTATAAACATCTTCAAAGACAGAAAGGAAAATATGGTCATAATGAAAGACTAGATGGGGAATGTCAGTGAAGAAATGGAAACTGAAAATAATCAAATGGAAGTTTTAGAACTGAAAAGTAAAATGTCTTTAAAAACCAAAACCAAAACAAAAACCAAATGGTCCTAATAGTAGATTGAATACAAATGAATCAAGTGTCAGTAAACTGGAAGTTGGGTAAGTAGAAATTACCCAGTCAGAAGTACACAGAAGAAGAGTTTTTAAAAGAAAGGAATAGTGCCTCGGTGGCCTGTAGAACAATAACAAGTATTTTTAAGTGTGTAATTGGAGTCCCCAAGTAAGAAGAGAGAGAGAATAGGGCAAATAAAATTTTCGTTTTTGAGACAGAGTCTCACTCTGGCACCAAGGCTGGAGTGTGCAGTGGAGTGATCACAGCTCACCGCAGCCTCGATCTCCTGGACTCAGGTGATCCTCCTACCTCAGCCTCCTGAGTAGCTGAGACTACAGGAGTATGCCATCACATCCAGCTAATTTTTGTATTTTTGGTAGAGATGGGGTTTTGCCATGTTTCCCAGGCTGATCTGGAACTCCTAGGCTCAAGTGATCCACCTGCCTCAGCCTCCCAAATTGCTAGGATTACAGGTGTGAGTGACTGTGCCTGACCTGGGCAGAAAAAATTAATTGAGAAATTTCTCAAAAATTTATCACACTTAAAACAAACTTGCAGATCCATGGCCCTCAGCAAATCCAAAGCAAGATAGGCACAAAACCATATGTAGGCAGTCATATCTTAGTCAAAGTGCTAAAACCAAAGATAAAAAGAAACTTTTAAAGGCAGACAGAAAAAAATGTCACATTGCACAACAGTGACACAGATGATGGCTGACCTTGTATCAGGACAGTGAAGGTCAGATGACAAAGGAATGACATTTATAAAATGCTAACAAAAATAAACCATCAACCCAGAATTCTGTATGCAGCAAAAAGCTTTATTAAATGAAGACAACATGACTTCAAAAGCTGTACCCTAAGCAATACTTAAGGAATTTCTTCAAGTTGAAGGAAAATGGCATTAGATGGAAACTGATCAATGAAAAGCACTGGAAATAGTAAATATTGAGATGAATTTAAAAGGCGATATATTTTTCTTTTAATTTTAAAACGGTATATATGGCTGCTTAAAGGAAAACAAATTGCTATTATAGAGTTTATAATCTGTGTGACTACCATAACACAAAGGACAGGGGAGTAAATATAACTATTTTGTTGTAGCATTTTTACATTACATGTGAAATAGTACAATATTAACACTTAAATAGAGTTTGGTAAGTTAGTGATACATACTATCCTCCTTAGAGCAACCCCTACAAAATAATGCAACTGAAGTATAGCTGTCTTAGTTTAGGTTTCTAAAACAAAATACCACAGACTGGGTGGCATATAAACAATGAACATTTATTTCTTACAGTACTGGAGACTGGGAATTAAAAAATCAAGTCACTGGCAGATTCAGTGTCTGGTGGGACCCTGATTCCTGGTTCATAAACAGCCAACTTTTCATTGTGTCTCAAATGGCAGAAGGGACAAGAGAGCTCTCTGGGATCCTTTTTACAACGTGACACTAATCCCATTAATGAAGGCTCCATCCTTATGACCTAATCACTTCCCACAGGCCCTACCTTCTAATACTATCACACTGGAGGTAGGATTTCAACATATGAATTTTAGGGGAATACAAATATCTAGTCCATAACAATAGCAAAAAAGTCAGTAGAGGAATTGAAATGAAGTGGAATATGAAAAAACTTTGATAAACTCCAAAGGGAGGGCAGAGAAACAAAAAAACAGATATGAATAGAAGACAAATAACATAATGATCTGAACTCAAGCATATCAATAATTATATTAAATGTGAATGGACAAATGTTTTAATAAAAAGGCAGAAATGGTCATGCTAGATTAAAAAAATCAAGGGCAAACCATATACTATTACAAGAGATACATTGTATTTAGTATAAAGACACAAAGAGGTTTAAAGGAAAAAGATGAAGGAAAGAAATACTATCATGCCAATAGTAAGCATAAGAAAGTGGAGTGACAATTTTAATAAGAAATGACAATTTTAATAACAAATATAAGACAAGTAGTATTATTAAAGATCAGTAGGGGCATTTTATAATGATAAAGTTGTCAATTCATTAAAAAGATATAACAATTAATTAGGTATATCTTTGCACCTAATAATAAAGCTTCAAAATAAATGAAGCAAAAACTTGATAAAATGAGCAATAGAAAATACTATACTCATAATATCCCCCTTTCAGCAACTGATAGAACAACTATTAAAACATCTATAAGGATGTAGAAAATCTGAACATCACTATTAACTACCTTGATTTAAATGATATTTATAGAACACTATATCTGCAACTATAAATTGTTGAAATTCACATAGAATGTTTACCAAAATAGACTACATGCTGAGCCATAAACAAGTCTCCATATATTTCAGAAGACTGAAGTCTTACAGAATATGTTCTCTCACTCCAGTAGAATTGAATCAGGAGTAGGTAAGTATAAGATATCTGGAAAAGCCCGGATATTTGAGAATTAAACATCAGACTAATAAATAATTCATGGGCCAAAGAAGAAATCACAAGGAAAATGATAAATTATTTTAAACGGAATGATGAGATAGACATAAAACATAAAAATTTGTAAGGTACAAATAAAGGAGCTCTTAGAGGGAAATTTAGAGTTTTAAATGTTTATTTTAGAAAAGAAGAAGTGATCTAGGTTTTTATCTAGAAACTAAAAAAGTGAGCAAATTAAATTCACAGAAAGTAGACAAAAGGAAATAATTAGAATAAGACATATCAAATAAATAGGAGAAACAATTAAATGAAGTCAAAAGTTGATTATTTGAAAATATCAATAAAGCTGATAAGCCCTAGCAGAACTGACCACAAAAAAAGGGAGAGAAAGTAAAATTCACTGCAGGCAAGAATGAAAGAGTACATAATTAGCATAGATAATACAAGCATTAAAAAGATAAGAAAGGGGGGACTGTGATGGATTACTTCATGCCAGTAAATTTGAAATGTAGATAAAATGGGCAAATTTCTTATGTATCTTTTAGGGAAGTTGAAATTGTCATTAAAATATCTCCTAGAGAAAAATCCAGATCTGGATGATTTCACTGGTAAATTCTGTCAAACACTTTAGGAAGAAATAATACCAGTCTTCCACAAAAAATAGAAGAGTGAAAACAATTCTCAAGTAGGTTTTTGATACCAAATCCTAACAAAGACATTATAATAAAAGAAAATTACAGACCAATATCCATCTGAATAAAAGAAAATTACAGGCCAATATCCCTATGAATATGAGTATAAATATAAAATTATTAATAAAGTATTAGTAAATCTAATCTAGATTTTAATACATGATAAAAACCATATTACATCAAACAATTTATCAGGAATGGGATTTATCAGAAATGTAAGGTTGGTTTAAAATTTGAAGCTATCAGTGTAATTTACTGTACCAAGTAATAAAGGAGAAAAATAATATAATTATCTCAATAGTTGCAGAAAGGCATTTGACAGAATTGAACACTTATTCATGATTAAAAAAAAAACTTCCAGCAAACTAGGAATAGATAAGGACTTCTCCAATCTGATAAAGAACATCTACAAAATACCTACAGTTAGCATCCTATTTACTGATGAAAGGCAGTGTCAAGAGCAATGTCTGCTCTTACCACACCTATTCAACATTGTACTGGAGGCTCTGGCAACAAAAATAAATATATACAAATGAGAAAGGAATACATAAAACTGTCTCTTCATAAATGACATGACTATCTACATGGAAATTTCCAAGGTTTCTACAAAGTCACTACAAGATTAGTAAATGAATTTGACAAAGTCACTGGATACAAGGTCAATGGCCAAAAATCAATTTTATTTCTATATGCTAACAGCTAGTAATTGAAAAATTAATTTTAAAACATGATACCATTTACAGTAGCATAAAAATCCATTAAATAGGGATAAATTTTACAAAATGTGTGCAAGACCCATACAGAGAACAGTACTGAACATTACTGAGACCAATGAAAGAAGACCTAAGTAAATACATATGTACCATATTCACTGATTGGATGTTTTAATGTTTTTAAAATGTCAGATTTCACTGAATTCATCTAGAGATTCAGTCACCATGATAATTCCAGCAGTATTTTTTAGTAGACTTTTACATACTGCTTGTAAAATGCATGTGAACATCAAAATACCCAACAATTTTGAGAAAGTAGAACAAAATTGGAAGATTTAGGTTGCCTGATTTCAAGATTTGCTGTAAAGCTATAATAATTAAGACAATGAGGTATTATTTTTAAGATAGACAAAGAGATCAGTGGAATCTAATAGAAAGTTTAGAAATAGACTAAATGTACAGACTGTTAATTTTCAACAAAGATGCAAAAAAATTCAATGGAGAGAAATGAAAGTCTTTCAACAAATGATTTGGAATAACCAGATATTCATATGGGAAAGAAAAAAAACAAACCTTGACCCTTACATCAGATCATATACAAACATTAATTTTAAATGGGTTATAGGCATACAATCTTGAACTCTGAAGTCTTCAGAAGAAAACGTAGGAGGGTACTTTCATGGCCAAGGTCAGCAAAGATTTCTTAGGGCAAAGAAAGCAATATTCTTAACATGTCAAATAAGTTAGACTACATCAAAACTTGAAAGATCTGTTTATCAAAAGGCATTATTAAGCAAATGAATAGACAAGGTACAAAGAAAAAGAAAACACTGACTAAACATTTATTTGACAGATGACATGTATCCAGAATATATAAATAACTCTTGAAACTCAATAATAAAAAAATAAATATCTCAACTCAAAATAGGCAAAAGACTGTAAAATAAACTGGTTAAAATATTGGCAAAGGGGGAAAACTGGGTTGCAAGATGGCTGAATAGGAACAGCTCCAGTCTACAGCTCCCAGCATGAGTGACGCAGAAGATGGGTGATTTCTGCATTTCCAACTGAGGTACTGGGTTCATCCCACTGGGGCTTGTCGGACAGTGGGTGCAGCCCACAGAGCGTGAGCTGAAGCAGGGTAGGGCATCGCCTCACCTGGGAAGCACAAGGGGTTGGGGAATTCCCTTTCCTAACCAAGAGAAGCCGTGACTGATGGTACCAGGAAAATTGGGACACTCCCACCCTAATACTGCACTTTTCCAATGGTCTTAGCAAACAACACACCAGGAGATTATATCCCTTGCCTGGCTGGGAGGGTCCCACGCCCAAGGAGCCTCGCTCACTGCTAGTGCAGCAGTCTGAGATCGAACTGCAAGGAGGCAGTGAGACTGGGGGAGGGGCATCTGCCATTGTTGAGGCTTGAGTGGGTAAACAAAGAAAAGCTCGAACTGGGTGGAACCCACTACAGCTCAAGGAGGCCTGCCTGCCTCTGTAGACTCCACCTCTGGGGGCAGGGCGTAGCTGAACACAAGGCAGCAGAAACTTCGGCAGACTTAATCCTCCCTGTCTGACAGCTTTGAAGAGAGTAGTGGTCCTCCCAGCATGGAGTTTGAGATCTGAGAACAGACAGACTGCCTCCTCAAGTGGGTCCCTGACCCCTGAGTAGCCTAACTGGGAGGCACCTCCCAGTAGGGGCAGACTGACACCTCACATGGCTGGGTACCCCTCTGAGATGAAGCTTCCAGAGGAACGATCAGGCAGCAACATTTGCTGTTCAGCAATATTCACTATTCTGCAGCCTCCGCTGGTGATACCCAGGCAAACAGGGTCTGAAATGGACCTCCAGCAAACTCCAACAGACCTGCAGCTGAGAGTCCTGACTGTTAGAAGAAAAGCTAACAAACAGAAACAACATCCACACCAAAACCCTATCTGTACGTCACCTTCCTCAAAGACCAAAGGTAGATAAAACCACAAAGATGGGGAGAAACCAGAGCAGAAAAGCTGAAAATTGTAAAAATCAGAGTGCCTCTTCTCCTCCAAAGGAATGCAGCTCCTCGCCAGCAATGGAACAAAGCTGGATGGAGAATGATTTTGATGAGTTGAGAGAAGAAGGCTTCAGATGATCAGTAATAACAAACTTCTCCGAGCTAAAGGAGGATGTTCGAACCCATTGCAAAGAAGCTAAAAACCTTGAGAAAAGATTAGACAGACGGCTAACTAGAATAAACAGCATAGAGAAGACCTTAAATGACCGGATGGAGCTGAAAACCATGGCATGAGAACTATGTGATGCATGCATGCACAAGCTTCAGTAGCTGATTCGATCAAGTGGAAGAAAGGGTATCAGTGATTGAAGATCAAATGAATGAAATGAAGCGAGAAGAGAAGTTTAGAGAAAAAAGAGTAAAAAGAAATGAATAAATCCTCCAAGAAATATGGGACTATGTGAAAAGAAGACCAAATCTACGTCTGATTGGTGTACCTGAAAGTGATGGGGAGAATGGAACAAAGTTGGAAAACACTCTGCAGGATATTATCCAGGAGAACTTCCCCAACCTAGCAAGGCAGGCCAACATTCAAATTCAGGAAATACAGAGAACACCACAAAGATACTCCTCGAGAAGAGCAACTCCAAGATACATAATTGTCAGATTCACCAAAGTTGAAATGAAGGAAAAAATGTTAAGGGCAGCCAGAGAGAAAGGTCAGGTTACCTACAAAGGGAAGGCCATCAGACTAACAGCGGATCTCTGGAGAAACTCTACAAGCCAGAAGAGAGTGGGGGCCAATATTCAACATTCTTAAAGAAAAGAATTTTCAACCCAGAATTTCATATCCAGCCAAACTAAACTTCATAAGTGAAGGAGAAATAAAATCCTTTACAGACAAGCAAATGCTGAGAGATTTTGTCACCACCAGGCCTGCCTTACAAGAGCTCATGAAGGAAGCACTAAACATGGAAAAGAACAACCGGTACCAGCCACTGCAAAAACATGCCAAATTATAAAGACCATCGATGCTAGGAAGAAACTGCATCAAATAACGAGCAAAATAACCAGCTAACATCATAATGACAGGATCAAATTCACACATAACAATATTAACCTTAAATGTAAATGGGCTAAATACTCCAATTAAAAGATACAGACTGGCAAATTGGATAAAGAGTCAAGACCCATCAGTGTGCTGTATTCAGGAGACCCATCTCATGTGCAGAGACACACAGGATCAGAATAAAGGGGTGGAGAAAGATCTACCAAGCAAATGGAAAACAAAAAAAAGCAGGGGTTGCCATCCCAGTCTCTGATAAAACAGACTTTAAACCAACAAAGATCAAAAGAGACAAAGAAGACCATAGCATAATGATAAAGGATCAATTCAACAAGAAGAGCTAACCATCCTAAATATATATGTACCCAATACAGGAGCACCCAGATTCATAAAGCAAGTCCTTAGAGACCTAGAAAGGTACTTAGACTCCCACACAATAATAATGGGAGACTTTAACACCCAACTGTCAACATTAGACAGATCAATGAGACAGAAAGTTAACAAGGATATCCAGGAATTGAACTCAGCTCTGCACCAAGCCGACCTAATAGACATCTACAGAACTCTCCACCCCAAATCAACAGAATGTACATTATTTTCAGCACCACACAACACCTATTCCAAAATTGACCACATAGTTGGAAGTAAAGCACTCCTCAGCAAATGTAAAAGAACAGAAATTGTAACAAATTGTCTCTCAGACCACAGTGCAATCAAACTAGAACTCAGGATTAAGAAACTCACTCAAAACCACTCAACTACATGGAAACTGAACAACCTGCTCCTGAATGACTACTGGTACATAACGAAATGAAGGCAGAAATAAATATGTTCTTTGAAACCAATGAGAAGAAAGACACAACATACCAGAATCTCTGGGACACATTTAAAGCAGTGTGTAGAGGGAAATTTGTATCACTAAATGCCCACAAAAGAAAGCAGGAAAGATCTAAAATTGACACCCTAACATCACAATTAAAAGAACTAGAGAAGCAAGAGCAAACACATTCAAAAGCTAGCAGAAGGCAAGAAATAACTAAGATCAGAGCAGAACTGAAGATGAGACACAAGAAACCCTTCCAAAAAATCAATGAATCCAGGAGCTGGTTTTTTGAAAAGATCAACAAAATTGACAGACTGCTAGCAAGACTAATACAGAAGAAAAGAGAAAAGAATCAAATAGATGCAATAAAAAATGATAAAGGGGATATCACCAGTGATCCCACAGAAATACAAACTACCATCAGAGAATACTATAAACACCTCTATGCAAATAAAGTAGAAAATCTAGAAGAAATGGACAAATTCCTGGATACATACACCCTCCTAAGACTAAACCAGGAAGAAGTTGAATCACTGAGTAGACCAAAAAGGTTCTGAAATTGAGGCAATAATTAGTAGCCTACCAACCAAAATAAGTCCAGGACCAGACGGAGTCACAGCCGAATTCTACCAGAGGTACAAACAGAAGCTGGTACCATTCCTTCTGAAACTATTCCAATCGATAGAAAAAGAGGGAATCCTCCCTAACTCATTTTATGAGGCCAGCATCATCCTGATACCAAAGGCTGGCCGAGACACAACAAAAAAAGAGAATTTTAGACCAATATCCCTGATGAACATTGACGCAAAAATCCTCAATAAAATACTGGCAAACCAAATCCAGCAGCACATCACAAAGCTTATCCACCACAATCAAGTTGGCTTCATCCCTGGGATGCAAGGCTGATTCAACATACGCAAATCAATAAACGTAATCCATCACATAAACAGAACCAAAGACAAAAATCGCATGATTATCTCAATAGATGCAGAAAAGGCCTTTGGCAAAATTCAACACCCCTTCATGCTAAAAACACTCAATAAACTAGGTATTGATGGAACATATCTCAAAATAATAAGAGCTATTTATGACAAACCCACAGCCAATACCATACTGAGTGGGCAAAAACTGGAAGCATTCCCTTTGAAAACAGGCACAAGACAGGGATGCCCTCTCTCACCACTCCCATTCAACATAGTGTTGGAAGTTCTGGCCAGGGCAATCAGGCAGGAGAAAGAAATAAAGGCTATTCAATTAGGAAAAGAGGAAGTCTAATTGTCCCTGTTTGCAGATGACATGATTGTATATTTAGAAAACCCCATTGTCTCAGCCCCAAATCTCCTTAAGCTGATAAGCAACTTCCCCAAAGTCTCAGAATACAAAATCAATGTGCAAAAATCACAAGCATTCCTATACACCAATAACGGAGAGCCAAATCATGAGTGAACTCCCATTCACAATTGCTTCAAAGAGAATAAAATACCTAGGAATCCAACTTACAAGGGATGCGAAGGACCTCTTCAAGGAGAACTACAAACCACTGCTCAACAAAATAAAAGAGGACACAGCAAATGGAAGAACATTCCATGCTCATGGATAGGAAGAATCAAGATCATGAAAATGGCCATACTGCCCAAGGTAATTTATAGGTTCAATGCCATCCCCATCAAGCTACCAATCACTTTCTTCACAGAATTGGAAAAAACTCCTTTAAAGTTCATATGGAACCAAAAAAGAGCCCGCATTGCCAAGACAATTCTAAGCGAAAAGAACAAAGCTGGAGGCATCATGCTACCTGACTTCAAACTATACTACAAGGCTACAGTAACCAAAACAGCATGGTACTTGTACCAAAACAGAGATATAGACCAATGGAACAGAACAGAGCCCTCAGAAATAATACCACACATCTACAACCATCTGATCTTTGACAAACCTGACAAAAACAAGAAATGGGGAAAGGATTCCCTATTTAATAAATGGTGCTTGGAAAACTGGCTAGCCATATGTAGAAAGCTGAAACTGGATCCCTTCCTTATACCTTATACAAAAATTAATTCAAGATGGATTAAAGACTTAAATGTTAGACCTAAAATCATAAAAACCCTAGAAGAAAACCTAGGCGATACCATTCAGGACATAGGCATGGGCAAGGACTTCATGACTAAAACACCAAAAGCAATGGCAACAAAAGCCAAAATTGACAAATGGGATCTAATTAAACTAAAGAGCTTCTGCACAGCAAAAGAAACTACCATCAGAGTGAACAGGCAACCTACAGAATGGGAGAAAATTTTTACAATCTACCCATCTGACAAATGGCTAATATCCAGAATCTACAAAGAACTTAAACAAATTTACAAGAAAAAAATCAAACCACCCCATCAAAAAGTGGGTGAAGGATATGAACAGACACTTCTCAAAAGAAGACATTTATGCAGCCAACAGACACATGAAAAGATGCTCATCATCACTGGCCATCAGAGAAATGCAAATCAAAACCACAATGAGATACCATCTCATGCCAGTTAGAGTGGCAGTCATTAAAAAGTCAGGAAACAACAGGTGCTGGAGAGGATGTGGAGAAATAGGAACACTTTTACACTGTTGGTGGGACTGTAAAGTAGTTCAACCATTGTGGAAGACAGTGTGGTGATTCCTCAGGGACCTAGAACTAGAAATACCATTTGACCCAGAGATCCCATTACTGGTTATATACCCAAAGGATTATAAATCATGCTGCTATAAAGGCACATGCACATGTATGTTTATTGCAGCACTATTCACAATAGCAAAGACTTGGAACCAACCCAAATGTCCATCAATGATAGACTGGATTAAGAAAATGTGGCACATATACACCATGGAATACTATGCAGCCATAAAAAAGGACGAGTTCATGTCCTTTGTAGGGACATGGATGAAGCTGGAAACCATCATTCTGAGCAAACTATTGCCAGGACAGAAAAACCAAACACCTCATGTTCTCACTCATAGGTGTGAATTGAACAATGAGAACACTTGGACACAGGGTGGGGAACATCACACACCAGGGCCTGTTGTGGGATGGGGGGAGGGGGGAGGGATAGCATTAGGAGATATACCTAATGTAAATGACGAGTTAACAGGTACAGCACACCAACATGGCACATGTATATGTATGTAACGAACCTGCACATTGTGCACATGTACCCTAGAACTTAAAGTATAATTAAAAAAATAAATAAATCAAAAATAAATAAGTAAATACATAAATAAATTTGATAAAGGAAAAAAAAGAATGAGTGGAAACTATACCCTCCTCTTCAATATTCTGGAACCATTTGTTTAGAACTGGTATTATTTTTTCCTCAATAGCTTTGTAGGATTCATCCATAAATTCATCTTGGCCTGGAAAAAAAAATAAAGTATGGGCAAAGGACTTGAATAGATATTTCTCCAAATATACACAAATGGCCAATAAGCACATAAAAATGAAAATATGCTTAATATCAGTAATCATTGCAAATCAAAATCTCATGAGATATTACCTCATACCCATTAGAATGGGTACTAATGAAAGAACAGAAAATAACATGTTAATGAGGTTGTGGAGAAATTGGAATTCTCGAGCACTGTTGATGGGAATGTCAGATGGTACAGTCACTGTGGAGAACAATTTTGTGGTTCCCCAAAAAAATAAAACTAAAATAACTATATGATCCACTAATTTCACTTCTAGATATATACCTAAAAGAATTGAAAGCATAGTCTCAAAGAGATATATGTTCACCTATGTTCATAGCAACATTATTCACAATAGCCAAAAGTTGGAAGCAACCCATGTGTCCATTGACAGATGAATGGGTAGACTAAATGTGGCCTCTACATACAGTATTCCATACAGTATGGAAAATGTTTTGGTGGTTTCTTCTAAAACTAAACATGCATCTACTGTGTGATCCAACAATTATTTTCCTAGATATTTACTTAAAATAAATGGAAACATGTCCACTAAAAATCTTGTACAAGAATATTCATGGTGGCTTTATCCACAATGATAAAAAATGGAAACACATAAAATGTTCATTAAGAAGAGACTGGATAAACAAATTTGGTATATTCATATAATGGAATACTACTCAGAAGTAAAAAAGACCTACTGATAGTCACAGGAACATGGATGAATCTTGTAATATGCTGAATGAATAACCTATATACAAGAGAGTATGTTTGTCATGATTTCATTTAAATGAAGTTTTTGAATCAACAAAACCAATTTATGGAGACAGAAAGAACAATGGTTGCCTCAGTGGGGTACTATTAGTTTGTTAAGGGATATGAGGGAACTTTCTGGGATTATGGAAATTATGTCTTGGTTGGTATTGCCATTACATGGTTTTAAAAACAATTTGTCAAAGCTTATTAAACTTTACACTTAAAACCATGCGTTTTATTATATGTAAATTATGTCTCATTGAAGTTGAACTCATCGACGAAAGCTACTGGGCCTAGAGTTCTGTTTATGCAAAGGCTTTTAATTTCTGAAGCAATTTAATCATAGTTACAGTATAACTTGGTTGTCCTATTTCTTCAAGTTTGATAAATAATATTTTTCTGGGTTTCATCCAGTTCATCTACATTTTCTACAGTTTCAGAATTGTCTGTAGCATTTACTGTTAAAAACAGTAATAGCCTGTTTTTAATCTGATGTTGGTTATTTGTTCCTTCTTTTGTTTTTTTCTTTATCAGTGTCACCAGGAGTTTGTCAATTTGGGAAGTCTTTTTCCTTTGTTTTTTGAGATGGAGTCTGCCTCTGTCACCCACGCTGGAGTGCAGTGGCTGTGATCTCGGCTCACTGCAACCTCTACCTCCTGGGTTCAAGCAACTCTCATGCCTCAGCTTCCTGAGTAGTTGGGATTACAGGCGTGTGCCTCCATGCCGGCTAATTTTTGTATTTTTAGTAGAGAAGGGGTTTCATTATGTTGGCCAGACTGGTCTCAAACTCTTGGCCTCAAGTGATCTGCCCACGTCAGTCTCCCAAAGTGCTGAGGTTACAGGTGTGAGCCACTGTGCCCAGACCTATCTTAAGATGAGTTCTTAGATCATTAATTTTCAGTCTTTCTAATGTACACATTTCAATGCTGTAAATTTCCCACTAAGTATTGCTGTATCTGTGTCCTATAGGTTTTGATATATAGTAAATTAGTATTGTTTAGCCCAATGCCCTCCTGTATCTCTTAATTTCTAAATTTAAGGGGACATGTTGTGTTTTTGTTACTGATTTCTAGCATAACTGAATTGTTACTAGAGAGCACACTCTGGTATGACTTTAGTACTTTGAAATTTATTGATATTTGCCTGATGGCCCAATATATGGGGTCACTTTTTGTAAACATCCCTTACATACATGAAAATAATGTATATTGTATAGTTGTTGGGTGTTTCCTTTATGTAAAGATTACCAGTTATATTCTTTATATTTGTGTATCTTTTTTTCATTCTGTACCTCTGCTTTTTTTTATTTGTGTTTTATTAAGTAGTTGACTGAGATAGATGTGTTTAAAAACTTTACACAATGATTGTGGATTTCTGTTTTCTAATTTCAGTTCTGTTAACTTGTCTTTATTTCAAGGCCATATTATTGGGTGTACATTATTTTGAATATGTGCAACTTTTTATTACATACGATAGAACTTTATGTGTATAGTTGTTCCCTTGGTTTATACATGGGGGATTGGTTCCAGAACCCCCCAGGAATACCAAAATCTGCGCATACTCATATCCCCTAGTCAGCCCTGTGGAACCCATGCAAACTAGAAGTTGGCCCTCCATATATGTGAGTTTCATATCCTGTGGATACTGTATTGTCCATTTAAATTTGGTTGAAAAAAAATCCACATATAAATGGATGCAGTTCAAACCCATGTTGTTCAAAGTTCAACTGTATACTTAATATGTATTTTACATGTTTATATATAATGGAAATTGTTGTTAAAACAAGATACCTCCTTTATCTCTAGTAGAGATAAACTTGCCTTAGAGCAAGTTTTTATGTTATTATTATAACTATACCATTTTTTATTCTGTTTCATGTTTGCTTGTTATATCTTTTAAATCTGTTTACTCTTATCCTCTATCTTTATGTTTTAAATGACTCTTATAAATAGCATGTAGCCAGAGTTTATAATTTTATGCACTCTGACAATCTTTGTCTCTTTTACTGGTATATTTGGCCTTAGACTACATTATCTCCTTTATCTCTTATGTCTTACTTATATGTTAGTATACTATTATTGTTGTCATGTACTTTGATGATTTTTTTTCCTAAGGGTTTTGTATTGTCCAAGAAGAAAGAAAAAATAGAGTGAACTGGGGGTAAGCAGTAATTACAGGGTATTTCTAATCTGAAAATCCAAAATCTAAAATGCTCCCAAGTCCAAAACTTTATAGCACAGACATAATGCCACAAGTGGAGAAGTCCATGCACAAGTACTTAACACATACTTTTTCATGAACAAAATTATTAAAATATTGTATTAAATTACCTTCAGGCTATGTGTAAGGTATATACAAAATATAAATGAGTTTTGTGTTTAGACATAGGTCCTATCCTTAGGATATCTCATTAGATAAATCTGAAATATTTTTGGTCCCAAGCATTTTGGAAAAGGAATACTCAACCTCTACTGAGAATATTTAGAATTGATGAAAGACCTGAATTCACAGATATAGAAAGAGAAATTTATACCAAGCAAGAAAAATTAAAAGAAATCCACATTTAGACTTGGTATAACTAAAGAATATTGGACACATAAAAGTATTAAAAGTATCTGGAGAGAAATGAAAGATGAAAGTGAAGAAATGACATATTGGCCATGAACATCTCAACAAACAACAATAGAAGTCAGAAAACAGTGAGAAAGTATTTTCATGGGCTAAGAAGATTACTGTCAACATTAAATTTTGTCCGCAACATACCTATCTTTTAAGAATGTTGGAGAAATAAGGATAATTTTATATTAAAAAGTGAGGAAAACATGCTTTTCAAGAACACTCGGACATTTAACAAAAATGATCATATAGGCCAAGAATAACTAAAGCAATCTTTAAGAACAAAGTAGGAAAATGTGCCCTACCAGATATAAAGATTAATTGTATAGCTAAGGTAATTAAGACAGTATGACACTGGCACAGAAGTTGTCAAGTCAATTGAATAAAAGAGAAGCCTAGAAAAAGATACAGGGGTACATGGTAACTAGACACAATACAGAAGTGATATTGCAGATATGTAGTGCTAGAACATTTGACTATCTATATGGAAAAATATGAAAGTCTACCTCTACACTACATACAAACACAAATTCCTTAAGGATATAAATAAATGTGAAGGGCAGGGCTTCAAAACATTTGAAGAAGATGTGGGACAATATCTTTGTGACCTGGTAGTAAAGAAAGATTTCCTAAATAAGATTAAAAAACACAACCATATTTGAAAATATTGATACATTCATATATACTAAAATAATTTCTGGTTACTTGGAAAGTAAAGTAACAAACCTCAAAATTGGAGAAATATCCCAACTTTACATATATAAAGAACAAAGGATTAGAACCCATTAAATGTAATTAAGAAGAAAATGAAGCACCAAGTACATAAATGAGTAAAATATATGAACAGAGATGGTCACAGAACAGAAAATATGAAGAGTTAAACATGTTACATAATTTTCTGGAAAGTGCAAATTATACAACAAAACTTCAGTCAAATACTTTTGTCTGACACTATCAACTCTTGGTGAAGTTGTGAAGCAGGAAAAGTCATAACCTTGTTGCTGAGAATTTAAATTGGTATAAATGCATATGGAAAATAATGTCATCTTTAAAGTTGAATATGTAACCTGCCCTATGACCCGGCAATTCCAATCCTAGGTATATACTATAGAGAAATTCTACATTTGCACCAGGAGGTGTTTACAAGAACATTCATAGCACTATTGTGTGTGTACCAGTCCCAAAATGGAGACAACTCAGTGCCCTGAACAATTGATTACATAAACAGTGTTATATTCATACAATAGAACACTACTCAGCAGTGAAAATGAAAGAACTGTATTTTTACACATAAATACCTCAAACATAACTGTTCAATGAGAAAAGCAAGCCAGAAAAATAATGTACTATGAAAACATTTATATGAAGTTCAAAAAAAATCTTGAAATATTGTTTAGGGACACATAATTATGCAATGAATCTATAAAGAAGAGTAAGGGAATATAAATTAAGAATGTTTTTTATGCTCGAAAGGGCAGTAGGGGAAAACTAATGAAGAGGGAGGGGCATTTAATAGCTTTTATCAATATTGGTAATGGTCTATATTTTAAAGTCGATGATTGACTCATGGATACAAAATACAGTCTGATTCATCATTATATTACCCATAACCCTCTTCCCAATTCCTGTCCCTGCCGTATAACACCTTGCCAGTATTAATTTAGCCCTAAGATAAAAGTGAATATGAAGGGTGCTAATTCAGGGCTTTCCTTCCCTCTTAATAATTTCTATATTTGAATTATATCTACACAACTCAGTAAATATTTATACAAAGTATGTGAAAATAATATAAATGGAAGTTGTTGCTTCTTTATAGAAAATTAATCTCATTAAGAATATGCCTTTGAATCACATGAGTTTTCTGTACAATGGAAATACTTATTCTAATAAAGCGTATTAAACTGAGTGAGAGTAACCAATGTAAATATTGTTGAGAAATTCATTAAAAATAAATGCATGGGTGTTTATTTTATATTACTTGTCAAGAAAAAATACATATTTTAGGGGAGAAGATAGATTTTTTGAAAACAAAACACTTCTCACCATATGAAAATGTAAGGAAAGTGATCCAACCTAATTTCCATGAATAAGTAATCTTCTAAGATTCACAAAACCACAAAATGAATATGGAATGTTTTCAAGTAATCCATAGCATTTACTAATATTCATGCTATTTTTCTTTACTTAAAGGTCAATAAATTAGAGTTAGAACTAGAAAGTGCCAAACAGAAATTTGGAGAAATCACAGACACCTATCAGAAAGAAATTGAGGACAAAAAGATATCAGAAGAAAATCTTTTGGAAGAGGTGGGAAAAACTTAATGTATTAAGAACTTATTATACTAAAAATCTATATTTTTATTAGGATTTTAAGAGGAAAGTAAAAAAATCTTAACTATTAAATTACAATTTTAGAAAAGGGTTAGTAAATTTATATAAGGGTCAGTTTATCAGTTTTTATAGAAACTAAAAGTATCCTTGCTATTCTAAGTATTTGAGTATATAATTATTTTGAAAGGATTAAATGATTGCCACAGTGGTATAGTGTCATCTTACTTCATAAAACACCCCGAAAAAACCCCAAACAGTGCATTTTCTACTTGTTTTTCCAGTTTCCTGGTGTTTGAGGTTTGCTTTTATTTAAGTAGAACATATACTTTTTACACTTGTTTGTTTTTTGTGCATTTATTTTAAGAAACTTTTTTTTTTTGCTTATTTGATAGGTTGAGAAAGCAAAAGTAATAGCTGATGAAGCAGTAAAATTACAGAAAGAAATTGATAAGCGATGTCAACATAAAATAGCTGAAATGGTAGCACTTATGGAAAAACATAAGGTAATTTTTTTCTTCTTATATAATGAAAATTATTAATTGGAGCCATATTTCTGTTAAATAATGGTGAAATCAAGATAGTATTCTTATTTGTCAGAGAAGATTATTGTCTATGCAACAGTGACTGTCTATAGCTAGAATACCCTTGATGCCCATTTCTTCAAGTTCAGATCTTAACCATACAAAGTTGAGCCTGTGTGTCACATCCTTGAGGAAATCTCTCTTTGTTATCTGTGATGAATGGAAGTAATCACTCTTTTTCTGGATTCTGCTAATAGTCTCTTATAGCACTTTCTACCTTATATATTTTTAAGTACATAACCAGGATAAGTATCTCATTGATATCTAACATATAATAGGCTAAATCAATTTTTATCAAAGGAATAAATAGATGAAATACTTAGTGTTTGATGTGTTTTTGTCTTATATTTTTAATTGTTGTTTTAGAGTATCCATTTGTTAAGGAATTAAGCCTCATTCCCCTTAAGATTTGGAGAAGAGGTAGGGTATACCTACCTATTCAATTAAAAAAAAAAGCTGCTGGAATACGAGATTATTATGAGGGAAGTGGTGAGGATTTAAAAAATAATTTAAATAACATTGTGAACTCATAGATTTGAACACATTTGGTATGTTTCAATCCAGTGCAGCATCTGTCCTTATTGATAACTCACATTTTCCCACCTTTGGCTAGCAGGAGCCTCTTTAAGCTGTGTGGCAAGTCCTTTTGACTTAACTGTAATTTTCTCTGATAACTTTCTTTGAGTTATGACAAAATGTTTAAGGCTTCTTTTTTTGATGTAATAATTTTTTTATTATACTTTAAGTTCTAGGGTACATGTGCACAACATGCAGGTTTGTCACATATGTATACATGTGCCATGTTGGTGTGCTGCACCCATTAACTCATCATTTACATTAGGTATATCTCCTAATGCTAGTTTAAGGCTTGTATTTCCTGTCCCAGATTTGAAATCAGTCAGTTTTGTAGAAGCCCTGGTGTTTCTGGCAAATTTTTAAATGTTAAAATTCAATGTTTCCAAAGATAAAAGAATTATCTTTTGCTCTTTGGTTATTTCCAAGACTGTTGTGTGTTTCACTATTGAGGTTGTTTGAATGAAAAAATATAATTGAAACATTAAAAATATATACCCATATATATTACTGAATTTATAAACATAAGTTTCTGCAAAATTAAATACTAAATAATTAATTAAATACTAAATTAAATATTAAAATATGTTAGGATACCAATCTTATAATCTATTCAGTTTTAATATATCTAAAATGTCTTCTTTGTTTAATATAGCACCAATATGATAAGATCATTGAAGAAAGAGACTCAGAATTAGGACTTTATAAGAGCAAAGAACAAGAACAGTCATCACTGAGAGCATCTTTGGTGAGATACAGAAAAAATTGCAGTAACGGCCAGTTTTCATAATGTCAGCAGTGACTGGTGGTAAAGAATAATATTAAGTAAAACTAATTTTTGAGCTATAGAATCAGAGTCTTAACTCTGAAAGGGATCTTATAGATCTTCTAGTTACATGTTTTTTTCTAATTTAGTTTTTGAAATAGTGGAACAAACTATTTTTTCAAGTGAAATTTTATAAACTCCAGTAAACAAATAAGTTTGGACCTCTGATTGAAATTGGGAGAGGAGGGTGGGATAAACTGGGAGAGAACGAGGAGAGATATACTTTGTGTTGAAGTTTTCTTTAAAGAAAACTACAAAAAACTTGATTTTGTTTTGTTTTGTTTTGTTTTTGTTTTTTGAGTTGGAGTCTTTCTGTGTCCCCCAGGCTGGAGTGCACTGGCATGATCTTGGCTCACTGCAACCTCCACCTCCCGGGTTCAAGCAGTTCTCTGGCCTCAGCCTCCTGAGTAGCTGGGACTACAGGTGTGCATCACCACACCCGGCTAATTTTTGTATTAATATTTTTAGTAGAGACGGGGTTTCACCATGTTGGCCAGGCTTTCCTCAAACTCCTGACCTCGAGTGATATGCCTGCCTCTGCCTCCCAGGGAAGTGCTGGGATTACAGGCATGAGCCACTGCACCCAGCCCAAAAACTTGTTTAAATGAGGTTTTTAGCTATGTTAAGCTAGCAGCCTTTATATCAGTTGACTTTAAAAGTATCTACATTTTATGAGTGAATTTATTTCTCTACAATATTAAATTTACTCAGAGCACTAGTTTATATTTTCATTGTCTTGAGAAATACATGGAAGCTCTTCTAAACTTCATGTTTCTTTTTCTTTAGGAGATTGAACTATCCAATCTCAAAGCTGAACTTTTGTCTGTTAAGAAGCAACTTGAAATAGAAAGAGAAGAGAAGGTAGGTTTTTTGGCATTATAGATAAAATGATTACAAGGTTTAGGGGCAACTTTGCATTTTTAGAATTATGTCATATTATAAAATAATTTGATAAATTTTAATAACGGGATGAGAAAATAATTTTCCCCCAGAAGCTTTTTTCTAGAAACATTTAGAATATTTCCTAATGTAAATGCAAAACACACGTAAATATAAGTGTACTTTTAAGAAAAGAACACTTTTGTGGCTCATGTCTGTAATCCCAGCACTTTGGGAGGCCGAGGCGGGCGGATCATGAGGTCAGGAGATCGAGACCATCCTGGCTAACACGGTGAAACCCTGTCTCTACTAAAAATACAAAAAATTAGCCGGGTGCGGTGGCGGGCGCCTGTAGTCCCAGCTACTCGGGAGGCTGAGGCAGGAGAATGGCGTGAACCCGGGAGGCGGAGCTTGCAGCAGCCGAGATCGCGCCACTGCACTCTAGCCTGGGAGACAGAGCGAGACTCCGTCTCAAAAAAAAAAAAAAAAAAAAAAAAAAAAAAAGAAAAGGAACCCTTTTTTTTCTGCAAATACTGTTAACATTTTTAATGTATATCCTTCTAGCATGTTTCCTTTTTTTTTATTATACTTTAAGTTTTAGGGTACATGTGCACAACGTGCAGGTTTGTTACATATGTATACATGTGACATGTTGGTGTGCTGCACCCATTAACTCGTCGTTTAACGTTAGGTATATCTCCTAATGCTATCCCTACCCCCTGGAACACTTTTAAATATACTGTATATGAGTAATATTATCTCGTATTAAAATGCTTATATATTTAGATATGCTTTTTTTGAAGCTATTCATCATGTTTCAGAAAAAAAGGCTATCTCTGTAGTGTTTTACAGTTTGCAAGGTGAATTGATTCACCCTATAAATGACAAATACTATTTTTTTTGGTTTCTATGAGATGGGAACTGTGTTTAGTACCCTACTTACATTTAATTTAATCTTTACAGCAATGTTATATCCCACAATTTATTATTATCTTTACTTTGACAGAGGTTACATTATTTATTCAGGATTACGTAGTAAGAGAGCAGAATGACTAGATTTCAAACCTAGGTCTATTTTTGCATGGCTTCAAACCTATTCTCTTAATCACTCTGCAACAGCTTAGGTAACATACACTTTCAATTTCAAGCCTCTGAGAATTTGTTTACTTTGTTTCCTGCATTTAATTCCTTTCATCCTTTTCTATCTTGGAAAATCTCACACATCTTTCATCTTATAGTTGTGAGCTTACTATATATGTGTGTATTCTCATAGCACTTTGTTTTTAATGTTAAAATGGTTATTTCACTCTGTGCCCCCTGTTATATTGCAAGCTCTGCAAGGTCTAATTATGCCTTATTTATCTTTGTTTTCCCTTTATCTGAGTACAGGGCTTTGAAATTTTTATATTTTCAATTAAAGGACTAACAAAATGGCTTTCCCTTCATCTGCAATAATAAGATTCATGCTTACCTTTATCCTACTGTTTCAGTAGAAGAGGAATTCTTCTGTGGCTTAACTCTTGATGCTATTAAACCCTCAGCAATCTTTACTTTTTACTCTAGTCAGTAAACATAAATAAGAATAAGAATTCTGTTACTGTAGCTTGTATCTCAAGTTCTTTGGCTCTCACATAAGTAGAAATTAACACCAGGCCAAAGAGACATTTTTCTCAGGGAAGGTTTAATAGGCTTGTGGCTCAATCAAAGCAAGGGAGCAGTTTACGGCAAAGGGATCTCCGTGCTAGCTCCCTGAGGCTCAGCTCCTGTCATTTTAGAAGCTGAGGCAGAAAATGAAATGATGTACAAGCATGTTTAGGCGAAATTTTCTTTGTGTTTGCGCAATGGGGCATCATGCTCTGACATACATTGCATGATCAGAAAATGGTGGATAAGCCCTGCCTTGGGTGGAGATTTTAGTATTAAAATGATACTATAATGAGGAAAAAATCAGTGAAAGGTCAGTGTTGGAGTCTGTCTTGTCTTCAGCAGACTGGATCTGGTCCAGTTCTTATCGGGAATGCCAGAGCCTCACTAACCTTGAAAGATGGTCAGGTTCTTATCAGGAATGCTAGAGTCCCACTTTTAGTAACCTTGGGAGACATTACTTCAAGGAGATAAACAATTAGTTTCTTCTTTTGATAGTTAAGAATTCAGCCTAGTCAGCTAAGTTAGGAGAGGCCCTCCTTCTGCTATGTGACTTGGGTCAGCTTATTAAGGGAGACAGGAAGGTAGGGGAGAGAATATGCCTTGATATGTGAGGCCCATGGGGTCTTGATTACTATGTCTGTGGTCTACCAGGGCTCAATCCCTTCCCTATACTGTCTCATTTCTATCATCTTATAAAAACTTAAACCATTAAACTGCTTAAGCTGCTATACTATTCTGTTCTTTTCTTAAGTATTAGTCTGTTTTTTCAGGTCTTATCTCCTCACCTATTACAATTTAGCTATTGGCCTAACTGCTTTCTTGTCTTGGGTCACACTGAACTCCTTATTAACAAATTTAAGGGCTTCTTTTTTATTTGCATATCAAAAATAATTTAGGACCTCCATTTACATCGTATTGTGTTTCTTTCTGATCATCTATGAAAAAATATATAAACACAAACATGTGCACACATGCACACACACAAATATGCCTGTACATAGATAGATATAAAAAATTTGGGCTTGTGATAGATTGTTTTATTCAAAATGTATGCTGCCCTTTTCTATTAGGGTCCCTCCCAAAGGAAGAATTATGTATTTCCACCTCGCTGACTTCAGATTTGGCCAAAGGTTTTGTTTTGCCCAATGGAATGTGAGCAAAAGTGGCTTTTCTGAGAGGATGCTTTAAGAGACACCACATCGTCTTCCCAGCCTCTCTTTTCTTTTGGCCTTGAGACTGACGTAGAAGTTGCTTCTTCAGCCTAGATTCCTGGAGATAACAAGGAGTAGGGTAGAAACCAGTCTATAATTGACATGTAATGTGGTTGAGAAATAAACTTCTCTTGTAATCCACTAAGATCTGGGGTTGTTACTACAGTGTAATTTAGTCTAAGCTCATTGATATAAGGATTTATTGTATACCTAAATTTATATTGTTTAATAAAAACACATTATGTTTATATTTTATAAAATATTAATACAGAAAAATACAAAAAGGGTAAAAATAGCCTACAAACCCATATCTCAGAGTTTACTGTTTTTCCATCTGCTTTCCAACTTTCTATATACTGAGATTGGACTAACAGTTATAGAGATAATACCTTTAGGTGTTCTTCTTCTATTTAAAAAATGTCCACTTTTATTGCATTGTCTATACTATTGTTACTTTTTTGAAATTTCTTTAGCATTTTCTTTATGCTGTAAAATATAGTCAGTATTTATGAATGTACATGAGGACATAAAATGAAGGTATAATTATAATCTATAGACTGATTATCTAGCTAATGATGAATGCTAATTATACATACATATATACATAATTATGTTAAATTACACTCTTTTTTTTTTTTTGAGACAGAGTCTCACGTCTCACTCTGTCTCCCAGGCTGGAGTGCAGTGGTGCAATCTCAGCTCACTGCAAGCTCCACCTCCCGGGTTCACGCCATTCTCCTGCCTCAGCCTCCCTAGTAGCTGGGACTACAGGTGTCTGCCACCACGCCTGGATAATTTTTTGTATTTTTAGTAGAGATGGGGTTTCACTGTGTTAGCCAGGATGGTCTCAATCTCCTGACCTTGTGATCCGCCCGCCTCAGCCCCCCAAAGTGCTGGGATTACAGGCGTGAGCCACCACGCCCGGCCTAAATTACACTTTTATACACATTTTAAGAATGTAAGTAATACATACAAATGTAAAGGAAAATGTTGATGGAATTCTAGAGCTTACATCCCAGAATAACTTTTATCTATTTTGGGCGTGTATCACTTCATATGGCTCCTTTATGAAAAAACAAAAACATAAACAAAAAGAACCATAGTCAGATACACTTACACATATCAAGAAAGATAAAGAAAGAATACCTTTGAAAAAAATGCCATATTAGCTACTTTAAACTAAAATATACATATTATATTTGAATTTATCGGAAAAAATAATTTGAAATTGGAATTGCAGAATTATTATTAAACTTAAGATAGATATTTCTTTACAAAATATTTAATAGTTCTTGAAAGGGCTGAGATTCTAGGGTGAAGAAAACAGACTGAAAAACATTTTGAAGAGGGAGGAAAGTTGTAGGTGCCAGTGTAGTTTCTTTTAATTAAGCTTTTTATTTTGAGATAATTGTAGATTCACATGCAGTTGTAAGAAATAATGTAGAGAGATCCCATGTATCCTTTATTAAGTTTCCCCCCATGGTCACATCTTACAAATTGTAGGACAATATCACAACCAGGATTTTGACATTGACACAATTAAGATACAGAACAGTTCCATCTCCATAAAGATTCCTCATATTGCCCTTTTATAGCCACATCCACCTCCCTCCCCCACCCCTGGCAATCACTAACATGTTCTCCATTTCTATAATTTTGCCATTTCGAGAATGTTATCTAGATGGATTCATACACTATGTAACCTTTGTTACAGCTTTGTTTCTTGGAGATTTATCCAAGTTGTTAGTCCAACCTGAGTATATAGAAAGTTGGAAAGCAGATAGAAAAATGTAAATACTTTTTTTTAGTTTTTATTGCCAAGTAGTATTCTGTGGTATGGAGGTACCACAGTTTAAGAGTTTGCCCAGTCAAGGGTACCTAGTTGTTTCTAGTTTTGAGCTATTATAAATAAAGCTGTTATGAACATCTGTGTACAGGTTTTGGTGTGAACCTGTTTTCATTTTTCTGAAACAACTACCTAAGAATACAATTGCTAAATTGTATGGCAGTTGCATATTAGTTTCATAAGCAACTGCCAAACTATTTTCCAAAGTGGTGGTACCATTTTACATTACCATAAGCACTGTATAAATGATCCAGTTTCTCTGCATCCTTACCAGCAGCAACTTGCTATTTTTTATTTTAGTTATTCCTGTAGGTTTGTAGTCATAATTCATTGTGGTTCTAATTTGCGTTTTTCTGCTGTTGAACAGTGTATTAGTCTATTCTCATGCTGCCAATAAAGACATACCTGAGACTGGGTAATTTATAAAGAAAAGAGGTTTAATTGACTCACA
This sequence comes from Homo sapiens, assembly GCF_000001405.40. NCBI lineage: Eukaryota > Metazoa > Chordata > Mammalia > Primates > Hominidae > Homo > Homo sapiens. The sequence continues at coordinate 114,952,494 of NC_000001.11, forward strand.
GTTCCACAGGGCTGGGGAGGCCTCAGGAAACTTACAATTATGGTGGAAGGGGAAGCAAACATGTCCTTCACATGGCAGCAGGAAGGATAATGAATGCCAAGCAAAGGGGGAAAAGCCCCTTATAAAACCATTAGATCTTGTGAGAACTCACTGTCACGAGAACAGCAGCATGGGGGTAACCAACCTCATGATTCAATTACTTCCCACTGGGTACTCTCCCACAACATGTGGGGATAATGGGAACTACAATTCAAGATGAGATTTGTATCTGTGTTTTTATTTTTAACTAATTTTCTAATTAGACTTGTTTTTACCTGTTGAATTTTAAGAATTCTTTATATAATGTAATTATTAGTCCTCTGTCAGAGGACTTATTCCATTTGTGTTGCTATAACAGAATACTTGAGACTGGGTAATTTATAAAGAACAGAAATGTATTTTTCTCACAGTTCTGGAAAATGGGAAGTTCAAGATCAAGGTGCCAGCATCTGGTGAGGGCCTTTTGTGGCATCCTCCAGAGAGAGAAATGACCTGTCTTCATATGGTGGAAGATAAAAAGGCAAAGAATAACAAGAGGGCCAAACATGTCTTTTTATGATGGGATTCCTGCCACCCATAAGGGCAGAGCCCTCATGGCCCTATCACCTTCCAAATGTCCTACTTCCTAACAATGCCACAATGACAACCAAATTTCAACATGAGTTTTGGAGGGTACAAACATTCAAACCATAGCATCAGATATGTGGTTTGCCAGTGTATGCTCCCAGTCTATAGCTTGTCTTTTTATTCTAACAGTTTTTTTGCAGAACAAGTTTTTAATCTTGATAAATTTTAATTTCTCAGTTTTTCCTTTTATGGATTGTGCTTTTGATCCCAAGTCTAAGAACTCTTTCCCTAGCCCTAGATCCCAAAGACTTTGGCCTGTGTCTTTTTGTAAAAGCTTTAGAATTTTATTTTTTATACTTACATCTGTGATCCATTTTGAGTTAATTGTTATATAAAGCGTGAAGTTCAGTTTTTTGCCTATGGATCTCAGATTGCTCTGTCACCAGCTGTTGAAAAGACTGCTTTATCTCCATTGAATTACTTTCAAACTTTTGTCAAAAACTAGTTAGGCATGTTCTTATGGATCTATTTCTATGGTCTTTATTCTGTTCCATTGATCTATGTGTCTCTTCACCAATATCACTGCCATGCTTACTTTATACTAAGCCTTAATATCAAGTAAAATGATTCTCCTACTTTATTTTTCTCTGTCAAGATTGTTTTAGATGTTTTAGTACCTGTTACTTTCCATATATTTTAGAATAAATTTATTTTTACAAAAACCTTGCTGGGATTTTGATAGAAAATTTATTAAACCTATAGATCACAGTTTGAGGAAAATTGACATCTTTACTTTGTTGAGTTTTCAAATCTATAGCATGGTATTTTTCTCCATTTATTAGATATTTGATTTCTTTCATAAGAATTTCATAATTTTCATTATATAGCCTCTAAACCTGTTTTGTTAAATGTATATCTATTTCATTTCCTTTCATGCAATTGAAAAAAATAGACATTTGTTCTTATTTTTATTAATTTTTAATTGACAAATAGTAATTGTGTACATTTATGAGGTGCAATCTGACATGTTGATATACGTACGTGTACGTTATAGAAGATTCAATCAAACTAATTAACATGTCTATGACCTTGCCAACTTATCATTTTTTTGACGTGAGAACATTAAAAATCTTTTAGCAATTTTAAAATATGCAATATCTTATTATTAGTGGTGGTCATCATGCAGTGCAATAGATTGTGTTTTTAATTTTGTTTCCTATATGCTTATCATTAGTGTACAGAAACATGATTGATTTTTGTGTTTATTTTGTATCCTGTGCCCATGCTAAACTTATTTATTAGCTCTACAATGCTTATTTTTATTCTTTGTGATTTTCTGTGCAGACATTTGTCATCTTCAGGATGATTGGAAAGGATGAAGCACTAATATTAATAAATACAATAATAATTAATTATATTTTATTTTATCCTTTCCAGTCAGTATGCTTTTTATTTATTTATTTATTTATTTATTTATTTATTTTTTATTTATTTATTTTTGAGACGGAGTCTTGCTCTGTCACCAGGCTGGAGTGCAGTGGCGTGATCTCGGCTCACTGCAACCTCCACCATCTGGGTTCAAGAGATTCTCCTGCCTCAGCTTCCCGAGCAGCTGGGACTACAGGCACACGCCGCCATGCCCAGCTAATTTTTGTCTTTGTACTAGAGACGGAGTTTCACCATGTTGTCCAGGATGGCCTCAATCTCTTGACCTCGCGATCCGCCTGCCTCGGCCTCCCAAAGTGCTGGCATTACAGGCATGAGCCACCGCGCCTGGCCTTTATTTCTTTTTCTTGACTTATTACAGTGAATGACTAGAACTTCCAGTACCATGTGGTAGACTGATAAGTGGCGAGAGCATACATGCTTGCAGTATTGATAAATGTAGGGAGAAAAGCATTCAATTTTTTAACCAATAAGTATGATGTTAGCTATAGATTTTTTCTAGATTTAAAAAATCAAGTTGATGTAATCTCCCTGTAGTAATTTAATTAGAGTTTTTAAAAATCGTGAATTGGTACTGGATTTTATCAGATGCTTTTTCTGCATTGATTGATATTATCATATTATTTTTCTTTTTATCTTGTTGATATGGTGGATTACCTTGGTTGATTTTTTGAATGCTATTCCCTAGAATAAATCCCATTTGGTGTATGACATATACATATGGAGAGTGAGAAACAGGGAGAGAGAGAGAGAGGGCACTTGCTAGATTTAATCTGCTAATTTTTTGTTGAGGATTTAAAATATAAGTTCATGAGAAATATTGGTCTGTAGTTTTCTTCTCTATACTATCTTGTCTGGTTATGATATCATGAGTCTGGAAGTGTTTTCCTTGCTTCTGTTTTCGGGAAGAGATTGTATAAAATTGGTGTTAATTTTTCTTTCTGTTTGGTAGACTGGTAGCCTTCTCCAGTGAAACTATCCAGGCTTGTAGATTTCTGAAAAGGACTTTTAAACAATAAATTCAATTTCTGTAATGGTTAATTAGGCTGTTTCAGGGTCACCATTAACCCACTCTTATCTCCTCAAAACAACAAGAATTCTGCACCTATCCAGTCAAAATCTCACTTTGGGAGCCTCAGGACTCAAGAGGGAGTCTCTGAAACCCTCATGGAACCAAAGACCTTGGAGGGTCATTTTGAGAGTGCAGACTGACAGCACTTGGAGGGTCATTTTGAGAGTGCAGACTGACAGTAGGTTACAGGTGGCTGACCTACTGAGTTTGCTCCCAGGTTCAAGCCCAGGAATGGCCCAGTCCTCTAAGTGGCTTGGCTATAGCCCTCTTTGTCCCTGAGCTTGCAATCAAAACCATCTGCCAAAGAGTCCGGGGGAATCACACTATTAGTGCCTTGATAGAAAGGCTTGTCTGCTTGCTGATATTGGTTTTGGCAGTGAACATAATAGTTGTTTTGTGGCACTTCCCTAGCCCACTTTATCTGAGGTCCCAGCTGAGAGCTGCTAACACAAGGACCCAGAGGGAGACTCACCCATACCTCGCAGCTGAGGAGTCTAAGCCATCCTGAATAGGATCACCAACCTCTTTCCTTGTGCTGTCTCTGAGATCTATCTTGTCTGGGAGATGTGTACCTGTTTGGGCTAACAAGATGGGCTCTCCAGCCTGTGTCCCCCAGCAGATCTTGGATGGGTGGTGGGGGGACAGTCACAGGTCTAGTCCTTCCTGCTGCAATCAGGGAACTATCCTGTCTGTGCAGGGCCCTGCTGAGAGATGTACACTCCTCTAATCCAATGGGATAGGCATTCCAACCTCTATCTCACAATAATCCTGAGGGAGCTAATTCTCAGCTCCAGTCCATCCTGCTACACTTAGGAAACTATTGTCTGTGCAGGGTTCTCCTAGGAGACATGTGTTCTCTCAGCCACCAAGATTAGGCTCTTCAGCCTCCAACCCACAGCAGATCCTGAGGGGAACTATGGTCAACTCCAGCCCCTCAAGCTGCACTTGACATCCTATCTTGCCCATGCAGAGACCTGCTGGGAGGCATGTCCATCTCAGCCACTCGGACAATCTTCTGAACTCAGGTCCCTGGTCAGCATTCCCATACAGCTCTAGTACCCTCCTTGGATCTTTCCCAGGCTTATCTGGGCTGGAATGGCATGTCAACCTTGGAGTCCTTGCAAGACTCATGGCAAGTGTGGACTTAGAGCATCCTCTAGTGCTGAGATGGCTGCAGTGGTCACAGGCTCAGGAAACACAACAACCAGACTTCTTAGAATCACTAGAATCACTGAGAACCACAAACAAAGGCAGACTGTGCCTACAATTAAATACTTAATCTCTCAGTGTGCAGACATTGTCACACATCCACAAGCATCAAGAACATTAAGGGAAATATAACCTCACCAAACAGACAAAATAAGGTGCCAGAGACTGACCCTAAATTGATGGAAATGTGTGATCTCTCAAAGAATTAGAAATGGCCAGGTTTTGTTGTTGTTGTTGTTGTTTGTTTGTTTTTGTAGAAACAGGGTTTCTCTCTCTTGCCCAGGATGAAGTGCAATGGTACAATCATAGCTCACTGGAATCTCCAACTCCTGGGTTCAAGAGATCCTGTGGTCTCAGCCTACTAAGTAGCTGGGACTACAAGTGACCACCACCCCACCCAGCTAATTTTTAAATTTTTTGCAGGGGTCTTGCTATGTTGCCTAAACTGGTCTTGAACTCCTTAAGTAAACATTAAGTTTACTTAGATGTAAGACCTGAAACTATGAAATTACTGAAAGAAAACACTGGGTAAATGCTACAGGGCATTGGTCCGGTCAAAGATTATTTGAGTGAGACCTCAAAAAGCATAGGCAATGAAAGCAAAAATGGATAAAACAGGATTATATCAAGCTACAAAGTCTCTGCACAGCAAAGGAAACAGCAAAGTGAGAAAAATCAACCCTTGGAATGGGAGAACATGTTTGGAAACTATCCATCCAACAAGAGATGAATAACCAGAATATATAAGAAACTCAAACAATTCAATAGCAAAAAACCCCAAATTATCTGATTAAAAATTGGACAAAACATTTCTCAAAAGAAGACATACAGATGGAAACAGGTATATGAAAACATGCTCAACATCACTAATCATCAGGGAAACACAAATCAACACCACCACAATGAGATATAACCTCACACCTATTAGGATGGCTGTTGCTAAAAGTCAAAAGATAGCAAGTGTTGATGAGGATGTGGAACAAAGGGAACCCTTGTTTACTGTTGCTGGGAGTGTAAATTGGTACAGCCATTATGGAAAACAGTCTAGAGGTTCCTCAAAAAACTAAAAATAGAGCTACCTTATGACCCAGCAATCCCATTACTGAGTATATATCCAAAAGAAAGGAAATCAGCATATTGAAGAGAGATCTAAATTCCCATGTTTACTGTAGCACTATTCACAATTGCCAAAATATGGAATCAACTAAGTGTTCATTAACAAGTGATTGGATAAAGAAAATGTGGTATACATTCCATATGCAATGGAATATTAATCAGCCATAAAAAAGAAGGAAACTTTGTCATTTGCAACTACATGGATGGAGCTGGAGGATATTGTGTTATGTGAAATAAGCTAGGCACAGAAAAACAGCTGTTAAATATTCTCACTCATATGTGGGAGCTTAAAAAATTATCTCATGGAGGTAGTAAATACAGCGGTGGTTACTGGAGGCTGGGAAGGGTAGTGGGGAGGGAGGGATGAAGAGGGATTGATTAATGGGTACAAATATACAATTAGATAAAAGATATAAGTTCCAGTGTTTGGTAGCACAATAGGGCTAGTGTAGGTTTCAAAATATTGAATACTTCAAAATAGCTATAGGAGAAGAATTGGAATATTCCCAACACAAAGAAATGATAAATGTTTGAGATGATAGATATCCTAATTACTCTGATTTTGATTATTATGTATCATATACAGATATCAAAATATCACATGTACTCCCAAAATATGTACAACTATTATATATCAATAAAAATTATTTAGTAATTTATCTTTTTATTATTCAGTTTTAAAAGTTCTTTATTTCAGGCCGGGTGCGGTGGCCCATGCCTGTAATCCCAGCACTTTGGGAGGCTGAGGCGGGCGGATCACAAGGTCAGGAGATTGAGTCCATCCTGGCTAACACGGTGAAACCCTGTCTCTACTAAAAAAAAAAAAAAAAAAAAAAAATTAGCCGGGCATGGTGGTGGGTGCCCGTAGTCCCAGCTACTCGGGAGGCTGAGGCAGGAGAATGGCATGAACCTGGGAGGTGGAGCTTGCAGTGAGCCGAGATTGTGCCACTGCACTCCAGCCTGGGCAACAGAGTGAGACTCCGTCTCAAAAAAAAAAAAAAAAGAGTTCTTTATTTCAGATACATGTTCTTTATATGATGTACTATTTGCAGATATTTTCTCTCATTCTGTGGGTTGTTTTTTCAGTTTCTTGTTGGTATCATTTGCAACACAAAAGTTTTCATTTTGATGAAATTCAGTGTATCTAGATGCCCTTTATCAAACTGAGAAAGTTCTCTTCTATTCCTAATTAGTTTAAAGGTTGTTTTGTTCTCTTTTGTTTTACCATAAAAGGGTGTTAGATTTGTGAAATGCTTTTTCCATGTCTGTTGAGGTGATCATGTGGGTTTCTCCGTTTATTCCATTAATATTATGTATTACAGTAATTGATTTTCAGATGTGAAACCAACTTTACATTCTTGGCAGAAATTCTACTTGGTCTTGGTATATAATCCCCATTTTATTTTGCTGGATTTGGTTTGCTAGCATTTTGAGTTGAGAATTTTTTGCATCTACATTTATGAGAGCTATTGAGCTATAGTTTTCTGTCTTTTAATTTTTAATTTTTGTGGGTACATTGTAGGTGTGTATATTTATGGGGTGTATGGGATATTTTGATAGAAGCATACATTGTGTAATAATTTTATCAGAGTGAATGAGGTATCCATCACCTCAAGCATTTATCCTTTGTATTACAAACAATCCAATTATACTTTTAGTTATTTTAAAATGTCCACTTAAATTATTGGCCATAATCACCCTATTGTGCTATCAAATGCTATATCTTATTCATTCTTTCTATTTTTTATATCCATTAACCATTCTCCTTTCCCCACACACCCCCTCCCCTCCTCCCTACTACCCTTCCCAGCCTCTGATAATCATCCTTCTATTCTCTATCTCCATGAGTTCAATGGCTATAATTTTTAGTACCCACAGACAAGTGAGAACATGGAAAGTTTGTCTTTCTGTGCCTGGCTTATTTCACTTAACATAATGACCTCCAGTTCCACCCATGCTGCTGCAAATCACAGGATCTTATTCTTTTTTATGGCTGAATAGTAGTTCAGGGTGTGTATGCACCACATTTTCTTTACCCAGTCATCAGGTGATGGACATTTGGGTTGCTTCCAAATCTTGGCTATTGTGAACAGTGTTACAGTAAACATGGGAGTGCAGATATTTCTTAGGTAAATGGATTTCTTTTCTTTTGGGTATATACCTAGCAGTGGGATGGCTGGATCATACAGTCTATAGCAGCTGATTATTTTTAGTTTGCTTGTTTTTTTTTTTTTTTTTTTTTTGAGATGGAGTCTTGCTCTGTTGCCCATGCTGGAGTGCAGTGGTGTGATCTCGGCTCACTGCAACCTCCACCTCCTGGGTTCAAGTGATTCTCCTGCCTCAGCCTCCCGAGTAGCTGGGATCACAGGCATGCACCATCACCCCTGGCTAATTTTTGTATTTTTAGTAGAGATGGGGTTTTGCCATGTTGGCCAGGCTTGTCTCGAACTCCTGACCTCAGGTGATCCACTCGCCTTGGCCTCCCTAAGTGCTGGGATTACGGGCGTGAGCCACCACGCCCAGCCTATTTTTAGTTTTTTGAGGAACCTCCACAGTGGTTGTACTAATTTACATTCCCACCAGCAGTGTATGAGGGTTCCCTTTTCTCCACGTCCTCGTCAGCATTTGTTATTGCCTGACTTTTGGATAAAAGCCATTTTAACTGGGGTAAGATGATATCTCATTGTAGTTTTGATTTGCATTTCTCTGATGATCAGTAATGTTGAGTACGTTTTCATATACCTGTTTGCCATTGGTATATCTTCTTTTGAGAAATGTATTATCTTTTTGATATGCTGTTAGACTCGGTTAGCTAGTATTTTGTTGAGGATTTGTGCATCTATGTTCATCAGGGATATTTGTCTGTAATTTTCTTTTTTCGTTTTGTCCTCTCCTGGTTTTGGTATTAGGGTGATACTGGCTTCATAGAATGATTTAGGGGGGATTTTCTCTTACTCTATCTTTTGGAATAGTTTCAGTAGGATTGGTGCCAATTCTTTGAATGTCTGACAGAATTCAACTGTGAATCCATCTGGTCCTGAACTTCTTTTATTGGCAGTTTTTAAAAATTACCATTTCAGTCTTGCTGCTTGTTATTGGTCTGTTCAGAGTTTCTCTTGCTTCCTGGTTTAATCTAGGAGGGTTGTATATTTCCAGGAATTTATCCATCTCTTCTAGGTTTTCTAGTTTGTGCATGTTAAGGTGTTCATAGTAGCCTTGATCTTTTTTATTTCTCTGGTATCAGTTGTAATATCTCCTGTTTCATTTCTGATTGAGCTTATTTGAATCTTCTCTTTTCTTGGTTAATCTCACAAATGGTCTATCAATTTTGTTTATGTTTTCAAAGAACTAGCTTTTTGTTTCATTTATCTTTTGTATTTTTTGTTTCAATTTCATTTAGTTATGCTCTGATCTTTGTAATTTCTTTTCTTCTGCTGAATTTGGGTTTGGTTTGTTCTTGTTCCTCTAGCTCCTTGAGATGTGACCTTAGATTGTCTATTTGTGCTCTTTCAGACTTTTTGATGTAGGCATTTAATGCTATGAACTTTCCTCTTAGCACTGCTTTTGCTGTATCTCAGAGGCATTGATAGGCTGTGTCACTATTATCGTTTAGTTGAAAGAATTTAAGAATTTCCATCTTGATTTCACTGTTGACCCAGAGACCATTCAGGAGAAGATTATTTAATTTTCACGTATTTGCCTGATTTTGAGAGTTCCTTTTGGAGTTGATTTCCAATTTTATTCCACTGTGGTCTGAGAGAGTACTTGATATAATTTCGATGTTCTTAATTCATTGAGACCTGTTTTGTGGCCTTTCATATGGTCTGTCTTGGAGAATGTTACATGTGGTGATGAATAGAATGTATATTCTGCAGTTGTTAGGTAGAATGTTCTGTAAATACCTGTTAAGTGCATCTGTTCCAGGGTATAGATTAAGTCCATTTTTTCTTTGTTGATTTTCTGTCTTGATGACCTGTCTAGTGCTGCCAGTGAAGTATTGAAGTCCCCCACTATTATTTGTGTTGCCATCTATCTTTTTTTTTTTTTTTTTTTGAGATGGAGTCTTACCTTTTTGCCCAGGCTGGAGTGCAGTGACACAATTTCGGCTCACTAAAACCTTCGCCTCCCAGGTTCAAGTGATTCTCCTGCATCAGCCGCCTGAGTAGAGTAGCTGAGATTACAGGCAGCCGGCACAACACCCAGCTAATTTTTGTATTTTTTTAGTAGAGACAGGGTTTCGCTGTGTTGGCCAGGCTGGTCTCGAACTCCTGACCTCAGGTGATCCAGCCCGCCTCAGCCTCCCAAAGTGCTGGGATTATAGGTGTGAGCCACTGCACCCAACATGTCTATCTCATTTTTAAGGTCTGGTAGTCATTGTTTTATACATTTGGGAGAACCAGTGTTAGGTGCATATATTTTTAGGTCTGTGATATTTTCCTGTTAAACAAGTCCTTTTATCATTATGTAATGTCTCTTTTTGTCTTTTTAAACTGTTGTTGCTTTAAAGTCTGTTTTGTCTGATGTAAGAATAACTATTCTTGCCTGCTTTTGGTGTCCATTTGCATGGAATATCTTTTTCCACCCCTTTACCTTAAGTTTATGTGAGTCTGTATGTGTTATGTTAGGTGAGTCCCTTAAAGACAGCACATACTTGGGTTGGTGAATTCTTATATATTCTGCCATTCTGTATCTTTTAAGTGGAGCATTTAGGCCATTTACATTCAACATTAGTATTGAGATGTGAGGTACTCTTCCATTCATTGTGCTATTTGTTGCCTGAATACCTTGATTTTTTTTCATTGTGTTATTGTTTTATAGGCTTTGTAAGATTTATGCTTTAAGGAAATTCTATTTTGGTGTATTTTTAGGTTTTGTTTCAAGATGTAGAGCTCCTTTTAGCAGTTATTGTAGTGCTAACTTGGTAGTGGCGAATTCTCTCAGCATTTGTTTGTCTGAAAAAGACTTTATCTTTTCTTCATTTTTGAAGCTTAGTTACACTGGATACAAAATTCTTGGCTGATAATTATTTTGTTTAAGGAGCCTAAAGATAAGACCCCAGTCCCTACTAGCTTGTAAGGTTTCTGCTGAGAAGTCTGCTGTTAATCCAATAGGTTTTCCTTTATAGGTTAGCTTGATGCTTTTGCCTCACAGCTCTTAAGATTCTTTCCTTCATCTTGACTTTAGACAATTTGATGACTATGTGCCTAGATTACGATCTTTTGCGATGAATTTCCTGGGTATTCTTTGAGCCTCTTGTATTTGGATGTCTAGATCTCTAGCAAGGTCAGGGAAGTTTTCCTTGATTACTCCCTCAAATAAATTTTCCAAAGTCTTAGATTTCTCTTCTTCCTGAGGAACACAAATTTTCTTAGGTTGGTTTGTTTAACATAATCCCAAGCTTCTTGGAGGCTTTGTTCATTTTTTTAAAAGTATTTTTTCTTTTTTATTATACTTTAAATTCTGGGATACGTGTGCAGAACATGCAAGTTTGTTACATAGGTATACATGTGCCATGGTGGTTTGCTGCACTCACCAATCTATCATCTACATTAGGTATTTCTTCTAATGCTGTCCCTCCCCTTGCCCCCAACCCCTGACAGACCCCAATGTGTGATGTTCCCATCCCTGTGCCTGTATGTTCTCATTGTCCAGCTTCCACTTACAAGTGAGAACATGTGGTGTTTGGTTTTCTGTTTCTGTGTTAGTTTGCTGAGAATGATGGTTTCCAGCTTCATCCATGTCCCTGTAAAGGACATGAACTAATTCTTTTTTATGGCTGCATAGTATTTCATGGTGTATATGTGCCACATTTTCTTTATCCAGTCTATCATTGATGGGCATTTGGGTTGGTTCCAAGTCTTTGCTATTGTGAATAATGCTGCAGCAAACATATGTGTGCATGTGTCTTTATAGTAGAATGATTTATAATCCTTTGGGTATATACCCAGTAATGGGATTGCTGGGTCAAATGGTATTTCTGGTTCTAGATCCTTGAGGAATCACCACACTGTCTTCCACAATGGTTGAACTAATTTACACTCCCACCAACTGTGTAAAAGCATTCCTATTTCTCCACATCCTCTCCAGCATCTGTTGTTTCCTGACTTTTTAATGATTGCCATTCTAACTCGTGTGAGATGATATCTTCTTGTGGTTTTGATTTGCATTTCTCTAATGATCAGTGATGATGAGCTTTTTTTTCATGTTTGTTGGCTGCAAAAATGTCTTCTTTTGAGAAGTGTCTCTTCATATCCTTTGCCCACTTTTTGATGGGGTTGTTTGTTATTTTCTTGTAAATTTGTTTAAGTTCCTTGTAGATTCTGGATACTAGTCTTTTGTCAGATGGATAGATTGCAAAAATTTTCTCCCATTCTGTAGGTTGCCTGTTCACTCTGATGATAGTTTCTTTGGCTGTGCAGAAGCTCTTTCATTTAATTAGATCCCATTTGTCTATTTTGGCTTTTGTTGCAATTGTTTTTGGTGTTTTAGTTATGAAGTCTTTGCCCATGCCTATGTCCTGAATGGTATTGCCTAGGTTTTTTTTCTAGGGTTTTTAATGGGTTTAGGTCTTAAGTTTAAGTCTTTAATCCATCTTGAGTTAATTTTTGTATAAGATGTAAGGAAGGGGTCCAGTTTCAGTTTTCTGCATATGGCTAGCCAGTTTTCCCAATACCATTTATTAAATAGGGAATCCTTTCCCCATTTCTTGTTTTTGTCATGTTTGTCAAAGATCAGATGGTTGTAGATGTGTGGTGTTATTTCTGAGGGCTCTGTTCTGTTCCATCCTGTTTTGGTACCAGTACCATGCTGTTTTGGTTACTGAGCCTTGTAGTATAGTTTGAAGTCACGTAGCATGATGCCTCCAGCTTTGTTCTTTTGGCTTAGGATTGTCTTGGATATATGGGCTCTTTTTTGTTCCATATGAAATTTAAAGTAGTTTTTTCTAATTCTATGAAGAAAGTCAATGGTAGCTTGATGGGGATAGCATTGAATCTGTAAATTACTTTGGGCAGCATGGCCATTTTCATGGTATTGATTCTTCCTATCCATGAGCATGGAATGTTTTTCCATTTGTTTGTGTCCTCTCTTATTTCCTTGAGCAGTGGTTTGTCGTTCTCCTTGAAGAGGTCCTTCACATCCCTTGTAAGTTGTATTCGTAGGTATTTTATTCTCTTTGTAGCAATTGTGAATGGGAGTTCACTCATGATTTGGCTGTTTGTCTGTTATTGGTGTATAAGAATGCTTGTGATTTTTGTACATTGATTTTGTATCCTGAGTTTGCTGAAGTTGCTTATCAGCTTAAGGAGTTTTTGGGCTGAGATGATAGGGTTTTCTAAATATACAATCATGTCTTCTGCAAACAGAGACAATTTGACTTGCTCTCTTCCTATTTGAATGCCCTTTATTTGTTTCTCTTACCTGATTTCCCTGGCCAGAACTTCCCATACTATGTTGAATAGGAGTGGTGAGAGAGGGCATCCTTGTCTTGTGCTGGTTTTCAAAGGGAATACTTCCAGGTTTGGCCTATTCAGTATGATATTGGCTATGAGTTTGTCATAATTAGCTCTTATTATTTTGAGATATGTTCCATCAATACCTAGTTTATTGAGTGTTTTTAGCATGAAGGGGTGTTGAATTTTATCGAAGGCCTTTTCTGCATCTATTGAGATAATCATGTGGCTTTTACATGGTTCTGTTTATGTGATGGATTATGTTTATTGATTTGCATATGTTGAACCAGCGTTGCATCCCAGGAATTGATCGCGGTGGATAAGCTTTTTGATGTGCTGCTGGATTAGGTTTGCCAGTATTTTATTGAGGATTATCACATCGATGTTCATCAGGGATATTGGCCTGAAATTTTCCTTTTTTGTTGTGTCTCTGCCAGGTTTTGGTATAAGGATGATGCTGGCCTCATAAACTGAGTTAGGCAGGAGTCCCTCTTTTTCTTTTTGGAATAGTTTCAGAAGGAATGGTACCGGCTCCTCTTTGTACCTCTGGTAGAATTTGGCTGTGAACCCATCTGGTCCTGGGCTTTTTTTGGTTGGTAGGCTATTAATTACTGCCTCAATTTCAGAGCTTGTTATTGGTCTATTCAGGGATTTGACTTCTCCCTGGTTTGGTCTTGGGAGGGTGTATGTGTCCAGGAATTTATTCATTTCTTCTAGATTTTCTAGTTTATTTGTGTAGAGGTGTTTATAGTATTCTCTGATGGTAGTTTCTGTTTCTGTGGGATCAGTGGTGATATCCCCTTTATCATTTTTTATTGTGTCTATTTGATTTTTCTCTCTTTTCCTCTTTATTAGTCTGGCTAGCAGTCTATCTATTTTGTTAATCTTTTCAAAAAACCAGCTCCTAGATTCGTTGATTTTTTTGAAGGGTTTTTCATGTCTCGATGTCCTTCAGTTCTGCTCTGATCTTAATTATTTCTTGTCTTCTGCCAGCTTTTGAATCTGTTTGTTTTTTCTTCTCTAGTTCTTTTAATTGTGATGTTAGGGTATTGGTTTTGGATCTTTCCCACTTTCTGATGTGGGCATTTAGTGCTACAAATTTCCCTATAAACACTGCTTTAGCTGTGTCCCAGAGATTCTGGTACGTTGTGTGTTTGTTCTCAATGGTTTTAAAGAACTTATTTAGTTCCACCTTAATTTTGTTACTTACCCAGTAGTCATTCAGGAGCAGGTTGTTTAGTTTTCATGTAGTTGTGTGGTTTTGAGTGAATTCCTGTTTTCTTTTTTCTTTCTTTCTTTTTTTTTTTTTTAGATGGAGTCTCGCTCTGCCACTGAGGCTGGAGTGCAGTGGCGCCATCTTGACTCACTGCAACCTCTGCCTCCTGGGTTCAAGCGATTCTCCTGTCTCAGCCTCCCAAGTAGCCGGGACTACAGGCATGTGCCAGCATACCTGGCTAATTTTTGTACTTTTTGTAGAGACAGGGTTTCACCATGTTGGCTAGGCTGTTGTTGAACTTCTGACCTCAGGTGATTGGCCTTCCTCGGCCTCCCAAAGTGCTGGGATTACAGGCGTGAGCCACTGCACTCGGCCTTGAGTGAGTTTCTTAATCCTGAGTTCTAATTTCCTTGCACTGTGGTCTGAGAGACTGTTTGTAATGATTTCCGTTCTTTTGCATTTGCTGAGGGTGTTTTATTTCCAATTATGTGTTCAATTTTAGAATAAGTGCTATGCGGTGCTGAGAAGAATGTATATTCTGTTGCTTTGGGGTGGAGAGTTCTGTAGATGTCTATTAGGTCTGTTTGGTCCGGAGCTGAGTTCAAGTCGTGAATATCCTTGTTAATTTTCTGTCTCATTCTTCTATCTAATATTGACAGTGGAGTGTTAAAGTTTCCTACTATTACTGTGTGGGAGTCTAAGTCTCTTTGTAGGTCTCTTAAAACTTGCTTTATGAATCTGGGTGCTCTTATATTGGGTGCATGTATTTAGGATAGTTAGCTCTTCTTGTTGCATTGATCCCTTTACCATTATGTAATGCCCTTCTTTGTCTTTTTTGATCTTTGTTGGTTTAAAGTCTGTTTTATCAGAGACTAGGATTGCAATCTCTGCTTTTTGTTTGTTTGTTTGCTTTCCATTTGCTTGGTAAATATTCCTCCATCCCTTTATTTTGAGTCTATGTGTGTCTTTGCACGTGAGATGGGTCTCCTGAATACAGCACACCGATGGGTCTTGACTCTTCATCCACTGTGCCAGTCTGTGTCTTTTAATTGGGGCATTTAGCTTGTTTACATTTAAGGTTAATATTGTTGTGTGTGAATTTGGTCCTGTCATTATGATGCTAGCTGGTTATTTTGCCCATTAGTTGATGCAGTTTCTTCATAGTGTTGATGGTCTTTACATTTTGGTATGTTTTTGCAGTGGCTGGTACCAGTTTTTCCTTTCCATATTTAGTGCTTCCTTCAGGAGCTCTTGTAAGGCAGGCCTGGTGGTGACAAAATCCCTTAGCATTGCTTGTCTGTAAAGGATTTTATTTTCCTTCACTTTAAGGTTAGTTTGGCTGGATATGAAATTCTGGGTTGAAAATTCTTTTCTTTAAGAATGTTGAATATTGGCCCCTACTCTCTTCTGGCTTGTAGGGTTTCTGCAGAGAGAGCCACTGTTAATCTGATGGGCTTCCCTTTGTGGGTAACCCGACCTTTCTCTCTGGCTGCCCTTAAGATTTTTTCCTTCATTTCAACCTTGGTGAATCTGACAATTATGTGTCTTGGGGTTGTTCTTCTCTAGGAGTATCTTTGTGGTGTTCTCTGTATTTCCTGAATTTGAATGTTGGCCTGTCTTGCTAGATTGGGGAATTTCTCCTGGATAATATCCTGAAGTGTGTTTTCCAACTTGGTTCCATTCTCCCTGTCACTTTCAGGTACACCAATCAAATGTTGGTTTGGTCTTTTCACATAGTCCCATATTTCTTGGAGGCTTTGTTCATTCCTTTCATTCTGTTTTCTCTAATCTTGTCTTCACACTTTATTTCATTAAGTTGATCTTCAGTCTCTGATATCGTTTCTTCCTCTTGGTTGATTCAGCTATTGATACTTGTGTATGTTTCACGAAGTTCTCATGCTGTGTTTTTCAGCTCCATCAGGTCTTTTCTGTTCTCTAAACTGGTTATTCTAGTTAGCACTTCCTGTAACCTTTTATCAAGGTTCTTAGCTTCTTTGCATTGGGTTAGAACATGCTTTTTTAGCTTGGAGGAGGTTGTTATTACCTACCTTCTGAAGCCTACTTCTGTCAATTCATCAAACTCAGTCTCCATCCAGTTTTGTTTCCTTGCTGGCAAGGAGTTGTGATCCTTTGGAGGAGAAGAGGCATTCTGGTTTTTGGAATTTTCAGCCTTTTTGCACTGGTTTTTCCTCATCTTCATGGATTTATCTACTTTTGGTCTTTGATGTTGGAGACCTTCAGTTGGGGTTTTTGCGTGGGCATCCTTTTAGTTGATGTTGATGATACTGCTTTCTGTTTGTTAGTTTTACTTCTAATAGTCAGGGTCCTCTTCTGTAGGTCTGCTGGAGTTTGCTGGGGGTGTACTCCAGACCCTGTTTTCCTGGGTATCACCAGCGGAGGCTGCAGAACAGCAAATATTGCTGCCTGCTCCTTCCTCTGGAAGCTTCATCCCAGAGGGGCACTCGCCAGATACCAGCTGGAGTCTTCCTATATGAGGTGTATGTTGGCCCCTGCTGGGAGGTGTCTCCCAAACAGGAGGCACGTGGGTCAGGGACCCACTTGAGGAGGCAGTCTGTCCCTTAGCAGAACTCGAGCACTGTGCTGGGAGATCCTCTGCTCTCTTCAGAGCTGGCAGGCAGGAACATTTAAGTCTGCTGAAGCTGCACCCACAGGTGCCCCTTCCCCCAGGTGCTTTGTTCCAGGGCATTTCTCTCAGAGATGCCCTGCCCAGAGAGGAGGAAACTAGAGAGGTGGTCTGGCTACAGTGGCTTTGCCATGCTGTGGTGGGCTCTGCTTAGTTCGAACTTCCCTGTGGCTTTGTTTACACTGTGAAGGGAAAACCGCCTACTGAAGCCTCAGTAATGGTGGACTCCCCTCCACCTCCCCCAACAAGCTCAAGCATCCCAGGTTGACTTTAGACTGCTGTTTTGGCAGTGAGAATTTGAAGCCAGTGGATCTTAGCTTGTTGGGCTCCATGGGGATGGGATCTACTGAGCAAGACTACTCGGCTCCCAGGCTTCAGCCCCTTTTCCAGGGGAGCGAACAGTTCTGTCTCATTGGAGTTTCATGTGCAACTGGGGTACAAAAACAAACACCTTCAGCTAGCTAGGTGTCTTCCCAAACACCCACCCAGTTTTGTGCTTGAAACCCAGGGCCCTGGTTGTGTAGGCACCCAATGGAATCTCCTGGTCTGTGGGTTGCAGAAACCATAAGAAAAACATAGTATCTGGGCCAGGTAGCACCATCCCTCATGGCACAGTTCCTCATGGCTTCCCTTGGCTAGTAGATGGAGTTCCCCGGTCCCTTGCACTTCCCAGGTGAGGCAACACCCACCCCTGCTTCTGCTCGCCCTCTGTGGGCTGCACCCACTGTCTAACCAGTCCCAATGAGATGAACTGGGTATCTCAGTTGGAAATGCAGAAATCACCCACCTTCTGCATTGGTCTCACTGGGAGCTGCAGACCAGATCTGTTCTATTTGACCATCTTGCCAGCCCCCTGTCCCCATATTTTCTTTGTCTTTGTTGGATTGGATTAATTTGAAAGCCTTGTCTTTGAGCTCTAAAGTCTTTTCCTTTACTTGTTCGGTTCTATTGTTGAAATTTTCCAGTGTATTTTGCATTTCTGTAAGCATGTCTTTCATTTCCAGAAGCTGTGATTTTTTTTTATGATATCTGTTTCTTCAGAGATTTTTTTTCAATCATATCCTGTATTATTTTTTAAGTTTCTTTAAGTTTGTTTTCACCTTTCTCTGGTGCCTCCTTGAGTAGCTTAATAATCGACCTTCTGAATTCTTTTTCTGGCAATTCAGAGATTTCTCCTTGGTTTTGATCCATTGCTGGTGAGCTAGTGTGATCTTTTGATGGTGTTATAGAACCTTGTTTTGTCATATTACCAGAATTGTTTTTTTTTTTTCTAGTTTGGATAGACTATGTCAGAGGAAAGATCTGGGACTCAAGGGCTGCTGTTCAGATTCTTTTGTCCCATGGGGTGATCCCTTGATGTGGTGCTCTCCCTCTTCCCCTAGGGATGGGGCTTCCTGAGAGCATGACTGCAGTGATTGTTATTGCTCTTCTGGGTCTAGCTACCCAGTGGAGCTATCAGGCTTTAGGCTGGTAGTGGGGAGTGTCTGTGAAGAGTACTATGATGTGATTCATCTTCAGGTCTCTCAGCCGTGGCTACCAGCACCTTCTCCAGTGGAGGTGGCAGGGCAGTGAAGCAGACTCTATGAGAGTCCTTGGTTGTAGTTTTGTTTAGTATGCTGGTTTTCTCAAATGCTGGTTATGCTGGCAGTGAAGTTGTGATGTGAACAAGTTCAGGACCTCTGGTTAGCCAGGGTGTTACAGCCGGTGGAATTAGATGTTGTTTTCCCCTTCCTTGGAGTAGGGTTGGTCTGTTATGAGTTGCTGTAATGCCTTGAGTTGGTTGGCTTCCAGCCACATGGTGTTGTCTTTAAGAGAGCAACATCGATGGTAGTGTGGAGGGATACAAACTTGGCCTAACATCACCTGGATAAGTATTCAGGTTTCTCAGGTAATGGGCAGAGCCATAGAGCTCCCATGAATTTATGTCTTTTGTCTTCAGTTACTACGTCAGGTAGAGAAAAACCATCAGGTGGGGGCAGGGTTAGGCGTTTCTGAGCTCAGACTTTCCTTGGGCAGGGCTTGCTGCTGCCACTGTGAGGGGTGGGGTAGTGGTTCTCAGGCCAATGGAGTTATGTTCCAAGGGGGATTATGGCTCCCTCTGATGCTTTGTACAGTTCGCCAGGGAAGTAGGGGGAAAGTTGGCATTGACAGGCCTCACCCAGCTCCCACACAGCCAGCAAGGCCAGTTTCACTCCCTCTGTACTCCCACAACAGCCAACAGAGCCAAATTTATATCCAGACCTCCAGTGTGTAGGGCTGAGATCTTGCTCCAGCAGCTTTCAGTACTTCGCCATTCAGTATGATACTAGCTGTGAGTCTGTCATATACGGCTTTTATTATGTTGAGATACATTCCTTCTATACCCAGTTTTATTGAGGGTTTTTATCATGAAGGGATGTTAAATTTTATCAAAAGCTTTTTCAGCATCAATTGAAATGATCATATGGTTTGATATGATATATCACACTGATTTATTTGTGTATGTTGAATCATTCTTGCATCCATGGGATAAATCACACAGCCATGATGAATGATGTTTCAATGTGTTGTTGAATTTGGTTTGCTCGTATTTTTTGAGGATTTTTGCATCAATGTTCATCCGGGATATGGGCCTTTAGTTTTCTTTTTTTGATGTGTCTTTGTGTCTGGTTTTGGTTTAAGGGTACTACTGGCCTCATAGAATGAGTTTGGAAGTAACCCCCTCTCCTCTATTTTTCAGAATAGTTTGAGCAGGGGTGGTATTAATTCTTCTTTAAATGTTTGGTAAAATTTTGCAGTAAAGCCATTGGGTCCTAGGTTTTTCTTTGCTGGGAGACTTTTTATTATAGCTTCAATCTTGCTAGATGTTATTGATTTATTCAAGTTTTGGATTTCTTCATGGTTCAATCTTTGTAGATTGTATGTGGCTAGGAATTTATTTATTTTTAGGTTTTAAAATTTATTGGCATATATTTACCTCATAGTAACCTCTAGCGATCCTTTGAATTTCTGTGGTATTGATTGTAATGTCTCCTTTTCCTTCTCTCATTTTATTTATTTGAGGCCTCTCTCTTTTTTTCCTTAGTCTGCCTGGCTAACGGTTTGTCATTCTGTTTATCTTTTCAAAAAAGTAAACTTTTTGTTTCGTTGATCTTTTGTATCATTTTCTTCAATTTCATTTATTTCTGCTCTGATCTTTATTGTTTCTTCTACTAACTTTGGGTTTGGTTTGCTCATGCTTTTCTAGTTCTTTAAGATGCATCATTAGGTTATTTGAAGTTTTTCTTCCTTTTTGATGTAGGTGTTTATAGCTATATACATCCCTCTTAGTACTGCATTTGCTGTATCCTTTAGATTTTGTTGTTGTATTCCAATTATTTGTTTCAATAAATTTTTTGATTGCCATTTTAATCTCCTCTTTGACCCACTGGTCATTCTGGAGCATATTGTTTAAATTCCATGTGATTTTATAGTTTCCAAAATTCCCTTTGTTATTGATTTCTGGTTTATTTCATTGTTGTCAGAGAAGATACTTGATGTGATTTCCATTTTTGAATGTTTAAGACTTGTTTTGTGGCTAGCATATGGTCTGTCCTTAAGACTGATTCATGTGCTTAGGAGAAGAATGTTTATTTTGCAACTGTTGGATGAAATATTTATAAATATCTATTAGATCCATTTGGTCTATAGTGCAGATTAAGTCCAGTGTTTCGTAGTTTTCTTGTTATGTATTTCCCTCAGGCTTCAGATCTTTTTACCAGCTCAGTGTAGAGCCCTGGGGCCTGTGTGTCTATCTGATAGGATAAGCCGTGGTTATTTATTTTTGCCATTTTACGTCTCTTCAAGCTCTTGTTATGTCACTTGCACAGCTTTGTGAGTGAAAAGATATAAATATGATTTGGGATATTCTGCTTACAGGGTGATGAAAGGAGCCCAGAGAAAAAGATAAAATTTACCTGGTGCTCTTAGTGAGTCTCTTTTTGTGCTTTGTATTCTTTTAGAGGAATCTTCTGTTTAAGAAGTTTATCTTTTGACTTTATGTCTAGTATGTTCTGTTTATTGGCAAGGATAACTAATTCTTTATGGTTGTGGTTGTGCTTCCTTTCTCCAATCGAGAGAGACCAAAATATAAACTTAAGTGGTTTTTTCCTGCTGATCACTCATTATGCATTTTCTAGGCATCTTTTTCCTGGATTGCCTATTTATGTCCTCAAATCTCTTCTTACAAAATTCAGGTATATTAGTGACCTTTACTTTCATTATTATATGTTTTCATTTTCTTTCACCAATACTATACAAGTAGTAATAGGGTGAGGAGCCACAGTGAGTAGGGTGAAATGAGCACATTTGTATATTGTGGCTCTCTTACTGAGCCTCACTAGTATTACCGATTATAGCATGAGATTGTATGTTTTTGTTGTTGAATGTATTTTTGCCAGTTTTTAACTACTTTTGTTTCTTTCCTCTCTTCCTGTCTTGCTTTTTTGTTGTTGTTGTTAGTTTAGGAGAAGGAAGATTTTGTAAGCTGGCTTTACCATCTTTACCAAGAAGTTTGATTTACTGTATTATTTCAATTATGTGTACTTCAAATTTCTTATATATTTTTTCTGTTTGATCAGTCATGAGCTAAAAGGAGTTAAGGGTTCTATTACTATTATCTTTCTCTTCCTTTTGAATTCTCTACTAATTTTGCATTGCATATTTTGATGAATACTATTTGTTGTATAAAAGTTTATACTAATTCATTGTTTTTTTTGGAAATAGTATACTTTATTTTTGTATTTTTGCCCCAAAGTCAGCTTTATCTGGTATTCATATTGTGACCCTCACTTTCTTCTTGTATTTGTCTCCTGTGTTTTTGTCTACTTTTTATTAACCTTGATTGAATCTGTAATCCAAGAGTCTTTTTTTGACTAATAGGCTAGTTTTCCTGATTGTATTTGTTGATATGATATGTATCAGTTTTGATTTATTCTTGTGTTTCTGTAATAAACTCTATTTGGTTATGATGTATTTTTAAAATGTGATGTTAGATAATGCTGGCCAATATTTTATTTAGCACTTTTATGTTGATATGCATAAGTTGAATGGTTTGTACTTTAACTTTGTTATTGTGATAAAAACATATAACATTAAGTGCACCATCTTAACACTTTTTAAATGTACAGTTCAGCAGTGTTAAGTATATTCATCCTGTTGTGCAACAGATCTCTAGTAGTTTTCCATCTTGTAAAACTAAAAGTCTATACCCATTCAACACGAATTCCCTTTTCCTCTTCCTCCCAGTCCTTGGCAACCACCTTTGCACATCCTGTTTCTGATTTTGAATACTTTATATGAGTGGAATCATACAGTATTTGTGCTTATGTGACTGGCTTATTTCACTTAGCATAATGTCCTCGAGGTTTATCTATGTTGTAGTATGTAACAGGATGCCCTTTTTAAAGGCTGCATAATATTCTATTATATGTGTATACCATCTTTTCCTTATTATTTTTCTTTTGATGGACATTTGAGTTGCTTCTACCTCTTGCTATTGTGAATAATGCTGTAATGAATGTGAGTGTGCAACTATCTCTTTAAAATCTTGCTTTGAATTCTTTTGGATATATTTCCAGAAGTGGGATTCTTAGATCATATGGCAACTGTATCATTAATTTTCTGAGAACCTCTATATTGGCTGTAGTGACTGTACCATTTGACATTCCCACACAGCAGTGCATAAGGATTCTAATTTCTCCACATCCACATCAGCATTTGTTATTTCCTATTCATTTGATAGTGGCCATCCTAATGTGTGTAGGCAATATCTCATGTGGCTGTGATTTGCATTTCTCATATGATTAGCAATGGTGACTATTTTTAATATGCCTGTTGGACATTGTATATCTTCTTTGGTGGTTTGATTATTCAAGTCTTTTGCCCATTTTTGAATTGGGTTAATAATAATTTTAATCCAATTTTTGTGTTGTTGAGTTGTAGGAGTTGTTTATGATTCTGGATATTAACTCTTCATTGATTATATATCTTAATAATGTTTTTGTCATCTTATTTTTCACTACATATTCACTACATATTTTCTTTCTTATTCTCTAAAGTAAGTGTGTGTGTGTGTGTGTGTGTGTGTCTTACTTTGGTTGATTTGGAAGGTATAT
This sequence comes from Homo sapiens, assembly GCF_000001405.40. NCBI lineage: Eukaryota > Metazoa > Chordata > Mammalia > Primates > Hominidae > Homo > Homo sapiens. Next base: position 114,975,388 of record NC_000001.11, read on the forward strand.
GTAGTCTTTTAAATTAGTTTATTGATTACCTTTATATTTTAAAATAATGTATCTAATACTGTCTCCTGTTTCATATTGCCCTACATATACAATTTTAGTATTTATTATTTTACATTGTCAAGATTGATAAAAATGTATATTCTATTATTTCACTATGATTCCTGTATCTCTTTAACTTGAGCTTTATATTTACATAGATTCAGCTCATCTTTTATATGCAACTTTTTTCCAAGTTCTCAGTCAATATGACAATCCCCACTTTACCTATAAGCCCATTGGTATAGGAAACTGTTACTAGATGACTGTCTTAACTTCTAATTAAAATAGATTGGCTTTTTGGGATTATGATAAATCATTTTTCCTATATCTTTCATTAATTTGATGGGGCCTTAATCTCTGCCTAGCAATGTGAAATTTGTTTACTATCTTGATATGGAGAGAGAGATTCAAAGTTGGTCCTTTCAACTTTAAAATCTCTTACTCTGTGACTCTGTGGTCAGAACAAACATGGGGATTATTCCTTTTATTGAGTTTGTTCAAACTATATTCTTAGAATCTAAAAAAATGAGCACAAGATAGGTTTATGGTTCCATGGGCTCACCATGAAGTAGACTCTGATAAAATTCTAATTATTGCTTGATGCTGATATGCTTGCACTCTGACCAGTGAAAAAATAGTGGCATTATAGATTCCCAATAATTAATGTTAGTTGATGTGCAATTACCCATGTCTTAATATTTTAATCCTTGGTGCACAAGATAGTAGGAAGGATGCAGTATGTATTTGTGATATTATTTCAGAACTTTTCCACTAGAGTACCAGGCTTCCTTTTTATTCAAAAGGCTATAGGCTGATACGTTTATTTAGATCCAAAATTTGGTTACAAGGTTGTCATTCTCTACTCTGGTGATCAAGTCAACTCTCTGTTTGCCAGGCCGTATTATAGGAATATCTTACTTATTCAGATTAAATAGGAACCTTAGTGGTCTGGCCATCTCTTTGGTTTAAGGGAACTGATGATTATTTAGCTACCACTAAAGATACGCATTCTTGTATGAGCTGTTTCATACCTTGGAAACATATATTATATTAGAAGAGACTTTACCAAGATCTCCAGACGAGGAAAAGTCAGAATTGCAGAGACAGTGCAGTTGTAGGCGATGGTTTCTCCCGTCTGTCCTCTAGAAGCCAAGATACATATTCTGAGAGTCATTACGATATTGCTGGTTTAGAAAATGTGCTTTGTCCTAAAAGACAGCATTCCAGCCCCTTAGAGTAGACTCCAATTGTCACTATAACTGAAGATCAACCATTGGTAGGTTATAGGATACATAATAAGAACAGTAAATACTATTGCATCAGTTTACAGCCAGCTTCTTTCATAGTGAAGTGAGTTCTGTGATTAGGAGCAATGCTATGGGAGAGATAACATGGTGTATGCAAGGTATTCAGTGAGGATAGATACTGGCATAGACATCATGGGCGAGTTTTACTGCCTAAAATTCTGCACACTTGGAGATTTTTACTTTCTAAGACCTCTAATACTCCCTGGAGTTGTAAAAATTTTGTGCTTCAGATGGTTGTCATATTACAGGCACCCTACATATTCATTTATGTAGGCCAGGCTTTTCTTTTATCTTACTGAATAAATTCTATCTAATGATATTAGCATATCACTCTTTCCATTCTGACCACAGCTCTCCTTTCCATTTTTATCTTGACTATACACATACCCAAAGTCTAACTGAACTGCACCTTTTCTCAACATGCATAGAAAAATCTAATTCTGCCTGTAAAGGCTCACAATATTTTAGATCTTTTTGCAACTTTTCACAGCTTAGTTACTTGTGCGTATCTCTCATTCTGTAATTTGTTCCATTAGCTTTATTTTACAAATAAGAAAGCTGAGATTCAGAGTTTTAAGAGACTTATTCAAAAGTCCACAGATATACACTAGAGACTGATTAGAATAAAGGAAGAGATAATCAAAACCAAATAATACCTCTGTAGAAAGGAACTAACTTTTCTTTTTTTTCTTTTTATTACTTTATAAGATTGAGAGGTTCGTCATCTTTCTTTGTTAATACTTACTAGGAAAGATTTTGATAATATTCATTTGTGATCATTGTGATGTTTATGTTACTTGTACTTGATATTTATTTTTAATAGGAAAAACTCAAAAGAGAGGCAAAAGAAAACACAGCTACTCTTAAAGAAAAAAAAGACAAGGTAAGAGCATATAATTCTCATAGTTTTAAAATACCAATTCATTTTCTAACTTCTACTTAGAAATGATTTTTTGTTTATAAGTAGGAAAATAACATTTTACATATATCATACAATTTCATTTTCTAAATTGTTTCTTGCTATTTATTAATTCAAAAGCATTTTAGCTAAAAATTTCAAAATTTTGTCATTTGGAGATTTGGAGAAGGTTTCAGTCTAATGCAGAAACAAAAAAGAAGAAAAAAAGAAGGTTTCAGTCTTTCTCTACAATTCTTATTATAGTTTTAATTTAATTAGGTACCTCTGTGTTTCTCTCTTAAGAATTTTTTAATGTTAGAGGCAAAATATTTTCATAAACAATTCTAAAGTTTATTTAGATTATGTCTAATTTTGGGTTTTGAGGGGGCTTAATAAATGACATCCTGTTTTCCTCACTTATATTCTGAACCAATTGAGAAAGACAAGGGAGAATAAAAATAATATTTTTATTATTGAAGACTTTATTAAAAAGTATCAATATTTTAAATACTGGAGAATGCAGTTTATATTTGAAGGCAATAGGATCTCTTAATCTTGAAATCCCAAATTAGACAAATTTATCTTCTGCCACAAGTAGAGCTTGACTAGCATAGGTCTACCCACTTGATCATCTGCTCTTGTAAAACTTAGGGTATAAAGGAGAAGAGCAGAATTTATGTGTAATTCTAATAGTTCTCAAGGGGAGTAATAAGGAAGAGGCTGAGCTGTATGTGTCCAGCTTCTCCTTTTCTTTAAATTCACCAATCACATTAAGTAATTTTTTCTCCCCTAAGGAATCAGGAAGAGGTTTGGAATGTTACCCTAGTGGTACTCCCTACATATGGAAGGAAACATCAGTCATAGAGAAGAAGAATACCCCTCAGCTTCTAACCTATTTGATAATATAGGATCATTGCAGAAGAATTTTGATTTAGCAAATTTTTGGTTAAAATGATTAAGAATTTTCTTTACATATAGTGATATAATCTCCTAAGTTCCCACAGAGGTTGCTCTGATTATAGTTAAACTGGAAGGAAATGACACTCAGAGTAGTTTGAGAACAGTTCATTATATTTTATTACACTTGAGTTAAAAGAGAATAAAGGAAAGATGCACTGAACCTGTGAGTGAATACTGAGTGCTTTGTATGTTCCAGACACTGTGCTAGACACTTGAAAACATTATATCTGAAGAAATTATAATCATAATAAAATTATGCAGAATGGTTAGATATAGACTTAAGGAAGTATCTAATGAATATAAGCAAATTGGTTAATCTCCAATATTCTTTTTTAAATTTAGAATGTCTTCATATTATGAAAGTATGTATCACATATTCTTATAGAGATATTTTGATTCATGTACAATTCTATATGTTTCCATTATCAAGTAGATTAGCAAATGCCATATATTTTATCTGAGAGTCTAGATATATATGTTGGAAAATGAACCATATATATGTTGGAAAATGAGAAAAATGATGAATGAAGAAATTTAACTAGGCTTTTTTTTTTTTTGCTGTGCTTTATTCCAACACTACTGAAACATAAGGCTTGTTAAATTTACCAAACGTTTCTGAGTTTGGACAAGTTACTTAACTTCTTCGTGTTTCAATTTTCTCATCTATAAAGGGATAATAATAATACCTATTTCCTAAAGTTGTTATGAGGATTAAATGAGATGGTATTTGTAAAACATTTAAAATAGTGCTTGGGACATAGCACATGCCTTATAAATGTTTGTTTGAAAAATACAACAGAGAAAATTGTGAATTTTCTGGAAAGGGATAGTTCAGTATTGTCACATGAGAATTTTCTTTAGGCTACCAGCGAAATGTCAAATTCCAGATATGGCCACAAGGTGGTGCAGTGACCTTAAATTGTCATTCTCCTACCTGTAGGGAGGAACAATTTGTCCATTAAAGCAGTTACATTTTGGCGGTTCCAAAGTTTACCCCTGATGAATCCAGAGAGCAGTAAAAAAATTGCTCTCATCAAAATTTTGTCATCAACTATGATGTATAAATATGTAGGGAAAAGGATACAGAAATGCAATTCTGAAAAAATTCATACTTGCTAGAAAAAGGATTATGAAATGACAGATCACTAGAATTACGCAGGAAAGATATAAGCCATCTCATTTAGCCTCTTGATTTATAGATGAATAAATTTAAGCTTGGAGATACTTGAAGATTTACTTAAATAATCCGGAAAGATAGGAAAGATCTAGGAGAAAAGACCATATGATGTACCTGGCTCCTAGTTCAATGATTTTTTTATAGTACATGTAGTTGCCTCTTTATCCTATACTCTAATTTAAACGCACTGAAAGTTCAGCCACCATGCTTTCAAATTTTGTCCTTGTATTCCCTTTTTGTGTGTGTGTGCTCTAGAGAATTCAGAGAAAGGAGAGATGTTCTCAGAAGAACATGGTCCTGTAAAGGAGGGCTCTACAATGAAAGGCAGTAGGAGAACTGAAAGAACACGATTCTAGAAAAAGGGGAATTTGAGTTTCACAGCTAACTAGCTGTGGAATTGAGTAAATTAACATGCCTCAATTTCCTTACAATTTCCTTATGAATAATTGCCACGATTGTATTCGTGGAGATGGTGGTGACCAAAGAAACTGTAAAATAGAAAGTGATGAGCATGAGTTTCATGTAGAATCCCACTAAAGCAACTATTACTAGCTTTTACTAGAAAGTTAGGTCAGGTGCTAAAAGAAGCTGTATACAAAGGTAGAGTGAAAGAGAACTGAGGAAACTGAGTTGAAAAAATGTCAAGTATTTAGAGTAAACTTGCAATTTATTTATTTAGAATTGAAGCAAATAGCCATTTTCTCAGTTTTTTTCCCTGAAAATTTTTCTCATTCTTTACTTTCATAATTATTCTCCTTGCTTTTGGAGGCAAGTTAGGCTGGTGGATAGGAAAAGGCTGATATTTTTATAGGTGAAAAAGAAGAAGTATCAATGTATGAAAGAGAACGAATGAAAGTTAGAATAGATTTCCTTCTGACTTTTAGGCTATTGTAATGAACCATAGATTAGGGCTTTTTGCCACCAGGAGTAAAGATTTTTTTTTATTTTTTAAAGAGAATCCTCAACTTTTGGTCAGAGAGTTGAGATATCTTATTTGTTTTCATTTTTAAAAATTTAACTTTTATTTTAAGTTCAGGGGTACATGTACAGATTTATTATATAGGTAAACTTCTGTCATGGGGGTTTGTTGTACAGATTATTTTGTCACCCAGGTATTAAACCTATACCCGTTAGTTATTTTTCCTGATCCTCTTCCTCCTCCCATCCTGCATGCTCCCATAGGCCCCAGTGTGTTTTGTTGTCTCCCTCTATGTGTCCATGTGTTCTCATGATTTAGCTCCCACTTATAAATGAGTCCATGTGGTATTTGGCTTTCTGTTCCTGCATTAGTTTGCTAAGAATAACGACCTCCAGGATATCTTATTTGTTTTCATAGAGGCTCTGTGAAGACAGGCAGGGGCAGATAACATTTGCATCTTAAATGGACAAGTAAAGTGACAAAGAAGATAACTGTAACTTATTCAAACTTATCTAGTCAGTGATAAATTTAGGGATAAATTTGCTTATTTTGTTGTGAATTCTACTAGTTGCTGCACTTTAATTAAAGAAATAAATAATTAATGTGACATTTAGTGATGGTTTTATTCATTCTTGTTGTTCAATGCAGAAAACACAAACATTTTTATTGGAAACACCTGAAATTTATTGGAAATTGGATTCTAAAGCAGTTCCTTCACAAACTGTATCTCGAAATTTCACATCAGTTGATCATGGCATATCCAAAGATAAAAGAGACTATCTGTGGACATCTGCCAAAAATACTTTATCTACACCATTGCCAAAGGTTTGTGTCTAAATTTTCCATGTTAGTAGTAATTTTTTAAATAAATAAATAAAGTTCTGTTATCACCATATATCTGGCATCACGCACACATATATAACTAGTTTCTTGAAAGTTTCAATTTTTTTTGTGGTATCAGCATGAAATGTAAAGACAAGGTCTTGCTGTGTTGCCTAGGATGGTCTTGAACTCCTGGCCTTAACTCATCCTCCTGTCTTGGCCTCCCAAAGTATTGGGATTATAGGTGTAAGCCACTGTGCCTGGCCTTCAACATGAAATTGTTTCATTTTTTTCGATCACTGTCCACAACTTAATGTCATCTTGGGCAGATTTCATAACTTAATAGTTATTTATCAGTGTTTAAGGCCCTGACACAGGAAATCTGATTCTGACTTGACATTTTATAGCATCACCACAGTTACTACTTCCCTTTGCTGTTTACCCCAATCATCTTGCATCTGTAGTCCTTGGCAGTCATCTTGGAGCAGATGCCTCTAGCAAAGTGGCTCAGTTCTGACTGTCTTTCATATAGCCACTTAATCCATGGGGAATTCATACAACTTTTCCATGCTAAATGGCAGTGCAGATGCTTTACTTTTGATCTCTCTTACCTCTCTCTCGTTTCCTTTTCCTCTCCTCAGCTAGATACAAAGACAAACAAATTTGCTGCCTACATTCATATCTAACTAGGGAATGAGATGCCAGTCTTTCTTTCTTGGAAGCACTCCTAATATTCTTTATAAAGATGCTCTTGGAGTTCCTGCCTCACTTGTCTTGGGAGTTGAAAAGGATCTCAATTGTCTCCATCCCACTAAGTTTAAATGTTACGCCTTTTCCTTCTCAGTTTCCCAGTTGTGTTTGATGGTGTCTGCAAGGTGTCTGCAAGTCTCTGAGACTTTGTTTTTCTTCATTTTTTTTCTATTCCATATCAGTTGAATTATATTCAGGCTCATGGATTCTTCTTCTGCTTGCCCAAATCTGCTATTGAGCCCTTCTAGTAAATTTTTCATTTCAGCTATTGTATTTTTTAATTCCAGAATTTCTATTTGGTTCTTTTGATAATTTATTTCTTTTTATTGATATTCCATTTAGTGAGATGTTGTTTTCATGCTTTTCTTCATTTCTTTGACATAATTTTCTTTAGCTCTTTGAACATATTTAAAATAGCTGACTTTAAATCTTTGTCTAGTTAAGTCCAATGTCAAGGCTTCCTCAGGGAGAGTTTCTGTTGTTTGTTCTTTTACTTTTCTATTTGGGCCATACTTTCTTCTTTCTTTGCATGTCTCATATTTTTTGTTTAAACTGGCCATTTAAAAATATAACAACTCTGGAAATCAGATTCTCTCCTATTCCCATGATTTGTTGTTGCTACTTGTTGTAGTTATTGTTTGTTTTGTGACTTTTCTAGACTAATTCTGTAAAGTTTGTATTTTTTGTTGTGAGTGCCACTAAAGGTTCTCCTTGATTAGCTTAGTTTTTAGCTAATGTTTGGACACAAATTTCTTCAAATGCCTAGAATGAATAAATTTCCCAATCTTTGTCAAAGGTCTCTATTATATGTGTATAAGGGCATGCTTTCAACACTTAGCCAGGTAGTTGACAACTCTGCCTTAGCTTTCCATTCCTGCTTGTAGAGAATCTCAAGATTAGCCAGTGGTGAAAACTTAGGGCCTTTTCAGGACCTTCCTGAGCCTATAGATAGCCCTACACATATGCGTGGCCTTCTATATTTCCAGGAATATATCAAGGCTTTTCAAAGCTTCCCCATGGATATTTCATTTCCTAGCTTTTCTTTCAAGGTTTTTGGTTAGTCTTTTGTTTGTCCCAACTATTCATCACTGCTTCACGTTGCTGCAAAGTTAAAACGTTTGTTGTTTTTGACAAATTCTGCCCCCTACTTCACACACACACCAAGGAGAAGGCATTTTTTCACTAGTGAGCCCTCAGGTTGAATGTAATCAGCTATCAGCCTTGTAAGTGGGATCTTGCAGAGACTCACCAGACAAATCAAATACTGACAATTCTTTGGGAATAAAGCTTTGAAAGAGCTTCAGTTCTGTTCTGTTCTGTTCTGTCTGGTGGTTGCCAGGCTGCCCCAGGAACGTGGGCTGTTATTCTTTAAGGATAACATAGAGCTAGAGCAGGGGATGGGACTGGGGAAGTTAAGACACCACGAAGTTTGGGTTTCCTAAAGAGGTTTAGCCATTTTATTTTATTTTTTTAAAGAATAAGCACTCTCCAGGTGGCTGCAAGCCTTTGGTTAATTTCCAGAGTTCTGAAAAAAACTGATTCCGACAAGTTTTTACCAATATTTTTATGGCTTTTATGGAGGAGTGAATTTTTAGAGCTCATTACTCTGCCATTTGTACTGATGTCTCTGACCTTAACTTTTTAAATTACATTTAATTTAATTTTTGTTTTTGCTCTGTTGCCTGGGCTGGGCTGCAGTGGCATGATCATGGCCCACTGCTACCTTGAACTCCTGGCTCAAGCAATTCTCCTGCTTCAGCCTCCTGAGTAGCTGAGGCTATAGGGATGGGCCACCATACCTGGCTATGTTTTTTTAATTAAAAAAAATTTTAGAGTTGGGGTCTTGCTATGTTGCTCAGTCTAGTTTTGAACTGGCCTCAAGCAATCCTCCTGCCTTGGTCTTCCAAAGTGCTGGGATTACAGGCATAAGCCACTGTACTTGGCTTTTGACCTTACTTTTTAAAGATACTTTTACAAATTATAAAAATTACAAGATAGTATAGAATGTGAAACATTGACTAATGTGAATTACTTTACCAATATAAAAATAAGCAAGCATATTTTCTCACAATGTAATAAGGTGTTTTGTAGAGAGAGCAAAGCTCACTCAGTTATTTTTTTCGATCATGATTAGAAATATTAAGGCCCCTAAGATTGTTGATTGCTGAATCTGGAGTGTGTCTGTCTCTCTGTTTCACTCTTTCTCTTTCTTATTTTCTTCAGCAAGTTAAAGGAAAGGCAGAGAAAGTCTACCATTGTAAATTTTTGAAGAAAGACAACTTATAGTATCAAAAACATTTGAATTAAATTCTTATCCAAAATTTTTGCCTCATATACTTGCCAATAATAATGGAGGTTTCTGATTGCTAAGGACTCAAATTGCCTTAAAATTATTTGTGAAACCCTTTATTAATAATGCATATTTTATTTGATATGATAATGTATGGTTTTTTATTTTTGGATAGGCATATACAGTGAAGACACCAACAAAACCAAAACTACAGCAAAGAGAAAACTTGAATATACCCATTGAAGAAAGTAAAAAAAAGAGAAAAATGGCCTTTGAATTTGATATTAATTCAGATAGTTCAGAAACTACTGATCTTTTGGTAAAAATTTTACAAATAATATTTAGTATTTATTTATATTACTTATTTGTATACTATTTTCCTTGATATACATGTATAATATATTTACATAGTACCTACCATTGCAATACTGATATACAGTGGAGCTCTGCTAAAATGCAGATCCTTGTGCTTTTGCAGCATTTCAGAAAAATTAGGGTTCAAATAATTTCCCTGTAAATTTCAGAAAACCTGGCACTTTGAAAATACTTGATATAGCACAATGGGCATACGATATGATTAATCATTGTCTTGTTTTCTAGAAGAATGTCATAAAGGAGTTCTTACTATATTTTTAAAAAGAGAGATGGAGTGAATATTTTACTGTGCCAAATCTGTTATTTAGGCGTCCCCTCTATTTTGCATATTATACATGCTCCTTTTACATCACTGGTTGATATTTATATCAAGGTATTGGTTGACAACTATAACATTTCCATCACTCTAAAGAAGTTAATGTATTAAGGACAGCATGTTTAAGCAGGCTATTTCCTCTAGCACTTTGTATCACTAATTACTCCCATTCACATATACCACTGTTTTCTGAAGGCATAATAATGGTTTATTGAGAATAATGAAGCTTAGATTCATTTAATTTTTTTAAAAAGGTGAACCATACCAGAGTAAATGGAGCAATGCACCAAAAATTCTTAATGACAAAATCCCAGTTAAATTCATTTGTTTTATTATTCCCACTTATAACTAGAAGATCCTTCAAGCTTTTCTACTACTTTGGGACCTTCTATTTTCATTTTTTTCTGGAATAATGAGTAGTTGAAGTCTTAAAACCCTAAATATTGAAGTTAACATATAGAGTCCCTACTTCAGAACCCCTTTGTTTTATAGATAATTATCAACATCTTAACAATTAAAACTGTGAACCAGGTACTATTGTAAACACTTTATACAACGAAGATTACTTTAATTATTTCTTATAACAATTCCAGCCTTTAGAAATACAGTTGGCCTTCTGTATTCACAGGTTCTACATCTGTGTATTCAACCAACTACAGGCCAAAAAATTTGAAAAAAAAAAAAATAAATAACAATTCAGTAGAAAATAATATAAATAAGAAAGCAATACAACATAACTATTTATATAGTGTTTACATTGTATTGGGTATTATAAGTAACCTAGAGATGATTAAAGTATACAGGAGGAAGTACATAGGTTACATGCAAATATTATATCATTTTACATAAACATCCACAGATTTTGGCATGCATGGAGGGATCCTGGATCCAATCCCCCATGGATACTAAGAGATCACAGTATATACTGTTCTTTCCAGTTTACAGATGAGGAAACTGAGTCACACAAGTATATTTTTCAAGATCACATAGTTAGTAAGACATGGAACCAAAATTTGAACACAGTCTGGCTTCATAGACTATGTAAGTCATTGCACATGATAACTGCCAATTCAAAATGTAGTCCAGATATATAAAAATGTAATGAGAATTAGAAAGAAAATGAGCTTTAGAATTAAACATTCTAGGATTGTAATCCCTGTTATTATTCTAGCAGTTTGAGTTTAGGCCAATTTCTTAGCTGATCTGAGATTCAGAATGATTCAACATGATTCATTTCATTTCTAAAAGGAGCATCACAAACTTGCAACACAATAAACATATTACAGTATTATAGAATTGCACACAATTGTTCAAACTAGTCTAAAAACACATTTCACAATCAGTTTCCTGGTTATAATTATTATATGAACCTATTAGTCATTTTGTAATTTTCTTAGCTTATGTAGTTAAATTTTGAACATTCAAATTATAAAAATTAAGATTTAAAAATGGGTTGTTGAGCATGACCTCAGGAAGATGGTGGAGTAGGAAGTGCCAGGAATCCATCTCTCTACCTAGACAAAAAGTATACTGGCAGAAACTGTCTGAAGTAACTATTTTATAAGTATGCAGTCTTATTTGAATGTTTATAGCTTCCAGGGGAAAGGTTAGCTGGTAAATTGCAGTTAATTTAGGTTGATTTCAGCCTAAAATATGATAGCAGCTACCAGTCTCCCCAGCCTACAGTCCTGTGTCAGGAAGCCATGCTCATGTTCCCTGAGTGACTTGCTGGTGCCAGAGGGGGCAATAGGACTTGTCCTTCAAACATCAGAGTTCAGTGTTTCAACCCCCACTGGCTGAAGCAACTTCCAGGAATTTACATGAAGCACATCTATCTTTTTTTTTTTTTCCTTTTCTCTTTTTCCATCTTTACCCTTTGGGAAGCCAGGCATTTAAGGATTAGGATATTCAAAAGCAAAGCAAAAAGGAATTTAGCTATAGCACATGTTTAAGCAAAGAGGCTTAAAAAAGACGGGAGAAGACCATAAGCTTTTATCTCAGGCTGATCCCTGGCACAGACTTTCAACAGTAAAACAAAAGAAAACAGAACACAAACAAAAACAGAAAATCCCGGGGAAGAGGGAAAATCTTATTTCCAGAGTTACCAAAGTATAATATTCAAATGTCCAGTTTTCAACAACAAGGGCCAGGCACAATAGCTCACGCCTGTAATTTCACCACTTTGGGAGGCCAAGGTAGGAAGGTTTCTTGAGGCCAAGAGTTTGAGACTAAGTTGGGCAACAGTGAGACCCTCTCTATACAAAAATTTAAAAAATTAGCCAGGTGTGGTGGCACATGGCCTGTAGTCTAACTACTCAGGAGGCTGAGGTAGAAGGATCACTTGAGCCCAGGAGTTCAAAGTTATAGTCAGCTATGATTATGTCACTACACTCCAGCCTAGGTGACAGAGTGAGACCTTGTCTCTAAAAATTTTTTTAAACCAAAAGACCAATAGTAACAAATCATAAGGCATACAAATAAATAGGAAAATATGATCCATTCAAAGGAACAAAACAAACCAACAGAAATTATCCTTGAGGAAGCTCAGACATTGGAATTACTAGACAAAGACTTCAAAACAGCTGTCTTAAAGTAGCTCAAATTGCTAAAGGAAGACATGGACAAAGAAAAAAAAACCCTAATTTTGTGTGAATAAAATGAGAATATTGATAGAGAGTTAGAAATTATAAAAAGAACCAGAAAAAAACTCTGGAACTGAAAGTACAATAACCGAAATGAGAAACCCACTAGAGGGATTTAAAAGCAGATTTGAGTAAGCAGAAAAAAGAATTGGTGAACGTAAAGATAGACAATTGAAGTTACTGAGTCTGATAAACGGCAAAAAAAAAAAAAAAAGAAAAAGAAAAGAAAAGAAAAGTGAACAGAGCCTCAGAGTCTTGTAGCACACCATCAGCTGGGCCAATATATACATTGTAGGAATTCCAGAAGGAGAAGAGGGAGAGAGGAAGAGGTGGGGGGGTAGACAGAGAGAGAAAAAGAGAGAGAGAGGTGGAAAGAGTTATATGAAGAAATAAATGCTAAAAACTTCCCAAATTTTGATGAAAGACATGAATATACAAATTCACGAAGCTCAACAAACTCCAAAAAGCCCCCATCAAGACATTTTATAATCAAACTGTTGGGAGAAAAAATGAATCTTGAAAGCAGCAAGAGAGATGCAACTCATTACATGCAAGTTATTCTCAACAAAATTATCAGCTGATTTTTCATCAGAAATGTTAGATGCCAGAAGACAGTGAATTTATATATTCAAAGTGCTGAAAGACCAAAATTATCAACTGAGAATTTTATATCCAGCAAAACTGTCATTCAAAATGAAGAAGAAATTGAGATATTTCCAGATAAACAAAAGCCATAAAGAGTCTGTTACCACTAAACCTGCTCTTCAAAAAGTACTAAAGGGACATCTTCAGATGGAAAGGCTGCTAGACAGTGAAGCTGTATGAATAAATAAATATCTCTGGTAAACGTAAATACATGGGCAATTTATAAAAGCTAGTAGTATTGTTATTCTGGTTTGTAACTTCAGTTTTTATTTTCTATATGATTTTAAAGACAAATGCATATAAATGGTTAATTTATGTTACTAGGCGCACAATGTATAAAGATGTAGTTTGTGACATCAATAACAGAAAATGGGCTGGGCACAGTGGCTCACACCTGTAAACCCAGCATTTTGGGAGGCTGAGGCAGGTGGAAGTTTGAGACCAGCCTGGGTAACACAATGAGATCCTGTCTCTACAAAAAATATGGAAATTAGTCAGGCATTGTGGTGCACATCTGTAGACCCAGGTACTTAGGAGGCTGAGGTGTAAGGATCATTTGAGCCTGGGAGGTCAGGGATGCAGTGAGCCATAATCACACCACTGACCTCCAGCCTGGGTGACAGAATTAGATCCTGTCAAAACAAAACAAAACAAAAAACCAAAAAAAACCCCAAAAACAAAACAGGGAAGATGGAGCTGTGTAGGGGCAGAGTTTTTATAGGCTATTGAAGTTCAGTTGGTATAAATTTGAATTAGATTGTTATAGCATTAGGAAGTTAAATGTAATCTCCATGGTAACTACAATGAAATTATATAATATACACAAAAAGAAATGAGAATGGAATCAGAATGTTCAAGTACAAAAGTCACCTAAATGGAAAATAAGACAGTAATGGAGGAGACAAAACCCTATAATAATGGAGACAAAACCCTATAAGACATATTGAAAACAAATAGCAAAATTCAGAGCTATGTCCTTCCTTATAGATCATTACTTTAAATGTAAATAGATTATACTCTCCTATCAAAAGATATAGATTGGCAGAATATATTTTAAAAACATGAAAACTATATGCTGTTTTCAAGACACTCATTTTAGATCCAAAGCCACAAATTGATAAAACGTGAAAGAATGGAAAAAGATATTCTGTGCATATAGTAACCAAAAAATAGCTGAAGTGTCTATACTACTATCAGACACAATAGACTTTAAATTAAAAAGTGCAAGAAACACAAAGGACATTAATAATAAAAAGTTTAATATAGCAAGAAGATATGACAATTTTAAACATGTCCACGCCTAATAACAGACCTTCTAAATATATGAAGCAAAACTTCATAGAATTGAAGGGAGAAACAGACAGTTCTAAAATAATTGTTGGACACTTCAGTAACCCACTTTCAATAATGAATAGAACAACCAGACAGAAGATAAGGAGATAGAGGACTTGAACAACACAATAAGCTAATTAGGTCTAACAGACATGTATAACATTCTACCCAACAACAACAGCATACATATTCTTTCAGGTGCCCATGAGACATTCCCCAGGATAGATCATATGTTAGGTCACAAATCTCATAGGTTTTAAAGGATAGACATTACACAAGATATTTTATTTGACCACAATGGGATGCAGTTAGAAATCAATAAGATAAGGAAAACTGGAATATTTACAAATTTGTGGAAATTAAACAACACACTCTTAGCCAATCAGTGGGTCAAAGAAGAATTCACAAGGGAAATTAGAAAATACTTAGAGATTAATGAAAAGGACAACACAATATACCTAAACTTATGGGATACAGCAAAAACAGTGCTCAGAGAGGAATTTGTAGTTATAAGTGCCTATTAAGAAAGATCTCAAATCAATAACCTAACTTTATACCTTAGTAAAGAACTAGAAAAAAAAGAGCAAACTAAACTCAAACCTAGTAGATTGAGGGAAATAATAAAGATTAGAACAGAGCTAAGTTAGAGAATAGAAAACAAGAAAGTCAATGAAACCAAAAATAGTTGGTTCTTTGAAAAGATCAACAAAATAGGCACACCTTTAGCTAGAGAGAGAGAACAAAATTAAAAATGAAAGTGGGGATACTACTGACCGTTCAGAGATAAAATGAATCATAAGACAATACTATAAATAATTGTATGCCAACAAATTAGATAACCCAGAATAAATGGAAATATTCCTTATAACTCACAAATTCCTTAGATGAACTCAAAAAGAAATAGAAAACCTCTATAGACCTGTAACAAGTAAAGAGTTTAAATTGGTAATCAAAAACCTCAACAAAGAAAAGTTCTGGACCAGTTGGCTTCATTGATAAATTCTACCAAATATTTAAAGAATTAACACTAGAGCTTCTGGATAACTGAACACAGGGAATTTCCCACAGGGTGGCACACCCAAGAAAGGCATGAAAGTGCCATGCACCTTCCCCCATACCTTGCCCTACGCATCTCTTTATCTGTATCCCTTGCATACAGATAATATTAGTAATCACCTCACGGCTTTTTGAGAATAAGTTAAATAATGCTTATAAAATGTTTAGCAGATCATCTGGCACAGGGCAAATGATCAATTAATATTAAAATTGTGATTATTATTATTGGAAGCTTGAATCCAAATACACTGATAGAGGAGTATAAATTGGTAAAAACTTCTCAGAATAAAAATTTGACATATATGTTAAGACCTTAAAAATAATTAACATCAATTCTTCTTAAATTCTTCCAAAAAGTTGAAGAAGGAACACCTCCTAACTCATTGTATGAGGCCAGCATTAATTACCTTGATACCAAAGCATATAAAGGCACCACAAGAAAGGAAAATTACGGACCAATATCTCTTATGAATTAGATGTAAAACTACTCAACAGAATATTGGCGAATCAAATTCAATAGCATATTAAAAATTATTTGCCATGGCCAAGTGGAATTTATCCCAGGAATGCCAGGGAGGTTCAACATAAGAAAATAAAACAGTGTAATAAACCACATTAATAGAGCAAAGGAAAAAATAGCCATATCATCATCGTGATGCAAAAAAAGGTACCTGGCAAAATCCAACATGCTTCATGGTAGAAAACCTCTCAGAAAATTAGGAATAGAGGGAAATCTCCTCAACATGATAAAGGGTATTTATGGAAACCCCTAGCTAACATCATACTCAATGGTGAAAGACTGAAAGACTTACCCCCTAATATTAAGAATGAGGCAGGGTGCCCACTTTCACTGCTGCTATTCAACATTGTACTGTAAATTCTAACTAGAGATACTATAAAAGAAAAATAATAGAAGGCATTCAGATGGAAAGGAAGAGGTAAAACTGCCTCTCTTCACAGATGACATGATCTTATGCATAGAAAATTGCGAAGACTCTTTAAGAAAGCTATTAGAGCTAATAAATAAATTCAGCAAAGTTGTAGGGTACAATATCAACATACAAAAATTGATTATGTTTTTATATACCAGCGATGAACAATCAAAAAATGAAATTAAGAAAGAAATTCTATTCACAATAGCATCTAAAAGAATTTAAATACTTAGGAACAAATCTAACCAAGGAAGTAAAATACTTGTACACTGAAAATTACAAAACACTGGTGAGAGAAATTTTGAAAGACCTAAATAAATGGAAAGACATCCTATGTTTATTGATAGAAAGACTAAATATTGTTAAGATGTCAGTGGTACCCAAATCTCCAGATTCAATGCAATTTCTATAAAAATTCCAACAATTTTTTTTGCATAAATGGAAAAAATACTCAAATTAATGTGGAATTGCAAAGGGCCCCAAAAGGCTAAAACAATCTTGAAAAATAAGGATAGAGTTGGAGGACTCACAGTTCCTAACTTTGAAACTTACTACAAAGCTAGTAATTAAAACAGCATAGTACTTGTATAAGGTCAGACAGGCAGACCAATGGAATAGAATAGAGAGCCTAGAGATAAACCCTCACATACATAGTCAGTTGATTTTTGACAAGAGTGCCAAGACCATTCAATGGGGAAGGAACATTTTTTTCAACATATGGTGCTGGGAAAACTGTCCACATGTCAAAAGAATTAAGTTGGATCCTTTATATCATATAAAAAATGACTCAAAATGGATGAAAGACCTAAACTTAAGAGCTAAAACTATAAAACTATAGACGAAAACACTGTCAAAATCTTCATGACACTGGATTTGGCAGCAACTTTTATGGATGACACCAAAAGCACAGGTAATGAAAGAAAAAAAGATAAATTGGACTGCATCAAAATTAAGAACTGTTGTGAATTAAAGGAGACTATCAAGAAAGTGAAAAGACAAGGTAAATAGTGAGAGGAAATATTTAAAAATCATATATATGACAAGGGATTGATATCTAGGATATATAAAGAACTCCCACAATTAATAACCACAAAAAGTCCCAATTGAAAAGTGGGGAGAAAAGATTCGAATAGCCATTTCTCCAAAGATGAAACATAAATGGCCTATAAACACATGAAAAGATGAATGCTATGAAGAGTCATGAGGACAGATGATAAGGTTTTGTTGTTTTAAATTGAATTAACTTATTAATCATTTTTATATGGAGACTCATGATGAATAATCAATTACCTTGCACTAAGTAAAATTGTAATGATAGTTTAAACCACATGATTTTAAAGATAATTTATCTTGTTTAAGCTGGTCAGTTGGTACACACTGATTCTGAGTATATCTGCAAAGGTAGCTCTATGACTTATTTATTGAATTCTGTTGAAATCTTAGATTTATAAAAATCTGTTTGAAATTTCTCATCCACAAAGCTTCTGAAGTTTTTGTTAAATGTGGCTTTAATGAGCATGAAAAAATTGTGTGAACTGACTGCTTACATGACTAAATTGTGTTTCATATTCATTAAGAGAAGGGATTCTGGAGCCAGATTACCTGAATTTGAATTTCCTTCCACCTCTTCCTAGCTATATAATCTAGGGTACATTACTTAATATTTGTATGCCTGAGTTTTCTCACTTGCAAAATGGGGATAATGGTATACCTACTTTATAAAATTGTTATGAAGATTAAAAGGAATTAAAATATGCAAAGTGATTAAAATAGAGACTGGTACTAGAAAGTACTAAATAAGTGTTAGCTATCATTATTTGGGAGAATTACAATAATTGTAAATTAAGTGACAACATTATATTTATTTCTTATTTTGGTATAATACACATAAAACTTACCATCTTAACTCTTTTTAATTATATAGTTCAATGTTATTAAATACATTTATAATGTTGTGTAACCATCACCACCATCCAGCTCCATAACTCTTCATCACAACTAAAACCTTCTACCCATTAAACAATAACTCTTTATTCCACTTTCCCCCAGGCCCTGGCAGTCACCATTCTACTTTCTGTCTCTATGATTTTCCCTACACTAAATATCTCATATAAGTAGAATCATACAGGATTTGTTCTTTTGTGACCATTTTTTTTTTCATTTATGTCCTCAAGGTTTATCTATGTTGTAGCATATATCAGAATTTTCTTCCTTTTTGAGGCTGAATAATATTCCATTGTATGTATACACCACATTTTGCTTATTTATTCATCCACGGATGGATACTTGGGTTGCTTCCATGTTTTAACTATTGTGAATAATGCTGCTATTAACATGGGTGTACAATTATCTCTTCAAGACTCTGCTTTCAATTCTACTGAGTATATATCCAGAAGTGGAATTGCTGGATCATAGATAATATTATAAGTTTTTTTAGAATTATAAATACTTGTTATAAGCTATAAATGTGAGTTTGAATAAACGGGGTCAGGGAAGGAGGACAAGATGGCATTATAAAGACTCTGAAACTGAAATAGAAATCAGTAGAGAAATGCTACTCGCTATACATGTCTTGTATTTCACATAGCCTTTCAGTAATACAGTTAATAGAATAAAAATCTAGGTCCTTTCTTGGCCAATTGATTTATTTTGTTACTGTTTTCTTTGTTTGGTCTTCTTTCTTCTCTCTATAATCTTCTTTCTCTTTCCTCCTCCCTTTGCCCTTCTCCCTTCTACATCCTTCCTCTTTCTACTCTTTGTTCTCCTCACATGTGATATGTTGACAAAATGTTAATAATATAATATTAATGATGGTAAACCCAACATCATATTTTTTTATTTTTCTTCAAGAGCATGGTTTCAGAAGAAGAGACATTGAAAACACTGTATAGGAACAATAATCCACCAGCTTCTCATCTTTGTGTCAAAACACCAAAAAAGGTAGCTTTTAAATTTTATTTCAGAAAGCAAATTTTAAAAGCTGCACTTAAAAAATTAAACATGTTATGATTTTTAAATTTTATTTTGTACTCAGGCCCCTTCATCTCTAACAACCCCTGGATCTACACTGAAGTTTGGAGCTATAAGAAAAATGCGGGAGGACCGTTGGGCTGTAATTGCTAAAATGGATAGAAAAAAAAAACTAAAAGAAGCTGAAAAGTTATTTGTTTAATTTCAGAGAATCAGTGTAGTTAAGGAGCCTAATAACGTGAAACTTATAGTTAATATTTTGTTCTTATTTGCCAGAGCCAAATTTTATCTGGAAGTTGAGACTTAAAAAATACTTGCATGAATGATTTGTGTTTCTTTATATTTTTAGCCTAAATGTTAACTACATATTGTCTGGAAACCTGTCATTGTATTCAGATAATTAGATGATTATATATTGTTGTTACTTTTTCTTGTATTCATGAAAACTGTTTTTACTAAGTTTTCAAATTTGTAAAGTTAGCCTTTGAATGCTAAGAATGCATTATTGAGGGTCATTCTTTATTCTTTACTATTAAAATATTTTGGATGCAAATACGTGCTTCTTATTGATTCTGTTAGGTCCTATAAACAGCTCATCATTATAATTTTGAGGGAATATTATTCATTGTAAAGTCTTGAGAGCATTGTAGAGGAGTTTTGTACTTCTGAGGCAGCTTTGACTTTTTTATTTTATGAAATTGAGAAATGGCTTTTAGTGGCAGGAAAAAGTGGCTATACCAGTATGACTTCCTGAAATATTTAATTTATACAACATTTATTAAGCAAATATTTATTAATGTTTACTAAGAGTCAAACAGAGTTCTAGATACTGGGGATGTAATAGTGAACAAAACAGAAAAATAACTTGTGTTTTCCTAGAGCTTACATTCTGGTGAGGGAAATAGACAATTAACAAAATAAATAAAACACAGTATATTAGTTAATGATAACTGCTAAGAAGAAAAATAAAACAGGGAAGAGTATTAAGGAGTATAAAGAAGGCTATATTTTAGGTATGATATCCCTTACTGAAGTGACATTTGAGTGAAGATATGATTAAAACAGCAACTGAGCCTGGGGTTACCTAAGGGAATAACATTTCTCATAGAAGGAATAGGAAGTACAAAGGCCCAGAGGTGGGAGTGTGCCTAGCATATCTGGGAAGCAGCAAGAGCCCAGTATTGGGAAGGATAGTGAGGAAAAGGAAGAGTAGAAGGAAGAGAAGGCCTAATAGTTAATGGGATGAGGATTTTGAGTGGGCAGATTATGTAGCACTTTAGGCCACTGTAAGAACTTTGGCTTCTCTGAATATGATGTGACATTAGTAGATGATTTTGAGCAAGGAAGAACCATGATCTGACTTATGTTTTAACAATATCTTTCTGGCTGCTATATTGGGAACAGATTGAAAAAGGGACATAAATAAACAGGAGATTATTTTAGTAATGCCTGTGAAAGATGGTAATGGCTTAAACAGGAGCAAGAGCAGCAGAGGAGTAAAGTAGTTAACTTTTGGATATATTTTGAAGATATAGGTAGAATATGAAAGAAAGAGAATGGGCAATATTTTTGTCCTGAACAGCGTAGTTTTGCACATGTTAGGTTTGAAATACCTGTGAGACATCCAAATAGAGATGGTAAGCAGGCTTAGAGACAAGTCCAGACTAGTGATATAAATTTGGGAGTCAACATCATATTTAAAGTTATCAGACTGGATGAGAACATTTACAGTCATGGGAGTGAGTGTACCTAGGAAAGAGAACAGGTCAGAGAGATGAGAAGGGGCCATCAAAGGACTGGCCAGAGTGGTAGTAAAAAAAGTAGGCTATGGTTTCTTGGAAGCCAAGCAAGAAAGTGTTTCAAAGAAGAGGGAGTGAAAAATTGTGTTAAATGCTAATCAGAGGTAAAGTAAAATTGATTAATGTGTTATTAATATGAAGGTCATTGGTAATCTTAATGTCAGTTTTAGTAAAGTGGAGCTTGATTGGAAGGGCTTAAAGGAAAAAGGGGGAGAGTAAGCAGAGACAGCTATCTCTATCAGGTGTAATAAACTCAAGAAGTTGTACTTCACATGAAGATGATAAATAGGGAAGTTACTGGAAAGGGAAATGGATCAACAGAAGGTTTTTTTGTTAAGACATAAGAATTAATAACATATCTAAATAATTAGAGGAAGATTCAGAATGGGGAAAATGATGATGTGGGAGAGAAAGGGAAATTTTTTGTAGAATGTCATAACAGGGAAGAGGGATGGAATTTAGTGGGTAATTAAACCTGTTGGGCCTTCAGTAGGAGAATAGACACTTCTGCCATAGCAACAGGAAAAAAGGAAGAGTATATGGCGCAAGAAGATGGTAAGTGTATGGGAGTTTGTAGAAGTTTTGGTTCCATAATTTCAGTTTTCTCAGTGAAGCTGGAATTAAGATCATGCACTGAGAATGAGGATAGGGAAGACAGTGTTGGAGGTTGTGGAGAGAAAAGTAAGTATGAAAGACTCAGAGTAGGAAAGTAAATGGGCTTTATGAAAACAATGAATACATGAATAAAAATGGTTTTAGAGTTATCTGTAAATAACTATAGTGAAGTAAAATTAGAATCCTCTTATGGTATAGATTATGTTTGTAGGAAAGGCTAACCAAGAAAAAATGGAAATGCAATAACATTACAGAAATTATTTTGTTCCTCCTTTAATTTGTGTGACTACAACTATACTCTCTTAACTGGCCATGGTCTTGTGATTTCTAGCTTTTGATCTCTTAATTGAAACTTTATAATAAGTCTCCTGAGCAAGCATTTTTGGAGAATTATTGGTCTTGAAAATGTGAAATTTCACATTTGAAGCTATATATTTTCAAATATTAAAAATAATAATATAAATAAATATATTTTCAAATTAAAATAACTAATATATTAATCTATACATTTAATGTAGTTTTAATTTAAATATTTACAATAAGACTAGTCTGTTAAGCTATATATTTTCAAGTATTTAGAATAAGACTAGCTGCTCTGGCTAACTATAGATTTACTTCTAACTTACCTAAAGTCCAACATAATGTTTCTGTTTAGTGAGAACCATTCCTCTAGGCAGTCATTCAGGAACCCTGGCTCCTTTCAACTTCTAATTCTGCCATCTTCAGGAGCTGGCTTCCAGGTTTATGCTAAAAGGGAAACACCATGGAGTATCCATGTGGGAAGTTTCTAATGACCTAGCATGAAAGAGATTATATAGCACTTCCACCCACATTTCACTTTCTAGAACCAAGTCAATATGGCCACACCTAACTTCAGGGGAGACTGTGACCCATGTTCCAGTTATCTCTCAGGAGATTAGGGAAAAGGGTAAACAACTAGCCAGTCTGCCACAATTAGTTCACAGTCTTTAAATTTTCAAATATTGTTCTTCCTTGCTTTTAGTTAAAACAAAATGAGTTAGTTAAGGCTCCTAAGTTTTGGAAGATTGCTTCTCCTTGCTGTTCCTTGAACATTCTGGGTGTCTTCCTGCTTTATAACGCCCCTCCTTCCTCCAGCATTTCTTATTTATCTTATACCTTCTAACATACTATATACCTTATTTGGTATGTTTATTATTCATTGTCTCTCCTCACAAGAATGTAAACTTCACAAAGGGATTTTTGTTTCCTTTGCTTTGGCTTTCCTTTCCAAGTGGCTAGAATCATGCCTGGCCCATAGTAGGTACTCAATATTTGTTGAATAAGTAAAATATTAATACATATTTAAGAAAAACATACATATACCATATTAGTGATTCTTACAATAAGTAAAACCTTACAACCTAAATGTTGAGTGTCTGATTTAAAAATAAGATTAGATGTTGGAAACTAGAAAAATCATGAAATTTTCTAAAAGCATATTATTATAGTATCCTATATTTGACTCTTCTTTGCACTCTGGAGAGTTCAGTTTTTACAATAAAGTCTCCCCCAAAAATTTATAACTAATATTATTGTTTTTACTTTTAAACTACTCCTTTAAAAACCACTAGTCTTAATGAACAATTGGCAAATTCATAATTTGATTATTTAATTATGAAAATTTTGTAAGCTAAATACGAGATTATTAACTAATGCCTTTTTAAACATTGAATGCATTTTGGAGGTTATTATAGGAAGCAGCTTTTGAAAAAGCCTATTTTTAAGTTGGTAGGAAACTCTTCCTGCCTTTTAGCCACTTTTTGTGAGATTGACTTAATCTGATACATTTAGGATCAATCAGATGTGTTTAGAAGTAGGCATATGGGATACACACTATTCTCTGTCTCTCTCTTGAGTGTGGAGCTTCCTACAGGAATCACATGATCATCCCTATGCTGCAAGTTTTATAGGGCGGGTGGAAGAGTGGTCCTGTTGTGAGGGGATAAATTCAATAAAATAAAAATTCAGAAGAATATTTGCAAGTTCCAGTATTTTGATGAATAGGCTGGGCACTTTGAGAAGGAAATAGAGTGGCATTCAGAGGAATTAACATACAAATATTGAAACTCTGATGTGGCTTTGGTGGCACTAATCTGGAAAATAGCCATATAGGAATTTTCACTTGTTGGGTCTTTATAGCTTATGGTAGTCTTATCTTTACATGAGTTACTGTTTTTACAGAAACAGGCTGCAAGTTCTGGGTGTTAAGTGAATAGTGCATAAGCTTTATCTGAAGCAAAAATGAGCATTTAATATGTCTGCAGGCCATAAACTTCAGAAGATGCATGGCCTGAAGGGGCCTCAGCCAAATTATTGGCTATTAAAAAACAAATATTAGCCACGCTAGACTGGGCAAAGAGGTGAGACTCAGTCAGAGATAATACTTTGTGTATATTTTGATGATGGAACCAAAAAGATTTCTGGAGATAAGAATTAAGTGAGGGAAAGAGAAGGGACAAAGTTTGGTTTTGAAGTACGGTTTTGGGCATATGTAATATTTGAGATATTTTAGATACCCAAGTGGAGATATTGAGTAGACCATTGGATAAATGAATCTAGAATTCTCCAGAAGGGTAAGTATTTAGTAATCATTGACATATAGGTTCTATTTAAAGTACAGAACTGAATGCACTCTTTTTACAGTAATAAATGTTAGTTATAAAACAGAAAGGAATTAGTACCAAGCCTTGAGGTAAAGGAATATTTGAAAGTGAAGCAATAAAGGAAGAGCCACAAAAAAGCTAAGAAGGAGGGACTGCTGTAGGAGGGAAAAAGCGAGTGTAAGGGATGATGGAAGCCTAAAGAACAAAGTGATTCAAGAAGGGAATATTCCCCTGTGTGAAATCCTAATGAGCATGAAAGCAGAAAATAAATAATTGGACCTATGGCTATATGTATGATATAATCTCTGCTCTCAATGACTCACAGTCAAGGAGCAAAATTTTATATGTAAACAAATGAATCAATTGTAATTAATTGGACCGTACACACATGTAAGAGCTACAGAGAAGTGAATGATAATTTCATGACATAAATGCAGGCATCAGAGAAGGACTTCTGGGTTTTGGACATAAATGGGAGTGCTATAGGTGTATAAGGAGGACAAGAGACAACCAAGACATAAGAAATCGCAATATAAAGGATGAAGTGAAGAATAGTTAGGAGAACCAAGCCATGGTATCTTCATGTAGGATTTTATGTGTTATATTGCAAAGCCTGGACTTTTCTGGTGTGGGAAATGGAAAGAGAATAAGCAAAGAAAATCAGACTTTATTATTTAAATATGGTATTAAAATGTTTTTATTTCAATAAGCTTTGGGGAACAGGTGGTATTTGGTTACATGGATAAGTTCTTTTGTGGTGATTTGTGAGATTTTGGTGCACCCATCACCTCAGCAGTGTACACTGTACCCAGTGAGTAGTCTTTTATCCCTCACCCCCTCCTATCTTTCCTCCGCGAGTCCCCAAAATCCATTGTATCATTCTTATGCCTTTGTGTTGTCATAGCTTAGCTCCCACTTATTAGTGGGAATATACAATATTTGGTTTTTCATTCCTGAGTTACATCACTTAGAATAATGGTCTCCAATTCCATCCAGGTTGCTGCAAATGCCATTATTTCATTCCTTTTTATGGCTGAATAGTGTTCCATGGGGCTGGTTCCATGTTTTTGCAATTGTAAATTGTGCTATAAACATGCATGTGCAAGTGTCTTTTTCCTATAATGACTTCTTTTCCTCTGGGTAGATACCTGGTAGTGGGATTGCTGGATCAAATGGTAGATCTACTTTTAGTTCTTTAAGGAATCTCCACACTGTTTTCCATAGTGATTGTACTAGTTTACATTCCCACCAGCAGTGTAAAAGTGTCCCCTTTTCACCATATTCATGCCAATATCTATTGTTTTTTGATTTTTTGATTATGGTCATTCTTGTAGGAGTGAGGTAGTATCACTTTGTGGTTTTGATTTGCATTTCTTTGATAATTAGTAATGTTGAGCATTTTTTTCATGTTGGTTGGCCATTTGTATCTCTTCTTTTGAGAATTGGCTATTCATGTCCTTAGCCCACTTTTTGATGAAGTTGTTTTTTTTTTTTTTCTGGCTGATTTGATTGAGTTTCTTGTAGATTCTGGATATTAGCTCTTTGACAGATGCATAGTTTGCGAATATTTTCTCCCACTCTGTGGGTTGTCTGTTCACTCTGCTGATTATTTCTTTTGCTGTGCAGAAACTTTTTAGTTTAATTAAGTCCCATCTATTTACCTTTGTTTGTGTTGCATTTGCTTTTGGGTTTTTCTTCATGAACTCTCTGCCTAAGCCAACATCTAGAAGGGTTTTCCTGATGTTATCTTCTAGACTTTTTATGGTTTCAGGTCTTTGATCCATGTTGAGTTGATTTTTGCATAATGTGAGAGATGAGAATCCAGTTTCATTCTTCTACATGTGGCTTGCCAGTTATCTCAGAACCATTTGTTGAATAGGATGTCTTTCCCCATTCTATGTTTTTATTTTCTTTGTCAAAGATCAGTTGGGTGTAAGTATTTGGGTTTATTTCTGAGTTCTCTATTCTGTTCCATGGGTCTATGTGCCTATTTTTATTACCAGTTGCATGCTCTTTTCATGACTATAACCTTGTAGTATAGTTTGAAGTTGGGTAATGTGATGCCTCCAGATTTGTTCTTTTTGCTCAGTCTTGCTTTGGCTATGCGGGCTCTTTTTTGCAGTCTACATATTTAGTGCAATTCCTATCAAAATACCACCATCATTCTTCACAGAACTAGAAAAAACAATCCTAAAATTCATATGGAACAAAAAATATAGTATTTTTAAATTTAAATTTTACAAAAGGTTATAAAGTATAAGGTCTCCTAACTCTATCATCAATGCCCCAACTTGAGGAAAATACTTTTCTTTTGGAAGACAACTAAGGATAATTGGAACTGGATAAAGCAATTGCAACTATTGAAATAGTCCAGTTAAGAGATAATGTAACCAAAATGCAGTTTAGTTGCTTGCCGCATCCAAACAACAAATGGGAGGTCTGATGCATATGTCTTGCCATACTGCTTCACTTTGGGAGTAGAAATCAGGCACTTTCATAAGGTAAGGGAGGAAATGAGCAAGGGCAAGTGTCCCCCTGCTAGCTCAGTGCCTTATCTATCTGGCAGTTGAATTGGTGCTGTCCTGGGAAGAACTAAGTTGTAAAAGTGGCCAAGTGGGCATGCTTTTGACATGCCCTCCTGAGGTGACCTCCTGGAGGTGAGAATTCCATAGTGGGGTGCAAGGGGCAGGCTTTGGTCTGCAAATTGACTGTCAACTCTCAAGGAGAGATCCATCTAAGAGCACATACATGAACTTCCCCTGTAGGGAATGTCTGGTGAGTGGGAGATGAAAGGTTATATTTGTGTTTCTAAAGGACTAAGTAGGAAGTAGGGAACAGGGGAAATGAGAAGAGAGGAAAAAAAATTAAACCACCTCTTAGGAAGATAGGGGTATTCGATTACAATGGGAAAATTTCTTAGGTTGAAAGCTTAAGTTCCAAACTTTTGGATTAGATCTAATACCTGTCCTGAGAAAAATATTCATAACTTTATCACTCTAACAGTAATAAAATGTTTTCTACTTCATGTAAATTTAAATTAATGATGTCAAAGAGCAAGTTGCTTTGGTTGATATAAAGGTTAGAAATAAATTATTAATAATTTAGGTAACCTGAATTCAGTATAATTAATACTCCACAGACTATTGTAGTACATCAGGAACTTTAATCAATGACAGGTCAACCATGGGTTAGAAATACAAAATGACAAACAAGAGACAGATAAGACAACATTATTTAAGTTACAAAATCAGAGTTTAGAGATGAAGGGAACCAAAAGGATCATTTAATTTCAAAAGATCAGTCATTTGAGTCCTATAAAAGCAATAAAAATGAAAAGGATAGTTTTAAAAAAAATGACTCTAAATTTCAGTATACATATACATAATTTACACTAATGCATAAATATGAGCATATAAAATCTTAGTGCCCTCCCTTTTTTTCTTTTGCTTTTTCCCTCAACCTCTCTCTTCCCTGCTCCACATACTTGAGTCCCCCTCGGTTAACTTCTACTCTCTTAGGTAACCCTCGACAAGAACCTACTGTGTAAACTTTCTTATTTTTCTCCATGACAGAAAGACAGTTATAATGTATTTAGTAGTTTGTCATATTTTTACACATATATACATACACATAGGATTTTCTGGTTATGGTTAAATTACAAACATGGGATAATATGTATACTTTTCAGAGTCTTGCTTTACTCAGTGTCATGGAAATCTCTCTAAAACGTGGTAAATCTCTCTACACATGTGGTATGGTTGCAGTTTATTCTTTTTAGTGGCTGTATAATATTTCATGGGTGTATAACAATTCACTATTTCTCTATTAAAAGGTGTGGTAGAGACCTTGATCACTTATATCTAATCTTCTCTTCTCCCAGGCACATGAGAAGATTATACTTCCTCCCTCCTTAGTGATACTATGTTTTAGCAAATGAATTTTAAGTAGAAGTGATGTGTGTTAATTACTTCTGTGGTGTGAGACCCTCTATCACACCCTTCTTCTGTTGCAGCAATTTGTGGTATTATAGATGACAAAGTCTCTGTCACCCTCAGTTCCTGAAGTGAAAATTGCATGGAACAAAGTTCTCCCATTAACCCACTGTGGTTATGTAGTAATGAATTTGATTCACCATATAAAACTGAAAATTCAACAGGGGCAGTGAAATAGGAGGACTGAAGTTCCCTAGCTACAAATTAGTCCTGTGTGCTCTCTCCATCCTCAGAAACCTCTCTCCTGTCCTAGAAGGACGTGCAATGTAAGTAGAACCCATATTACCAGATTGGTGTCTTTTTTTCTTTTTTTTTAAGGTTGGAGGTTGGTGTCTTAAAGTAGCCATTATAATTACCTACTTGCTTCTCCCAGGTTCTTTAAAAATTGCAGTACAGAGCCCAGCACTGTCCCAGCCACTCCAGAGGCTGAGGTGAGAGGATCACCTGAGCCCAGGAGTTCGAGGCCATCCTGGGTAACATAATGGAAACTTCATCTCTAAAAAAACACAAAAGGAATATTGGCATACTTGGAGGATTGGTTCCAGGACCCTCTGTTCCCTGCTGATATACCAAAAATCCATGCCTCACAATTCAACCTGCAAAACCTGTGTATACAAGTCTCAGTATATGTGGTTGTGACAGAATTCATGGGATACAGAAACCCACAAATTATATTTTTTCTTTTTCTTTCTTCTTTCTTTTTTTTTTTTTTCGAGATGGAGTCTCACTCCTGTCACCCAGGCTGGAGTGCAGTGGCGTGGTTTCAGCTCACTGCAACCTCCACCTCCCAGGTTCAAGCGATTCTCCTGCCTCAGCCTCTGGAGTAGCTGGGATTACAAGCATGTGCCACCATGCCCCGCTGAATTTTGTATTTTTACTAGAGACGGGGTTTTGCCATGTTGGCCAGGCTGGTCTTGAACCCCTGACCTCAGGTGATCCACCCACCTCGGCCTCCCAAAGTATTAGGATTACAGGCGTGAGCCACTCTACCCGGCTGAATTATGTATTTTCAATCCATGTTTGGTTGGAAAAACATCTGCATATAAATGGACCCAAGCAGTTCAAACCTGTGTTGTCAAAGATCAACTGTAGATTGCAGGCTGTAGTTCCCATGAATTAACACATGAGAGCTATCACAGGGAGGCTCTGGCCAGTGATAGGTAGCTATAGTATATGACATGCCAGATGGGCATGATGGGCCAAGAAAGTAGATGGGTCATCCTTGGACCCATCTACTTTCTTGGCCTCATCTACTTTCTTGGCCTGTCAGGTTCATTTGGCCTGTCATGGATCTTGAGATTCATGTTTGGGTCTCAAGATCCAAAAAAAGGTTATGAATGTGGCATGGTCTCACCCTTCAGATACCCTGTGGCAGGGAGAAGTCAGTAATGAGATTTTTGTCCAGTGAATTTGTATCCTGCAACTTTGATAAAGTCAATATATTAGTCAAGGTTCTCTAGAGGGGCAGAACTAATAGGATAGATGTATATATAAAGGGGAATTTGTTAAGGAGTATTGACTCATATGATCATAAGATGAGGTCCCACAATAGGCCATCTGCAAGCTGAGGAGCAAGGAAGCCAGTCTGTGTCCAAAGCTGAAGACCTTGGAGTCAGATGTTTGAGGGCAGGAAACATCCAGCACAGGAGGAAGATGTAGGCCAGAAGACAAAACCAGTCTACCCTTTTCACATTCTTCTGCCTGCTTTTATTTTGGCTGCACTTGCAGCTGATTAGATTGTACCCAACCAGACTGAGGGTGGGTCTGCCTTTCCCAACCCACTGACTCAGATGTTAATCTCCTTTGGCAACATCCTCACAGACACACCCAGGAACGATATTTGACATCCTTCAATCCAACCATGTTGACAATTTTTTTTTTTTTTTGAGACAGAGTCTCACTCTGTCACCCAGGCTGGAGTACAGTGGTGCAATCTTGCCTCACTGCAACATCCACCACCTGAACGATTCTCCTGTCTCAGCCTCCTGAGTAGCTGGTACCACAGGCGCACGCCACCATGCCCAGCTAATTTTTGTATTTTTAGTAGAGACAGCATTTCACCATGTTGGCCAGGCTGGTCTCGAACTCCTGATCTCCAGTGATCCGCCTACCTCGGCCTCCCAAAGTGCTGGGATTATAGGCATGAGCCACCGTGCCCAGCCTGACACTCAATATTAACCATCACAAGTCCACCCCTTGTCAACTTGAATCCATACACATCTCCTGAAATCACACATAATCTTCAAATAAAGGCAGTAATAAGGTCATAATTACACCTAACATAATACAACTATCCTTCATACAATGGGAAATGCACAATCCCCAACCCAAATGCTATTACATAAAGTTAACACTTAAATGCTGATGTGAAGTCAATAAATCTTATGTCACATGATAAAGGAAAAAGGAAATAAAATGATCTTTTCTTAGTACAAGTGTACGCATGGACAAACATGTTCTTAACAAAAGAAGGAGGAAATATTCATGACAATTACAGTCATTGTTTCTGCAACTGGTCATGTGGTCATAGCTGGTATTGATGACTACCTTCTTTTACTACCCATGCTATATTCCCTTTGCCTTCAGCAAGCACCTCAGCTGGTTGTGGTTTTTTTCCTGGTGGAGTGACACAAACCTTCATTCCTGAAGGGTCTGTCCCATTTGTAGTCCTGCCTGGATCGGGCTATTGTAGCTTCCCATTGACCTTAATCACAGGGCATGGGAATACTAAGAGATGCCCTAAGGGATCTCCTGTATTCCAGACATACTCTTCCTTACCTCCATTGTGGAGTAGTAGACTGATTTCATCTTGATAGTCCAGGTCAATCACCCCAGCCAACACTTTAACTCCCTTCTTAGGCTGTTGACTTAAAGGTAGGAAGAGCCCAAAGTGTTTAGGTGGCAATCTTAACTTCCAGTTTAGTGGAATCATTGTTGTGTCTCCTGGTGGCAGCATTCCTCCCTCTGGAATCTAAGACATCTAGGCCAGCAGAACATAATGTTGCAGGAACAAGAAGCAAAAATTTTGCTAGTGGGTCACTAGGGGTGATGGTGAGTGGTGCCAGTTCCACTTCCACCCATTGATTTCTGGACCCGTGAATCCTGGCTATGGGAGAAACAGTACCATATATTGGATGCTAATTCAGAGTATACACAGCCTTCTGGAGAACTTTGCCGCAGCCTTGCAAAGTATTATTACATAGTTGGTGTTGTAATTGTGACTTCAAAAGCCCATTCCACCGTTCTATCAATCCAGCTGCTTAAAGATAATGGGGAACATAGTAAGACCAGTAAATTCCATAAGCATGAGCCCACGGCTGTACTTCTTTAGCCATAAAGTGAGTGCCTTGGTCAGAGGCAATGCTGTGCAGAATACCATGATGGTGGATAAGGCATTCTGTGTGCCCATGGATGGTAGTCTTGGCAGAAGCATTGTGTGCAGGATAGGCAAAGCCATATCCAGATAAAGTATCTATTCCAGTGAGAACAAACTGCTGCTCTTTGCATGATGGAAGAGGTCCAACATAATCAACCTGCCACCAAGTAGCTGGATAATCACCCCCCAAAGAATGGTGTCATATCAAGGGCTCAGTGTTGGTCTCTGCTTCTGGCAAATTGGGCACTCACCAGTGGGTGTAGCCAGGTCAGCCTTGGTGAGTGGAAGCCCATGTTGCTGAGCCCATGTGCAACCTTCATCCCTGCCACCATGGCCACTTTGTTTATGGGCTCATTGGGCAATGATAGGGGTGGCTGGGGAAAGAGGCTGAGTGGTGTCCACTGAAAGAATCTTCCTATCCATTTGATTATTAAAATCCTCCTCTACTGAGGTCACCCGTTGGTGAGCACTCACATGGGATACAAATATCTTCACAATCTTCGACCACTCAGAGAAGTCCATCCATATACCTCTTCCCCAAATTTCTTTGTCACCAATTTTCCAACAATGCTTCTTCCAAGTCTCTGACCATCCAGCCAAACCATTAGCTACAGCCCATGAATCCATATATAATCGCATATCTGGCCATTTCTCCTTCCATGCAAAGTGCACAACCAGGTGCACTGCTCAAACTTCTGCCCACTGGGAAGATTTCCCTTCACCGCTGTCCTTCAGAAATGACCTGGAAAGGGGCTGTAGTGCTGCAGCTGTCCACTTTTGGGTGGAGCCTGCATATTATGCAGAACCATCTGTGAACCAGGCCCTAGTCTTCTCTTCCTCTGTCAGCTGATCATAGGGAACTCCCCATGAGGCCATTGCTTCAGGCTAGGGGAGAGAAGGCAGGGTGGCAGGAGTGGAGACCATGAGCATTTGAGCCATTTCCTCATGCAACTTACTTGTGCCTTCAGGACCTGCTCAAGCCTGATCATGTGTATACCACTTCCATTTGATGATGGAGTGCTGCTGTGCACACCCCACTCTATGGCTAAACGGGTAAAAAAGCACAATTCATGATAGGCAGTTCAGGTTGCATGGCGACTTGACCCGTAGTCAAATGTTCAGTTTCCACCAAATCCCAGTAACAGGACAAGAGCTGT